>NC_000008.11:138735000-139037078 GCF_000001405.40 Homo sapiens
CACTGGGGCCTGTCAGTGGGTTGGGGGAAAGGGGAGGGAGAGCATTAGGACAAATACCTAATGCATGTGGGACTTAAAACCTAGATGACGGGTTGATAGGTGCAACAAACCACCATGGTACATGCATACCTACGTAACAAACCTGCACGTTCTGCACATGCATCCCAGAACTTACAGTAAAATAAAATTAAACTTTGAAGAAAAAGAAACCTGGCCTCTTAGCGTAAGAGTGGCTGACCTGAACACAGCTTCGATTCCATCAGGCAGTGGCCCCATCCAGGCCACCAGGTGGTACATACTGCAAATGCTATATTGCCTGGTTCTGAACCACTGAGATCCCTGAACACATCAGGGTGCACAATTACAGGGTGCTACTCCCTGCCATGAAAGCCTGGTAATATTTATATCTATAGCACACAGCTCAATGTCTGGCCTTCAGTAAAGATTCACTGAATGAAAATGACTTCAAAGTTAAAAATGAAAGAACGAAATCTCTTTTCCCAGAAAACAAACAAAGAGTTGTAGGGGGAAAAATTATAGCTTAAAATAATTTGATCGAGCTGCATTGATGGTGAATTTTAAAATACACAAGGTTGACTCACTATGAAGCAAGGTAATAAAACATAAGGCAAAACCCACTCTATTTTTCATTATTAATAGCAAAATGCCACAGTGAATGTGAAATCTTTAGAACACTGTGAATTATGATGGATCGTATATTCTTATTCCCTGCTGCATCCTGACCTGAGTCAAGGGTGCAGAAATGAAGTCTCAGATTGCATCCAAGGTGCCATCTTTCACTAGAGTGCTTTCATGTCAGCCAGTAGGAAAAACTGGCTTCTGAAGTGCAGTGAGCAGTGTTTTCGGGATGAGTGCCTCCCTGCCAACGAGGGACGGACAGTGTGACCGCCACCCCGGGGAATCTGGTGTGGAGGTGGGGCTGTCCAGTCCCGAGTGGTGCTGAAGCCAGCTGCTTTACCACAGCTCCAGGAGGACCAAACGGAAGAGCCCAGCAGTGACTTGTGCCCACCTGCTTGGTGCCAAAGAGGCCAGGGGAACAGGGACAGCCACATCTGTCTACCCCCTGTGCGCTATGCCTCAGGACCTCATTATCACCTCTCATAGTCACTGCTCTTCTCCTCAACCTTCAGGTGTGCCCTCCTTTTTTATGGCGAGAGCTGAGCACTGGGTTCCTTCTGTGCCTTCTGCTTGCTGATCCTGCTTCAGCATGAACTTACTGATGCCAGGGGAGGCCCAGATCAGGGGACAGGAGTGAAGCTTTGGTGGGTGGGGGGCTCAAAGAAAGGATGAAGGGAATTCTGTACACTGCAAAGGCCCGGCAGAGAGCTTCAGGGGCTTGCCATGTTTTGTCCACACTGTGGTACCCTGTGGGGGACCCATGGTGATGCTGCATTTGAAAATAAGGAAGACTAAGACAGTTTAGGGCCTCGGTCATGCAGGGAGGAAGGGATTTGAAGCCAGGCATCTGCCTAGCAGAGGGTGGCCCTGAGTGAAGCCCTCTGCGCCTGGAGCCTCACCCCTCATCTATGACATGGGGACAAGGACCCTGAGGGTGCCTATCTAGATGGGTGGGTGTCAGGATCCACATGGCCGGCACTAGGATGGCACAGCTGGACCTGTGGAAGCAGAGCCAAGTATGGCCTGTGGGAGTTGGGCCAAGTATGAGGACAGAGGAAGCTACACCAGAACTGAGTCCTAAGAGACCCAGAGAAGCTGGAAGAAGGAGGAGGAGGCAGAGAATCCAGGGAGCGAGAACAGCACCTGCCTAGGAACAGAGGCCTCTGAGACTGGGGCCCTAACCCCATCATTTTACAGATGGGGAAACTGAGGCCCCATCTCAGTTTGAGCAGGGGAAGGACTTGGCCAATGTCCCAGTGTTTTGGAGGACAGACTGAGACCCAAACCCAGGCCTCTTAGCTCCTATGATAGTGGCCGCCCTTTTGGTTTTCTGGCCTCTGTGGCTGATCCCCTTACAACTCTCACTGGGTTCATCTTCCTACCCCTGCTGCTCCATGCCCTGTGCTCCAGCGGCACCACATGCTGCTCCATTCCTGCCCAGCGCTGCGCTGCGGCCCACCAGGTCCCTGCAGAGCTGTGCCCCAGGGAAGGCCCTCCCTCCGCTCATTCCAGCCTGGCTGGCAGTGCCTTGTCTGCCAAGGCGAGACAAGCCTCTTCATGACTGATTTCCCCACCACCTCGTCCTGGGGTCCCCCTTCGCCTCCCAGCACTTCCCTTTCTCCTAGGACTGCTCATCACTTTTATCACCCCCATCTGCCTCCAGATGGAAATTCCTTCAGGATAGCCAACAATGGCCATTCAGCTCCCACACAGGACAGCACAGGAGGAGGGAGGGAGGACACGTGACCCACTGGCTGTTCTTTTTAATAGTTTGATGAGGTGACCAGCAGGATTCTGGCTGCCCACCTGAGAGCTGCTGCCTGGTCATTTATTTAATCAGAGAAAAGCAGCGTTGCTATGGAAGAGAATGTAAAAGGTAGTTACCTGCAGCCCCAGCAATCCAGGGATTCCAGGTGGTCCCATGTCACCTTTCTTCCCCTGAGTGTAAAAGAAGAAGCTAAAATTAACAAGCAGGCAATTGTCAACCAGAGGGGGTTTAATAATGAGTCTCGGTGGACATTTGGGTCTTTATTACTCTCAACCTCCCAGATTAACAATTGTCCCTCAGGAGTGCCCCACAGAGGAACAATGTGGGATCAGAAAAAGGACTCAGGCTTTTTCTGAGGTCAGCAGTAAGGCTTGGGATCCCAGCTCTGTAACTTAAATGTGTTCGGTAACTCATGGACCCATGTTCAAAAGATACAGAAAGGTATACCCAAGAAAAGTCTCCTTTTAATCCCAGTCTCAGCCACTCAGTTCCTTTCCTTGGAAACAACTAATCTTACTAGATGCTGGTTAATTTTCCCAGAGAGATTTTATGCATTGGTAAGCCTTACACACGCACACACACCAACACACACACTCCCCCGTCCCCCGTTTCTTCACAGACTTCAGCTTGCCATTCAACCTGTTAAACTTTGCTTCTTTGTTTCCATTTAATTTATCTAAGCCACATCCCATATCACATGGAGAGTTGCTGGTATCCTTTATACAAGTGCATGGTTTTCCCTGTGCAAATGAGGCATGATGCATTGAAACAACCCCCTCCTCGTGGCTAGGTAGGTTACTTAGGGCGTTTCTGCTCTTCTGCTGTGGGAATCCACGCTTCAGTGCATACATGTTCAGTATCCAGCAGGGTGATGTTGTGGGGTGACCTGAGGCCATCTCCTTAAATAGGGGTAAGGTGTGTGTTGGTTAGTTTAATTTACATAATGTGGTAATGGCATATATTGTATAACAGAGGTTATCTGAAGAACAGAATACAGCCCTTTTTGGCATTGTCCTGGTGGTTTTCTTGATTAAATAAAAGCACTACAATCAAGAATTGAAAGTAAAATAAGACCTTGATAAGATCTACATTTTTTTGAGTGTCTATTTCACGGCAAACTCTCTTTCTAGTTCTTCCCACCTGATCCTTTCCTAATTTACTCTGCAAGAGGACCCTGGAATGCCCATGTTCTCATCCCATTGACGAGTGTGCAAATCGAGGCTCAGACCTCATGTCTCTCTTGTTGCACAGCTAGTAAGGGGCAGAGTTCAGATCACACCCAGTTCTATGCAGACTTGAAGCCTGTACCAATATTGCTGGCTTCTCAGGGCTCTGAAGAATTAAAAGGGATGCTTTCTACAAAATAACTCTAAGTGTATCTGTGAGATTGTAAAACTTGATATCGTCCTCTCCTCTCATTCAGCAACTCTGGCCCTCTTCTCTCTGCCCCTTGGTGACTCTTGCTTTTCTCTACTGTCCCGGAATCTCCAACTCAGGCACACCCTGGGAGCAACAGGGAGGATGGATTAAGGCTGTTCAAGTTGCTTCTCTCACTGCCCAGCATAACCCATAACATTGCCTTGGACCAGCGCACCATTCTCTCTCCCCAGAACCACTGCAGTAGCCTTCTAAACAGTGCCTCCCTTAACACACTTGGCCATTGCACTTTTCCCCTCAAAGCAGCCAGGATGATATCATTAAAACATAAATCATGTCACATCTCCTTTGCTCAAAACACTACAATGCCTCTCAGCTCACATAGAGCAGAACTTTAATGACCTCCAGCCTGCCCTCCATGACCTCATTTCCTCCAACCCTCTTCTCATTTCCATGTACTTTTTTCCCACCTCCAGCCACAGTGGCCTCCCACCTCCACCTTGAATCTGCCAAATGCATTCCAAACTGAAGGTCTGTCCACTGGCGTTTCCTTCTGCCTGGGTTTGTTCCCCAGGTATCCACATAGATCAGTTTTTCAATTCAATTTTGTTTCTCCTGAAATGCTCCTTTAACTGAATGTCTTCTTTGGCCAGCCTCACCAGAATAGCACTCCCTCTGTCCCACTGTGTCTTCTCACGCTGCCGTAATTTCCTTAGTGCGGATCCTCACCAGATGCACCATTGGCGTTTGTGCTTATTTATTGCATGTCTACCCCTACTGGGACACAAGCCATCTGAAAGTGGAGTCGGGCTCTGGTTTTGTTTGATGCTATATACTGTAGGCTCAGGACAGTGCCTGCCACACAGTGGACATTCAATAGACATTTGTGGGCTGAATAAATCATCCCTTTGAGAACTATGCAGTCCCAAGCCATGACGGTGGCACTGAGGATAGCAGTGAAAAGTTAGAGAAAAGTGATATCAGGGAGGAAGGGAAGATACAACTTGGAGATTTGTTGACTAGCAGAGAGAGTGAGTGAGCCTGGTTTAGAAGCCCCTGGATCCACACCTTTGAGCTGTGAACCCATCAGGCTGGAGGGTGCGATAATGTCTGGGTCACAATGAGTTTCTTGATACTTGCCAGGTAGAATTCAAGATGTGGTCACAGATACCTTCAGAAGACAGCCAAGCCTTGGAGGCACTGGGTTTCTCCATCCATCTGATCCAGCTCTGATTAATGCAGACATCGGGAAGCTGATCATAAGACAGCTAAGAGTTGCCAGCTCCCCTTCCTCAGGGAAAGGAAACCAGACACCTTCCATTTTCTATCTAGACAGACACCCCCTCCAGTTGCTTCCAGGGGATTCTATAGAGAGTCACCGGTTATTTACAAGATGAATAAACCATTTTCCCTCAAGGTCAGTGGGAGGACCTGGTGAATAATCATCGGAAGTTAGAATCCAAGCCAGCAATGTAACTGTGTTGAGAGGAAAGACTGAAAGGAGAGATCGGAATATCTAATGGTTGGTAAGAAAGGATGAGAGAGAAGAGATGCAGAGGTCTGGGCCATGACTGAGCAGAATGACTCATTAAGATGCCGTTGTGGTCGGGGGATGAAGCATCAGTTCCCTCTCCAGGGTGACACAATCACCATTTGGGGATGCAGCAAGGTCTCAGCAGCAATCCGCTTCCTGAGCTGACCCCAGGATCTTATGTAACAACGTTACTCATGCTCAGGAAGGTGAACACCTAAGTTGACAACAGGACTTGTAAAAGGCATGAATTCAGGAGGTGTTCCTGTGCCAGGAAAGTTGAATCAATTGATCTGGAAGAGCAGATGTATGGGCAAGTAGGAGGCGCGTGGTAGACAAGAGAGAAATGCAAAGAAACACATCTATGGAAGCAGACACCATAAGCATTAGGTTTTCAGCAAGGAGAAAGAAACCAAAAAGGTGGCAAGAGGCCAGAGAAAGAAAAGTGTCAGAGCAGGTCTTTCATGGGTCATCCATGAAGGGGCATCATCCAGAGAAGCCTCAGGGTAACATCTCTCTGGCATCTGTACCTTCCGCACCCCCAGCATCATGGGCCATTCCAGTGCCTCTCAAAGGTGGCCTTCCTTCCTGTAGCCACAGCCACAGGAACCCACCCTGTTCCCAGGCCCAGTATCTTCCTTCAGGCCCTCCTGGGCCAACCTCTGCAGGCATCTGAGCTGTTTGATTTGGAGATTCCTGGGGTTCTAACCTACCTTTTCAGTTTGGTGTCCAGGGTTCACACCATCATCTCCTAAGCAAGAGCCCAAATGGACTGCTTAGCTCAGCCCCAAATACCCACTTAGGACTTCTGATGCCTGAGACGTTGCCATTCTGCTCCCTCTGTCTGTAATCCTCCCTTCACATCTCAGCCCATCAAAATCACATCCCAGTTCAGTGCTATCTCTTCCATGAAGCTTGAGCAGAAATGACAACAGCTCAAATGATGAGAAATAAATACTTGAGTCATGGATTTCCTGGGGCCACCCAAGAGCTAACAAGTTAGAATTGCCGGGGTGGGGTACAAAGCTCCAAGTGAGTAGAATCAAAGGAATTCTCTGTGTTCTTTCTCCAACCCCTTTCCTCTATGATATTGTAAGGAAAAGAAGTTTAAATCTAAGGTACATTGGAAGGATAAGCCATTTAACTTGCTGAGTCTTTGTTTTCCCACATGGAAGATTATAATCATGATAATTATTTCAAAAGATAATAGGAGAAGAAATGATTTAATATTTGAGGAAGTTATTTATAAAACACAATAAAGCATCCCTCAACTGTAACAGAGAGTGATGAGAATGAGGAGGAAGATGATAATGAATATGAGGAAGAAGAAATAGTAAGAGTCATATTCTGGCTCCTTTGTGTTCTTGTAGTGGGTGATAGACTGTGTGTCAAACAGATCTGGTTTCAAAATTCAACCACCTAGCAGTGCCACAGAGTTTAAATTGGATGACGCCCACAAAGTACTTAGTAATAGTGGTTATGGTGATGACAATGGTAGCAGTTGGTGATTTTGATGATAATAATGGTGGTGGTGGCGGTGATGGGGTCTTGTGGTGGCATTGATGATGATGGCATTAATGGTTATGGTAGTGATGGAGTTGATGGTGATGGTGATGATGGTGGTGATGGTGATGATAGTAGTGATGGTGATGGTGATGGTAGAGTTGATGGTGATGGTGGAGTTGATGGTGATGGTGATGGTAGAGTTGATGGTGATGGTGGAGTTGATGGTGATGGTGATGGTAGAGTTGATGGTGATGGTGATGATGGTGATGATAGTAGCCATGGTGATGGTGATGGTGGAGTTGATAGTGATGGTGGTAGTGATTGTGATGATGGTGGAGTTGATGGTGATGGTGATGGTAAAGTTGATGATGGTAATAGTGATCGTGATGGTGATGGTGGAGTTGATGGTGATGGTGATGATGGTGGTGATGGTGACGATAGTAGTGATGGTGATGGAGTTGATGGTGATGGTGGTAGTGATTGTGATGGTGATGGTGGAGTTGATGGTGATGGTGCTAGTGATCGTGATGGTGATGGTGGAGTTGATGGTGATGATGATGGTAGAGTTGATGATGATGGTAGTAGTGATTGTGATGGTGGAGTTGATGGTGATGGTAGAGTTGATGATGGTACTAGTGATTGTGATGGTGATGGTGGAGTTGATGGTGATGGTGATGGTAGAGTTGATGATGATGGTAGTAGTGATTGTGATGGTGGAGTTGATGAGGGTGATGGTGGTAGTGATAGTGATGATGATGGTGGAGTTGATGGTGATGGTGATGGTGGAGTTGAGGGTGATGGTGGTAGTGATTGTGATGGTGATGGTGGAGTTGATGGTGATGGTGGTAGTGATCACGATGGTGATGGTGGAGTTGATGGTGATGATGATGGTAGAGTTGATGATGATGGTAGTAGTGATTGTGATGGTGGAGTTGATGGTGATGGTGGTAGTGATTGTGATGGTGATGGTGGAGTTGATGGTGATGGTGATGGTGGAGTTGATGATGATGGTAGTAGTGATTGTGATGGTAGAGTTGATGATGATGGTAGTAGTGATTGTGATGGTAGAGTTGATGATGATGGTAGTAGTGATTGTGATGGTAATGGTGGAGTTGATGGTGATGGTGATGGTAGAGTTGATGATGATGGTAGTAGTGATTATGATGGTGGAGTTGATGATGATGGTAGTAGTGATTGTGATAGTAGAGTTGATGAGGGTGATGGTGGTAGTGATTGTGATGATGATGGTGGAGTTGATGGTGATGGTGATGGTGGAGTTGATGAGGGTGATGGTGGTAGTGATTGTGATGGTGATGGTGGAGTTGATGGTGATGGTGGTAGTGATCACGATGGTGATGGTGGAGTTGATGGTGATGATGATGGTAGAGTTGATGGTGATAGTAGTAGCGATTGTGATGGTGGAGTTGATGGTGATGGTGGTAGTGATTGTGATGATGATGGTGGAGATGATGGTGATGGTGTAGTTGATGAGGGTGATGGTGGTAGTGATTGTGATGGTGATGGTGGAGTTGATGGTGATGGTGATGGTAGAGTTGATGATGGTAGTAGTGATTGTGATGGTGGAGTTGATGGTGATGGTGGTAGTGATCATGATGGTGATGGTGGAGTTGATGGTTTTGGTGGTAATGATGGTGATGGTGATGGTGGTGATCGTGGTGATGGTGATGGTGATGCTAACATTATTGGTGGCAGTGGTGATAGTGGCAACTCTAGTAAAGGTAGATGTAGCAGCGGCTATGTAATCTCTGCAGTTTTGTCCCATAACTGGTTTCAAAGATTTGAGAAGTGCTAGAAAAAATAAATTTTGTAGCAATAAAGAGCTGTTTTACTAACGATAGGCCTGTTTCTTGTCATTTTTCTTTTCTTCTCTTTTAAATTGCTACCCAGCACAATATCTGGATTAAGTGTTTGTAATTTATCAAGAGGGCAGATTTTTCAAGCCATTCTGAATGCCAAGATGCTGAGCGGAACTGGTATTTCCAAGGTTGCCTGTCTGCCCATGGAGAGGAAGGAAGCCTATAAATTCAGAACAGCAATTCTCTCCCAGCCAGGATGAGTTAACAGAGTCATCTGAGGGGCCATTAACAGATAAAAGGATTGCTTGTGCAACTGATTCTAATATGTGCCGTATGGTCTTCTGCTCAGTTCCTGTTCTCCAGGCCTCAGAATGTCAAACATGATTATTTTCTACTGGTTAGAGCTGAAACCAGGTGCGCAGGGAAAACCCAGGGTGTCCTGATATAAACCCTGGCTTCATGCCATGAAATGAATCAAACAGTAGCCTAGGATCCAAACAACACTGTTACCACCTGGTAGAGCAGGAAAAGGCAGGAAAGAGATTTTAGAATGAAAAAGGAAAACGAATTCAACCTAGGCTGCCACTGCAAAAAAAGACTGGCCATGTTTCCTTCCTCAAATCTACTAGAAATCAGAGCTGGTGGGCCAGATAACCTTCAACAATAATGAGACCCTTGGTTCCAAGCGAAAGGCAGGGATTAAGCTGATGTGTGCCCAGTGCATCCTATCGGACAGGCATGGTCAGGTATTGAGGGTCCTAGATCTATTCAAAGCATGCACAGCAAGGACAGTTAACTTCCATGTTAGAATTCTGATATGCACATGGATACACACACACACACCACACACACACACACACACACACTCATACTCACAATATTGAAGCAAAGAGGGTGGAGAATTCAGAGCCAGGCAGATCTCATGCCCCAGGTATAAGTACCCTCACTACCTACAGCCTGGGTAACACTCAGTAATTTGATGTATACCTTTAAGTCTTAGAATCCTAATTAGTAGAATGGGATTAAAACCGCCATACCTCAGAGAGTCCTTGTGGGAATTAAATGAGAATCATGGGTGCAAACAATTCCCTAGGGAAGTGCCTGCTATGCAGTGACTATTCAATCAATGTTATTTCCTTTCTCCCTTCTCTTAGCTATACATCTATAAAGAGAGATTCCATTTTTAAAATGCATTCTTAAAGTAAATGACAGTCAAGAACCCCATGAGATGGGTGGGGAGCACTGCCGTCTTTGTAAGAGGGGACATCTTGTTGGATAGGATCACCTCTCCAGTCCTCATCTATTGATGACAGGGAAGAGAAACCAGAAGATACTGAGAAAATGATCAGATGAACCAAAGAGGTTGTCACCCGCTGTGGGAAGAGCAATGACCAAGATCTAAGTGACCTTGAGAAGGTCATTCACGTTTCTGGATATATTTCTCACTGTGAGTCTCAAAGATCCCTGTTGCCACAATGCTTCTATAGACATTCCAAATTTTACATTTTGTTGAAATGTGTCACAATATACAATTTTTTTTTACCAACTTTTCTTTTTTTTTTTTAAATCTTCCAGAGAAGATGAAAGATGATGTCTAGGCGATTTCAGCTGAGACTCAGTGCTACAGAGCAAGGCAGGGCGTAAGAAGGGACCACATTCTCTTCTCCAAAATGAGCCATCCCCTGTGGAAGGTGAGAACCCAGGTGACCAGGCACCCAGTTCTGAATCTTGTCCTCTTCTAATCATTCACTTATGTTCCTTAACTGTATGAGATTATATTAATGTCATTACCTATTTAATTAATGCCATTATCTATTTATGCGTATTTTATAGGCATATTCCTATTGTATTTATAACTATGTTATGTGTCCATAAAATATGTATGTTTTACAGGTGTGAGGGACTCTTCTCATTACTGTGGTTATAAAAATAAATAAGAAAAAGTCCTTCCTCTCATAGTCTTACATTCTATTAAAGAAAACAAAAACAAATTCTCAAATAAGAAAAATATCAGATAAATCTGCAGAAAATTAAAATGGGATGGTGTGAGAATAACAGTGACAGCCATTTTGAGGTGGATGATTCGGGCATGACAATTTTTTTATTGGAAAAGTGAGCCTCCTGGAAGCTCTGAAAGGTCCCACTGCTGCAGTGGCCTTGAGCCAGGCTGGGTCTTCCGCCAAAACATTCAGGATTCAGACGTAACTGCAGCATCTCTCATTTCAACTAGATGACAGTGCTCCCTGATCAACCTCCTTAATGCCCAGCTCAGACAACAGGCAGGAAATTAAAGCCTTGGAAAGAGAAATGCAGTCCTTCTCTATCTCTCTGCCTGGTGACTGCTACCGCCCTCCAGCAGGCAAGCAGGCAGGCGGGCAGGTGGGCGGGCATCTCCTGCAGCTCCGGGGATGGCGTGGAGCGTGCCTCGCTCTCAATTCCCCCTTTTACCATGTCAATGTGGAAAAATACCAGCTTTGTCCAAAATGAATGCATTTACTTTGCCGAGGATTATCCTGTCTGCCTGTTGCTAATCTCTAAAATAAAGGGCCTGGGTTCTGTTGCCCCCCAACCCATGTTTAGTGTCTGTCTCTCCATGCCCAGGTTCCAGCCTGCTGTCAGCCGTCAGCCTCGTCTCTTCCCTTGCACAGCCTGAGCATGTGCAGTGATGTTCAGGAGCTCTTCTGAGTGATGTTTCAATTGAAGTTGATGAGGAGGAAATGACAGGTCATGGCAAGGGAAGGAGAGAGATAATTTTTTGAATAAGTCATTTTGTCTTGCATTTTCCTGACTCAGCTAGAGAGCGACTGAACAGGAAGCTGCTTCCAAGCCCACAACATTACAATTTGTTTCTACTCCCTTTTTCTCCATAGATGCAGGCACTGAGCTAGCAATATCCAAATGACAGAACACAACCTGAATCAGGGAATCACCTTTGATGACTGAAAGGCCATGGGGCCCCCAAAACCCACTTGCTCATCGTCCTTCATTCACTAGAGGAAGCAAGACAAGCGGGGAGCCATCCTCTGTGTTGCTCTGCACCCTGTGCTAATGCTCCCACCATCCTGCCTTGTCACTCTTAGTTCACTCTCCTTTACTAGACGCTGGGCCTTTCAGAGCATGACTTCTGTCCTTACCTCAGCATGCCCTCCACCTGGCATCCGACCCGAACCAGGATGGGTGCTCAGAAGCCCTGTGCTCTGCCCAGCCCCTGCCCTTTCTCAGTGGATCACCGTGGGAGCCTTCTAACTGGCCTCCTTCCTGCAGTCTGTTCTCAATGCAATAAGACACATGAATGTGTTTAGGGTGCAACCCGGGCCCTGCCACTGCGACCCTCAAAACCCCAGCATGAGCAACCACGACCAGAAATGTATGAGATAGGCCCATCTGGAACCTGACATTATTTGATGCAGCTTCAAGAAGCAGTGTTCATAGATTTAGGTAAAATAATGGTATTATGGTTCTGTGTCTCTTAAAATTCCTTCTCTTTTGGAGACAACATACTGAAATATTTAGAAACAACATGATGTGATGATTTTAGGACTTGCTTTCAGTGAATTCAGTGGTGGGTAGGAGTGTTGGTATATAGAAAAGAAGTTTTTCAATAACTTATAAATGTTGAGTGCATTTAGGGTATATGAAGGTTCATTTTACTGTCCTTTCTACTTTTGTGTATGATCTTTCATCATAAAACATTTTTTTCATCATAAACTTGTTTTTCATCACAAAACATTTTTTGAAAACATGGAAAAGCTCCATTGGTTACTCACAGTAAAAGCCAAAGTCCTTATAATGACCCACAAGGCCTGAAAGGAAGCTCGTCTCCTGCCAGGCCCCTTGCTGGGTCCAGCCACATGGACCTCTGGGCTCCACCACTCCACACCTGCGCCTGCCCCAGGACCTCTGCCTGTCAGGCTCTTCCCCAGCTATCAGTTTGGCCAATGTCCTCACCTCTGGAGAGCCTGTTCAAGGAAAATTGTCTTCATGGGGCCTTCCTGCATCACCTGCTTACATGCTATTTCATGTCTTTCCCCCGGCCTGCCAGAATATAAACAGCATGAGGGCAGGAGCTTCCTTCTTCCTGAACTACTCACTTGCCTACAACAATGCCTGGTACCCAGTAGATACAGAAGAAGAAATGTTTGTTGAATGGATGAATTTGTGGAAGGAAAGGTGAGAAGAAAAGGGGCAGGAGGGAATAAAAGCAAGTAAAAGAAAAATAGGAAAAAAATTGGAAAAGGGAACACAAGAGGAAGAAAAGAGAGACTGGTTGAGAGTCCCCAATAAGATGCCAGCAGAGCCTCAACTAGAAGCCATGTCTGCAGCTATTTTAATTACACCAATGAGTTTCCAAACTGAAGAGGAAGAAGTCCAGGTCGAAGCTGAGGGGCACAAGCAAGTGTGCAGAGGCAGGATGCCTTCTCAAGGGGGCACTTCCCATATCCAAAACACTGATTTCAATGCTCCCATTGACTCCCATGGAAAACTCACTCACTCCTGCAAGGCCACCTCAAACATCACCTTTTCCCTTGGATGTGCCTATTTCCAGCCCCCCGGCTCCTCTCAGTGGCCTCCCTCAAGCTGAGATCTCCCTCTGTCCTCTGAACATCTGTAGTCTTCCTCAGTCTCCACTGAGGTCATCTGTTTATATGCACTGAGCTCCTTAGCCGACCTGTGAGCTCCTAGTAGCTGAGACCTTAATGTTTTCAGAAAATCCCAAAGCATTTAGCAGAGTGTCTGTGCATCACAAGAAGTCAACATGAGCTTTCTGACAGACTGACACATGGAAAGAAAGAAGGGAGAAAATGAGAAGTCAGACTTTGGGGACGCACAGCCGCACGTGCGAATCCCTGAGGGGCCACTGGTGGCTGTGCTGTATCAGAGCCTGTCCTTCATCTGCAGAAATGGGGATGGCAGAGCTGTTATGGGAGCTGCCATGTAATTGGAGCTCAATAAACACCATATCCTACCCCTGCCCATCATCACTGCACCCCAACCCCTCACCCTGTTTGCTTCTCTGGATCTCCTTGTTTTATTCCTCAAATCTCCAGACCCAGTGAATTGCCCAATTTCCAAGGCCTGTGGGTTGTGTTAAGCTCAGATCAGGCCAAGCACCATTGCATGGGTGGCTGGTATTCCTCAGAAGGGTAAAAAGTGTTTCTGAAGATGATGGCAGTCACCCTGGGAAGCACATCCAGCAGGTTTAAAGAAGTTGTATCTAAGAAGGTGATATGGTTTGGCTGTGTCCCCACCCAAATCTCATCTTGACTCCCATAATTCCCACGTGTTGTGAGAGGGACCTGGTGGGAGATCATTGAATCATGGGGGCAGTTTCCCCCATACTATTCTTGTGGTAGTGAATAAGTCTCACGAGATTTCATGGTTTTACAAGGGAAACCCCTTTCACTTGGTTCTCATTCTCTCCTTGCCTGCTGCCATGTAAGGCATGTCTTTCACCTTCTACCATGATTGTGAGACCTCCCCAGACACATAAAACTGTGAGTCCATTCACCTTTGGCCGTGATTGTGAGGCCTCCCCAGCCCCATGGAACTGTGAGTCCATTAACTCTCTTTTCCTTTATAAATTACACAGTCTTGGGTATGTCTTTATCAGCAGCATGAAAATGAACTAATACAGAAGGTATGAGCCTGGTGAGTGAGCTCTGGGCAAGATGTTCCCTCCTTGCCTTAACAAGAGTAAATTAGATAAAGATGTAGATTTTAAAAACCTTCACAGTCATCTTTATATAAACAGTTCCACCCATCATCTAACTCTACTTTGGAAAAATAACAATTGCCCAAGTTCAATGCAAAATGAAAAAAGCTTCACGTACACATTAATTACATAAATGTACAAAGATTGTTGTTTTCTCTTAAGACTGTGCAGGAGCATGTGCGGGAGCATGTTGAGAGAATGACAGCCATGTCAGCTGTCACATCATGCCGCCCAACCAGGGCCAAGTCCCTTGCTGAGCACTTTTTCTCCTAACAACACAGCTGATGGTGATATCTTCCCCACTGTAGCAAGAAGTAAACCGGCCTGGAGAGACCAGGTAACTTGCAAGGGTCACACAGCTGCTGAGACGTGGATCAGCACTTCAATCCCAGGTGCATCTTGTTCTGAAGCCCAGGATCCTTCCACTCTATGGAGGAGGGAGACACCTAGCTTTGACCCACCTGACTGCCTCACTTGACTGACAGGGAAACTGAGCCAGGGGTGGGGATGCTGAATGGGAAGTGGGGGCGAGTGAATCTCTGATACAGTTTGGCTGTGTCCCCACCCAAATCTCATCTTGAATTGTAACTCCCACAGTTCCCACACACTGTGGGAGGAACCCGGTGGGAGGTGATTGAATTATGGGGGAAGGTCTTTCCCATGCTGTTCTCATGATAGTAAATGAGCCTCAGAAGAGCTGATGGTTTTAAAAACAGGAGTTTCCCTACACAAGCTCCCTCTTTGCCTGCTGCCACCCATGTAAGACGTAACTTGCTCCTCCTTGCCTTCTGCCATGATTGTGGGACCTCCGCAGCCATGTGGAACTGTAAGTCCATTAAACCTCTTCCTTTTGTAAATTGCCCAGTCTCGGGTATGTGTTTATTAGCAGCGTGAGAACAGACTAATACAATCTCTCTCACCCAGTGCACCTTCCTGATGCCTTTCCCTGCCTCACCTAGCCTTAAAATAAATTATTTGTAGAATTTTGAGAATTCAAAAGGGTTATAGGAGGCACAGTTCTTTGAAAACCAAAGATCGAAGTTAACCAGTGGGTAAGCACAGGTCAGAGTCGGCGCTGAATGAGAAGAGCAGGCCACCCCCTTTCAGAACGGAGGATGTGAACTGTGATGGGGAGGCAACCCCCTTAGACGAAGTCAATCCACAGCAAAATATATGGCACTATCCACGTCACTGAGCTACAGATTGTGCAGGCTAAGAGAGGCCATACGTGGAATGAGGGCTGCCTCTCCCAGATGCCAGGACTCCATTCCTACCCACCCATCAGTGGTGTAAACCTCCAGAGGCAGGAAGCTCACTGGTCCCTGGAGCTACCTGCCCATCTGTGGATGCCTGTGGCCCTCAGATTGTTAACCATGTGAACTAGTAAAAGGCGATACAAGCTTAACGGTTACAGTTCAACAAATGTGAGCTGACTTCCTGCCCTGTGCCAGGTACCTTGGTGGGAACTGGGGACACAGAGTTGAGTCTGGCTTTCAGTCCAGTTTGCTGTGGGAGCATTGGAGGGGATAGGGGTACAACCCAAGCATGCTTCTGCAGCCCTCCTCAGAAAGTACGGCATTGTTTCAAGAGCTGAATTTACTGGTGAATTATACCCTTATGGTGTGCACAATCTAGATAGGAAAACAGGTGCTTAATTAATTAAATACCATGAGATATCATATCCAATAATGTGCACAATCTAGATAGGAAAACAGGTGCTTAATTAAATTAATTAAATACCATGAGATATGATATTCAATAATGGCATGGATATATTAGATGCACTCAGTTGCCTCTTCTCTGTATACCCTCAGCACTGGGCTTCCCTGCTCTGGGGCTGTGATCACCCAATGGATTCATGTCTCTCTATATATGACTCCTGGCAGACAACAGACTGATCTCCATGTCCCTGAAGCCCAACTCAAGGCAGAACACATAGTAGAACCTCAACCATGTTTGATGAACTGAATCCAACCCTTCATTCTACTTCCAATATTCATTTCAAGTCCCTGAAACTGACACTGTCTATCTTCTCTGCATGGCATTATAAAATAGGGACCAGTGTGGGTGAGCTGAGGAATCACAAAGAAAAGAGAGTTTACTTACTCGGAGACCTTGCAAACCAGGAGGTCCATCCCTGCCTTCTGGGCCTATTGGACCCTTTAGGAGGGAGAAAAAGGAAAAAGAGAGAGAAACATAATGGTAAATGCAGGGCTCAATGGCATAGCTTAGGCTTTAGAATCTCACCCTCATTGAATAGTGTAATACCATCCCATTCTGATGGGGAAATTCGGAGGTCCCATTCTCTCAAACCTATAACACTTTAAAACATGTACATCTATCAGATCTGATTAAGTATGTTGAGCAGTCAGGATGTAAGAAACCTAGTTCGTACTTTATACTGAGTACTGTAAGCATCCAACAGCTTGCTTTAGTGGTTTGCACAAAGCACACAGAAGCGAACTGTCTGGAACCTAAGTGTCTTTGATTCTAAGCCCAGTGCCCTTTCCCTGCAGCCTGCTGGCTCAGAAAGAACTGGCATAGACTATCTGACTCTCAGGCAACAGTGATATGCAAAACATGATAGTCTGGACAAATGAATGAAACTGCCTAGGAAAGATCAATATCAATTAACCAAGGAACACTGGCGCAGGGAGGGGTCATACTGACCTCATTCGAATCCTGCCCCCTCGTCCTGCCTCGATTCTGCCTCATGAGCTCAGGCAAGTCACTTGGTGCCGTTAAACCTCGGTTATCTCATCTCTGAAGTGGGGATGATACAACCACCTACTGAGCAGTTATGAATGGGTTCTAAAGCTGGGGCACAGCACCCAGGTCCCCTGACAGAACCCTGATTTATACCACAGAATGAGGCATATCATGTGAGTGGGAAACTGAAACCCTAAGCTTAAGCTGTGACTCTATCACCACTTCTGGGTGAATTTGGCCAGAAATGCCCTCTCTGCATTTCAATTTCCACATCTTCGATAAATATTATTTTCATAATTATCATACTAATAGCTACTGCTGCTAAATTTTGCGTAACTGTACGTGACCAAGCTGCATTTACATCAAAGGTCCTTTCTCTTAATAACGCCATGTAAATGAATAAATCAATGGACAAACTGCAGTAATTAAAGGTGTGGATCTCTCTTCCTAACAAGGAGATTCTGTTGAGCTCAGGACACACAGAAAGAGAAGGCCCTAAAGGCATGAGATTTTTAAGCGTCAAGAAATAGCTGGCATTGATCTACATCTCTGGCCCTTTAGTGACTCCATGAGACATTGGTAAAACTATCAAAGCCTGTTTCATCTTAGGGAATGGATGAAAGATGCCAGCATTTGGATGCAGAATGCTGAACACTGTTTCCATTTCGAGAATGGGATATATTTTCCTCTCTCTGGGATTGCTGAACACAAACTCAAAATTTTCCATTCTCAACAGAAGTCACTGAAGCCAGCTTCTCAATTCAATTCAACCCAATGAATATTTAGAAAGTAACTGCTCTGCAGAAGGCCCCGAGCTAGGTGCTGCTGCGGATTCAAAAGCAGAGAGAAGTGACAGTTGATATCAGCATTGGGCTCAGTCAGGCTCCATGGGGCTCTGCCTCAGAGAGCAGCTCATTTAACCTCATAGTATGTTTACATAGGAGAAGATGCTGCTGCGGTAGATTTCCAAGTTAGGGGTGAATCGAATGAGGATCAGAGATTAAGCAATGTCACCAAAGCCACAAAATTACTTGGTGGACAAATTGGGCCATGAAATCAGGTGCTCTGGTTCCTAATCCCAAGTACCTTCCATGACCCTATTTCTGTAGCTCATGCTGCAGACAGGTTCACTTTACTGGCCCTCTTGAACACCTGCCGCAGGGCTAGCTCTACAAGCGTGTGTTAAGTTCCCACCATGTGATAAACCCTGTGGATTGAGAGACGGGAGAGATGTTGGTCCTCGACTAAAGAATCTTATAGTCTTGGGCCTCTCATTACTGTTCTTCTCTTAATAAGGCCTTTAGTTAGGCTGTTTGCTTTTTGAACACTCCGAAGGGAATCTTATCACTAACATCATGTATTGTACTAAATCCCATTCTGTCTAGGCTAGAAGACATCTTCAGAACCACGGGGAACCCCGTGGGGCATCAGGCTAAGATATCCTGAATTTTGAAAGTAGGTAGATTCAAGACCATCCGCATGTCCTGTCTAATGGACCCTAGAAATGGTACGTGCAGGGGATTCCAATTCATCATCTAGAAATTGCAAATGTTTGCTTGCAGTTATTTCTTTTTTCACATAGCTGCTTCTTCAGACTCTGAGGGTGCCTCATGTGTTATTTCATCCCTATATCTTCAGCCTTAGTATTTTGCTTGATATAAGGTAGGTGGTCACAAACGTTTGAGGTTTCTTCCTTCTCTCCCTCCCTCATTTACTGTAACAAAATCTAGGTAAAGGGTGAGGACTACCCATATATTTTCATCTCAGGAAGAGGCCAAGAAGTTTGCCTCATGATTAAGCAGAGCTAGCTATCTTTAGCTTCTTCTTCTGTAATGGGGACCATGAAGTAAAGTAATTCCCCTTTACGGAGCTCAGAGGAAGGATTGTATACTCCGTGGTGAAAACAGGAGAGGCTGCACAGTCAGATCTAGGTTCAAGTTCAGTTCTGCTTCTCAAGAGCTATGTGACTTTGTGCAAACCACTCAATGTCTCTGCACTAATGTTTTCATTGGTAAAAGATGAAAAATAACATCTTCACCCTTGCAGACTTAATATGCATATATTTGCACAAGAAAACATATATAGTATAGACCTTCAATACTTGCCAATAATAGATCTGAAATATACATGTATGTATGCATAGAAAGGTAAATATTGGAACACACTGCATTCTCTGCATTATCTAGTTTAAATCTCTCAACAGTTACAATTGTGGGCAGCTCTGGAAACCGAACCTGGAGAGGTCACAGAGACATAAGTTAGATTTTCTGATCCAAAATCTTTGATATAAAATTGTTCTAATTTTCCTAGAATTAAACATCCCTTAAGTTTCTTCTAGTTTTACCCCAGCAAAAACATATAAATATATCCTCATAAAGAGTGGGCCTCAATAGCTTAAAATAAATCTGATCTATGTTCATTTATAAGTCAGTTATTTTATTCCTTTCAATAAAATACAGTAACTTGAAAGCAACAGCAGCACATTGCCAGAAGAAGCAACTTTAAAGCAGGGACCCTGTGGAGGGTACTGTATTCTTACTAATTATTCTCGATATCTGAACTCACATCATAAGATAATCACAAGGGCCCTTTGGATGGCCGCTTCCCAACTGGTGATTTACATATCATTAAATTCTTAGCAGGGGGAGAAACCAGAGGCTGAAACGTCCCAGGCCACTGCAAAGTCAGAACTGACCAGAAACATGGGAAAAGTGAGTGCGTTGGAAGTGATTCAGTCGGCATGTAAGTGTCCAATGTTTTTATTCTACTTTATCTGAATGGAAAATAAAACATCAAACTGAATCCCCAGAAACCCCCATCATGGCCCGCTGGGGACTGGGGGCTCTGAAGGCAGGGTGCCCACACTTCAATCCCATTCCACACATGGCAGCTGCCTGACGTGGAGAGAGTTATCCCACCTCTTCCAGGCTCAGTTTTTCCTACGTGAGACGTGACCACAACAGCACAACCCACTCAGGTGATGTGAAGGCGCTTGAGATAATGCCATGCTCAGCGCCGGGAATGACTCTGATCTTCCAAACCCATTGGTAAGAGAAGCGTGCAGAGCAAACCCTGCGCAGGAGAGGGACAACTTACCCGAGCTCCTGGAGGACCGGGGGCGCCTTGGTGACCTCTGGGTCCTGGAGCTCCCTGGTAACACAAGCCAAACAGATGTTTAGTCATGACTTTTCCCCCATATGATCAGGCCCACCATCACCCATGGCCCTCTCCTGACTCAAAGTTTACTTTCCAAGTTCTCGATAGGGAGTAGAGGTATGGGAGTGGGTATTTGCATTTCTGGCAGAAAGGCAACTGAAGTCTGAAAGGCTCCATCTGAGTTCAGCCTGAGATCATGGTTGTGGCTTTTCTGTTTCTGCTGTGACCTAAATCCCCATGAGAAGAAGACGCGTGTGCCTCTTACCTGTTCCCCTTTCAAGCCCTCTTGCTGCACCTGAGAGACAAAGCAAGCATTAGCAAAGGTGCTGGCATTTCCGCAACCACAGTCAACCTCTCTCAGCTGCACTAAGGCCATTCATTCACAGGCCATGCTGTCATGTCGTGCCTCCTGACTTTTCTCTGATTCTGCCCCATTTTTAGTGTTGAAAGCCTTCTATCCAACCCATGTCCTTGGAAGAGCGTTGCCTTATTCTTAGAGGTGAAGACTCATCCAACCACCCAATCCCACCAGCACCTGCATCCATGATTCCAACCACTGCTGACTCACCACTGAGCCTGGTACACCAGGTGGCCCCGCAGGTCCCACGTCACCCTGCACAGAAACGACAAACATTTCAGCATAGTTACTGGTGCCACCTTCTGTGGCAGTCCCATCCCTCTGAGGCTTATTCTTGTGGGCCCAGGGGACCACACCCCTCCCTGTGCACCACCACACATATCTTCGTCTTGCCCGAGCCTGCTGTCTTCTGAAATTCTCAAAGTTCGGGTTCTGATCCTCATCTCTGCCTCAGATCATAGGCTTCTTGCTGGCAGGAGTCTTATTTTCTATTTTGTGCACATCCAATCTAGTGCCTAGATTTGGGTCATGTTCCATGAACACCTCAGGGCCCTCACCAGCCTCTGCGGCTTGAGAGCAGCCTCATTGAGCCCCTGCCTGCGCCAGCCACTGTCTTTGCACTGTGAGAGCTGTGATGATATATTTTGGCAGGTCTCTTATGCCAGGTTCATAGCTCCGCACACAGTCAGCATTCAATAAGTATTTATCAAATAAGTAACTAAAAATGTGGCACTGCTTCTCATCCATTTTCATTAAGTCACTTTATACACAAGGTTTGTCTCCTGCCTCCTCCTCCTTGGCCTCCAGGTCCCCTGGGCTATGACGGCTGTGGCCTGACCGGATGTTCCAGCGTGTGCGCTACAACTTGGTCCTAAATGAAGCATATTTATCAATTTTGATCACAGAAAAATCTTTAGTATTATTTCTATGGTGCCTTATGGCTAAAGCAAGGAAAATACATATAGTCAATGTTTCCACACATGACGTAGGGACATAACTTTTCCTTTTACCTAGAGCTTAGCTCAGGGAGCATGGGAAACACTTAAAACCTGTTGTTAATGAAGCTAGTAAATGAATAAATGAATCACCAATTAAAGCTGAAGGCATCTATTAGGTCTTAAGGCTAAGGGGGAAGAGTGAATGGCTCAAGACACACGCTCACTGCCTTGGGGATTCTATTCTATGGACAGAAAATGTTTCCTCTGAGACCAAAATGGATACATTTACAATGTATCTTCCAATGCCCTGTCTCCCATCCCTGCCCGAGACCTGGAAAAATCACCTCACTTTTCACAGCATCAAGTGTTTTTCTAAAAATCCCGATCCATCATGTTTTATGTCAAAAACCTTGAGTGCCAGTTTTCTTCATTGTACCTTCCTGTTTTTCACACAGAGAAATCGAGTCCTGCCTCAGAAACGCTTCTCTATTCTGTTTTATTCTCTCCATGCTGCCAGTACCCCTGCACACACGTGCACACACACGAGCACATATTCTCACACACATGTGCTTGCACACACACTGCATTCACCACTCTATAGCCCCTGCAGGCACTTCCAGGACATGAGAACATGAAGATCTCCATACACTCAGATCCCAGCGCGGATATCAAGTCACTTCTTCACGAACATCCTTCAACATCTCCAAACAGAGTCAGATTTCCCCTAGACTCCCACAAACCTTATTCATATCTTGGTAATACAGGATTGTTAGAAGACATTCTGAGCTATACTATGTGTGTGTGTATGTGTGTGTGGAGGGAGAGAGAGAACGGCTGAATAATGAATCTTTTGAGGTTCAAAATCATGTCTTTTTTATGACTACTTTGTGTCAACTGTCACATTCCCTTCTGTTGGTTTCATTGTTGTATTTCTCATAATATTATTATTATATTACACCACAAAAGTGAGTTTCCAATAACAGTTATGAAATCAATCAATCAACACATGTTTTAATTACTCTCAACTCACCATATAAGGGCCAATGTTCCAACAAATTTGGTAGGAAAACTAAGACCCTCGTATCCATCCCTAACAACTGTGTGTATACAGCTAACAGTTATTGGAGAGACTCTGCCTTGCAGGCTTTTCTTCAGGGACTGGACATGGATTCACTCTCGTTCCCTATGATACTATCTTTCCTGTCTTAAAGATGAGGAAACTGGGGCACAGATACACCGAGTAACTTGTCCAAGGTCAGAAGTCTAGTACATAATAGGACCAAAAGTCTTTCCTAGAATCAATTTCTTCCCACAATATGGGTGACACATTTTTGTAAAGATCAGTTGTGGCCACTGTGGTGGCCCGTCTCCACGACGGTCCCCCGTAGTCCCTGCTTCCTGCATGCAACCCTGTGTGGGGACCTCCCACACCATCCCCGTTCCTCTATGTGACTAACAGAAACAGCAGACGTGCTGGGAGGTGACTTCCAAGATTCGGTGATAAAAATGACTGTGGCTTCCATCTCAGACTCCCTCCTTTCCCCCAACCTTGAACCAGTCACTGCTCACTTTTGGGGAGCAATTTCCCTTTCTGTGCACAGTACCATGGAGAAGCCCATGTAAAAGGGAAGTAAACATCTCTGGCCAACAGCTGTCAAGAAACTCAGGCCTACCAGTGATGACATGAGTGAGCCTGGAAGTAGATTCTCCAGCACCAGTGGACCCTTGAGATAACTATTAATGTGTCCCCACTGACAGCTTGTCTGCCTCTCAGGAGAGATCGTGAAGCAGAACAATCCAGCCATGCCATTCCCAGATTCCTGCCCTCAGAATCGTGTGAGATCATACATGATTGTTTCCAACTACTAAGTTTCAGGATGATTTATTATACAGCGGTAGGTAACTAGTGCAACCATAGACCCAATCCAGTAAAATCATTAAAAGGGCATAAAAATGCATCACCTGATATTTAGATCTGCAGTAAATCATCGAATGGACAGGCAGATAATATGATAGGCCTTGGTCAATAATCAGATTCACTTTGGGGCTTGGGCAAGAAATTGTAATTGTCTAGACTTCGGTCTATTATCTGTAAAATGAAGCAGTTTAAAAAGACCGTCTCTGCAGTTCCAGTGACTTTCCCAAATTGTGTAGCATCTAAGATTTGTCTCAAGGATGTGATCTCAGAATGAGATGAGAGGCATCATATCACCTGAGCTTCACTGGTTTCTTAATTATTTTAATGAAAACCCCAAAATCATGCCATGGTCCTTGACCTTCTCCTCCCATTTCTGCTGCATTTATCATAATAAGAAATAATAACTCAGCAGTTTCCCAAATATGAAGGGCCAAACCCAATCTCTAAATAAGGTGGAAGGTTGAAACTTATAACACCCACACATAGGCGGCAGCAAGAAATAGAGTCATCACCTAGATCCAGACTTCAAGGCTCATTCCCTCTTTGTGACTTGAAATAAACTGCTTATTTTAGGACTTAGCATCCCCTGTCAAGGAACTGCAAGAATATATTAAAATCCTGACACCTGGATAATATAACAATATACATCTCAACTCTAAAAATACTTAGAAGGAGAGAGAATAATGAACTCGGCTAGCACTGAAGCCCGAGTGAGCGAGTTTGGAAGACATTAACTTTCTCCAGCCCCCATCCTAAGCTGAGGTCTGTGTCAGCCCGTACTATTTATTTATTTATAACAGATACCTTGTCTGCTTCCATAAGGAGTTGGAGCAGCCTTCTCCCATATTTAGAGCATATGCTGGAAACCAGTCTGAGTCAGACAATGACCTTCACCTGAACTCTGCGGTGAGCCGCTCTGAGAAGAAGCGATGCTGATCGGGTCTCAGCCGTCTGAGCTGAGCTGGATGTCTCCCGTCTCAGCCCCTTCTCTCTCCCCAGTTATTCTCCAACCCAATGTCTGATGCCTTCCTAAGGGCCTGTCTAGGAACCTGGAAGAATGTCATCCTCTTGCACTTGAGCTCAGGCTATGTCTCGTCACCCCTCCTATGCCAATCCAGAATACAACATCACACCTTCTCTTTTTCCTTCTTCGTGACCCTCAATGCTTAGGAAGGCTATTTTCATGGACATTTTTGTAGGCCCTTCACATTTTGCAAAGAATGTCTACCTGCCACTGTTGCATCTGAGATGCAGAAATTCTTAGCAGCAAATTTACTTCATTAAACCTGGAAGATATTCTAAAATAGATGACCAATAAAGTAAGATACAACCCTTATTTTGTTTTTCAAATACCTAGGGCATTTTCAGGATTCTGATTCTGATTTTTAAAAATTGCAAAATGTAGTAGAGAAGGAGAAAAGAAGAGGAAGAGAAAAGGAAAAAGTTTTTGTAAGATTTTTTAATATTTATTTATAGCCTTCCTTATTCCAAAAAGCACTGTAATGCTTTTTTACATTTTAATACATCTAAATATTATATAACAGAACTTTATATAAATATTATATATTATATAACAGAACTTTCTTTGCTTTTCAAATGTATGTTTATTCCTAAAAGTAGAAAAAAAATTCAATATGATAGCCAGAAATGTCTTATGTGAGTTCCTGATGCCCCAGCCACCACCCTTTGTGTGTGCTTTGTTCCCAGAGTTGCCACCCAGGCCCCTTCCCTGAGCCTGGTTTGCCAAGGCGGGCAGTCCCCGCACCTGCCTGCCCAGGGCACAGAGCCCTTGACAGCCCCAGGCTCGCTCACCTTTTCTCCCTGGGGTCCTGCCACACCAGAAGGGCCGGGCCTGCCCTGGAGGAAAGAAAGAAAAGGCAGATTATGATGGGCACTACGGATACGGTGGTGGGGTGTTGGGGAGAAACAGGTTGAAAGACAGCTGCCCACTGTGGCTAGACTTTTCTTCAGAAGCCAAAGTCCCTTTAGACCTGACTTTCTGGACTGTGCTTATTGCTAGAAAGTTCTTCCTCAACTAACCTAAGCTCCCTATCTCCATGCTTTCTCATCTGCAGTTGCGCTGGTTCTGCAGCATGGATAACACATTCTGAGAAAACAAAGGACCCCTTCCTTAGGGATATGAGGGCCTGGGCAAGAGGAAGAAGAAGCACATAACCAGGACCTGCCCCGGCCCAGGGAGCATAGAAGGTGGAGTCTGGTGGAGTTGAAGGAAATCCTTAGAGCTGAGGACTGGTGAGGCACCAGGGAAGAGGGAAGAGCTGCCCAGACTCTGGCCAGGATTAGTTAGGGCCACAGGGAAATCAAAGTCCCAGAAGTCTGGTGCAGAGGATGCTGAAGACTTGTCCCTCCTGCTCTTCAATGTCCCTGCTGGGAAGCTTTCCACCAGCGGCCAAGAGAACGCCTGAGCTTCCCCAGCTCCTGCAGGAGCAGGGCGTGGGAGCAGCCCAGGAGCCACAGCACAGAGCACAGGGTAGTCCTCAGCCAGCGTCCTCACAGACCCCAGGGAGGGCCTGGAGGGCAGCTGCACAATCAATCTCCATCCATGGACAGAGGGCTTTGTATAGGAAAAGATCCTAAGGACATAGACATGCGTTCAAGGATGCATGCAAAGCACCCTCACTTCCTCTGTACTCTGAACAGCAAAGATCTGTAACCCCACTGCCTGGCTTCCCCTGCACCCTGAGACCCTCGCCGGCCAGCCCACACCACCAGCACTAGGTCTGTGTGCTGGGTTATTGTTTTTTGCACACTCATCCATGGGAAGGATTCCTTTCCCTCTTTGCCATCACCAAGCGGGTATTTCCAGTGACAAGAGCCAGGCCTGGCAACCAGGCACTGCACGATGGATATTTTTAAGCAAGTCAATAAATCGTGGTACATTCATACCATAGACCATTAACTGGTCATTTGAGTCAGGCCTTTGGTGAATATTTTTTTAAATGGTTCCACGTTTATGATACAATGTTGAAGGAAGAAAAGCAAGATATAAAAAGTATGATTCCAATGTGTTACCTGACAATAAATACAAATCCAGATATTTGTGGGAGATGGAATGAACTATAAGTTTAATTTATATTAATATAGTATATTAGAATATTTATTGTAATTCATTGACATTTAATATAATTAACATATATATTTTATCTATGGTTTCATTTTTATATCAATAAATATATTAATTGATGTATATGTTAAATTATGCTATGCAACATAGTATTTTACTAATTGGCTTTAATATGAATGTATGATTTTAGGTTTTATTTCATTTTAGTTTTTAAATTTAAATATGTAAATGTAGTTTCTTTTGGAATAGATGATGCGTTCACATGGTTCAAAACTGAAGTGCATAAACATTTAAAGTCCCCTTCTGGGGGCAACCAAGCAGCAAGGTTATCATCGTCTTATGTCTTCTTCTAGCGACGGTCTTTGTAAGTCACCAGATGCATTTTCCCCCGACACCATTCCCAACACTTTTCTTTATTTTCCACTGAACCACATGTCTTGCAGACCCCTCACATCAGTGCATCCAGAGTTTCTTCATGAATGTCCTCAGCCTCATAGCACTCTCTGTGTCGATGCCTCCTGATTTATTTAACTAGCTTTGTACTGAGGAGCACTGGGGCTGTCTTGAATCCTTCCCTCTGGGGACAAGACGGCAATGAGCGCTGCTTACACACATCACCTTGAAAACGTGCGCGTGGTCAGAGGCCTTTACATTATGATAACGCACCACCTTACCTGATGTAAAATGGATTTCAAGTGGGATCCCTCCAGCTCTGGGGTTCGCAGAGTCAACCTACAGCCACACAGCCGGGGTCTGGTCCTAAGCCTCCTGCAGCCTCCAGCTGAGCAAGGAGGAGGCCCAGGTGCTGAGGCTCTGTGGAGCTTTATGTGGGGTCTGGTCATTCCCATCCTCTGACCGCTGATGAAACCTAGCCCAACAGCGCCAGCACCCACCTACCTGCTGTCCTGTGTCCCCAGGCTTCCCAGGGAATCCATCCAGGCCTCGCTCTCCCTGGCAAAAGAAGGCAAATGGTGAAATAAAGAGGTTAGTGACCACAGGCAGCAGCCCAGCACACATCCCCACAGTGACCGTCATGGACAAGGAGGGTGGGGAAAAGGTGCCAAACGCACGTGCACACACACACACACACACACAACAGCCCTAGACGGGATGTGTCTTGGAGGACAAGGAACATAGGTCTAGGGTCAGAACAACTAGAGTCATCCCTCTGCTTTTCACTTTTCAAATCTGTGGCCAAGAGATGGCCATGTGCCTTCTGTGAGCCACACAGTCTCTTCATCTCACGGTTCATGGGGGTCAAACAAAGCCATGGGTGAGTGGGGTCTGTAATGCAGTTCATAAAATTGCAGGTGTATTTTATGCATCATTCATTTGTCCCGTAAACACGTGTGAACATGCACCACATCCCCAGCACTCAACATAGACTTCAGAGTGAACTGCTGGCTAGCGGTAAGCCACCATCTGCGCATTCATCTGTTTACATTCAGACGGAGCTGACTGAGTGTCTTACTAGCTGTGGGATCTTGGGCAGTCACTTCACCTCTCTGAGAGTGTTTTGATTACCCTGGGGATGATAATAACCCCTTCCTCAAAAGATAGCTATGACTCCCAAAAAAAAGAAAACAAAAGCCTGGGCGTGGTGGCTCACACCTGTCATCCCAGCACTTTGGGGGGCTGAGGCGGGTGAATCACCTGAGGTCAAGAGTTATAGACCAGCCTGGCCAACATGGTGAAACCCCATCTCTACCAAAAATACAAAAATTAGCCGGGTGTGGTGGCGTGTGCCTGTAGTCCCAACTACTTGGGAGGCTGAGGCACGAGAATGGCTTGTACCCAGGAGACAGTGGCTGCAGCAAGTTGAGGTCATGCCACTGCTCTCCAGCCCGGGCGACAGAGTGAGACTCTGTCTCCAAAAAAAAAGAAAAAGAAAAAGATCCCTATGAGCAAGTCCACTGAAAACCTTCCTGCTGAGGATAGGTAGTGAGTCAGTGCCATCGTCTTCCCCTAGCTGTGCCCTGGTTTTCTTGAGCCAACTCCCAGGTGCTGGTGTGTTCAAGTCCTGGGCTAACTCAGGCCTGGTGTTCCCAGTGGGGGTCCTTCTTCCAGGTGGGCTGCAAGAACTCCGTGGGGCAGACACTCCAAATGGTGGGTTCAGGCTCATCTGAACAGTCTCCCACCTGCACCCCAGCAGCTGCGGCTTCCTTCATCAGGCTCCTCAGACACAGCCACTTTGTTCCGGCTTCTGCCTTCCCTGCCTCCTATTCCCTCCGCTGCCTCCCCTGCACCCTTCGGGGCTCAGATTCAGTGTCCCCTCCTGACCTTTTCATCTAAATGAGAGACTCTCTTCGGCTGCAGCATGGTCTCATTTTCTTCTCCCTCATCTCCCTTAATTCAATTTTCATCTATTATCCCTGTACACGCACCTCCCCAGTCACACGAGGACAGGAGGTGCGTTCACTCTTGGTTCTTCCGTTCCTGGAGCCTCAGTGTGGGCCCCGCTGACATTTACTGAATGACTGGAAGATTATATATACAAATTATGTTGAACTCTCCTTCTATTTCTTTATAACCTCATTTCCCAAGTCGTGATTTCTTTGCTGCTTTTTCCGTTTGAGGTTGGTTCCTCTCTTTCAGGATGTTGTTTTTCTTCCAGGGGTTGCAGGTTCTTGGTTTTCAGCTCATGGCTGCTGTGCTCGCTGTGGGTGCCTGCCCACCAGTGGACAATGATTCTATTCACTGCCGCTCCCTCTGGGGATGGCAGGGCAGGGGGAACCTCCCGTGGGTGGGATGCAGAGGAAGGTTTTCTTCCTTGTGTGGCTGCTCCTATCTCTCCCCGGGCTTGCTGGCTACCTGCGGAGTGGGTCTCTCCTTTCATCTGGAAACAAATACTGAGGCTTCCTACTGCCCAGGATGGGCAGGGAATGGGGCAGGGGCTGCCTGACTCTGCGTCTCCAAGTGCAGGAAACCAGTGAATCACTGACGCCTGCCTCAGGGTCCCCCCATTCCCCATACCCACTGATGTGAACGTAGGGGTGTCCCAACCCTCTCTGGGCTCTGCAGTTTGGTTTGCAGGCCCCTGGCCTTGCTTCTACATAAACTTAATCCTACATGTTTTCTATCTTTCAGAAATTATTTTAAAATTCCAGAACATTGATGTACACTTGTATTTTCAATCACAATTATACACTAATCTTTTAAAAAGGCTTTCCCAGTGGCTCATGCCTGTAATCCCAGCACTTTGGGAGGCTGAGGCAGGCAAATCACCTGAGGTCAGGAGTTCAAGACCACCCTGGCCAACATGGTGAAACCCCATCTCTACTGAAAAATACAAAAACATTAGCCAGGCATGGTGGTGGGCACCTGTAGTCCCTGCTACTCAGGAGGCAGGAGAATGGCATGAACCTGGGAGGCAGAGGTTGCAGTGAGCCGAGATCGTGCCACTGCACTCCAGCCTGGGCGACAGAGTGAGACTCTGTCTCAAAACAAAATAAAAGTAATAAAAATAAAAAGTCTTTGCATCACGTGACACTTGGGGCGAATGGTGAGTGGAGCTGCCTGGGTTTCGTCTCTGCCAAGTGATTCCACATCTATCACTATATCCTCTCCTCCAAACTTGGCAAGGTTGGCAGGCCCAAGCACCAACAAGAAATGAGGAAACTGAGGCCGGAGGAGGTGAAGCCACTTCACCCCAGCTGGGTGTGCTGGCACTGGCGCCAGAACCGGCCCTCCTGTCCTTTCGTCCTTGGTCTCTTTCTACTGCCTTGGAGGGGGAGGGTCGGAGCAGAGTCCCTGGAGGGACTGCGGGGCCTGGGCTGGTGAGTGGACAAGGGTCTTTGAGCCCATGGACTCTCACCCTCTACCTCTAGATGAGGAAACTGGGAGCCCTAGGGTGCACCTTGTCCAAAGGCACATAGAAACTTAGCGGTGGTACCAGGACTCAAATCGAGGTCTCCTGATTTCCAGTCCTGAGTGCACTTCCTTGTGACAGGCCACCCTACTAAAGATCACTGTAAGGAACATGGCTGTGCTTTGGTCAAGGAATAGGCTGAGGCGGACATCCGGGCCTGAGTGACTCAGTGAGTTTGGAACGCAGGCGCACAATTCCATGTATAATGGAAACATAGCTATGGAGCCACAACATGGGAAGGCCATCCCTTGGCCCTAGGCCACTATTGTCTGTAAAAGGTATAATTGCCCTGTTGACACTGTGCAGGTGTGGTCACGCCCAGAGAAAGAGAGAGAGCCAAAGCTGTCTGTCTTGCAGACGGCGGGGAGGCAGGACCCAGCTCAGCTTCCTTGTGCCCAGAGAGAGAAAGAGTGAAGCTGCTGACCCTGAAGGCAGGGAGAGCCGGCTGCACAGCTGTGTGTCCTCTCAGCAGAGAGGAGCCACCAGGCTAAGCAGCCAAGACCGAGCAGACAGTGTGAGAGTAAGCTGCTGATGGGAGAACAGTGTAAGAGAGCTAGTGTGAGTGAGCTGCTGATGAGACAGCTGCTGAGTAGAACCACATTTCACCTGCCCTATGGCCCCCTGAGTGTTCTTTCAGCCATCTGCTCATCCACCCACTCCCCTCAGACTTCAGCAAGGGCTGGACCCTAAATCCGAGTGTGACATTTGGCATAGATGTGGACCTGACAATCACCCTGGAACCTGACTCTCCCAGAGACCTCAGAGCAAGGCCAAGTGTGCCTGTTGCCCAAGTCCCTGTTTCTTACTTCCCTGCACTTGCACACCAAGATGAGTGGAGTCTGGAGCCAAGAGTTCCTCTGACTGCAGCTTAGGACAGCTGCAGGTGCACAGAGAGGGCCTGGCTGGACCTGGGGGCAGCAGTCTGCACTGCTGGCCGGCATGTGACAGAGGAGCGAGGTGGACATGGCTGCGGGCCTGATGGATGCGTGGTCATTAGCAGGGGCGAGAGGAATGAGAGAGGATACATGAGGGAAGGAAATAAGTGAGAAAGAGAAGAGTGGGGGTGGGGGAGAGACAGATGGAGACAGAGAGAGACAGAGACAGATACAGAGACACAGAGAGAGAGACTCAGTAACAGAAAAACAAAGACAAAGAGATGTGAGAGACGGAGAGAGAGACAGAAAAAGACAGAAGACAGATAGACAGGAGAGAGATAAAGAGACACAGAGAAGCAGAGGGACAGTTAAGACAGGCGCAGACAGAGACAGACGCAGAGAGACCGAGAAAGACAGGACAGAAGAGAGAGTTTGAGAGACACACACAGTCAGGGACAGGGAGAGAGACAGAAGATGTGGCATTCAGAGTGCGGTCTCAAGCTGAAATGCCTGCCACAGCATCTGGGACAGGCAGTGGAACCATGCCATAGTGTGGGCCCATCCTGAGGCCACACTAGGGCACCCATGCCCCCCTGCAGGCCCTCCACTCAGACTTGCTGCTGTTGATTGGGTTTGCCAGCTTTGCTAGCACTGCACTGGCTACACAAATGCAGCTGAGTGCAGGCTTCGGCTCCTGCAGACTGAGAGTGAGACCCCGGGCTCCGGGGTAGAGGGGACATGGGTGGTGGTTAACCGCACGACTCAGATCCAAACCCTGGCTCTCCCACGCTCCAGCTGTGTGACCTTGGACCAGTTCCTTAGCAGCTCTGTCACTCGGTTTCTACAAATAAGGAGCATAATATTAATACTTACCCAGTAAAGCTGCTGTGAGGACCACGTGAGCTAATCTACGTGAGATGCTGACAATACTGCCTGGCACGTGGAAGGTGCGCATTAACAGTCAGTTAGGCCAAACGAAGGATGACTGTGTGGAATGGGCTTGGGGTAGGGGAAAGAAAGACAAAGAAATCACTTGGAAGGGACCAGCAACAGGGGAACAGCAGAGGAGGGAAGGGACAGGTGCTGGGGACATAAGGGCCCGGAGAGCACTGAGTAAGGAGTAGCCAGACCTGGATTCTAATCCTGACTCTGTTGACGGCCGGCTGCCACCTGGAGAGAGGCTGCTCCTCTCTGGGGCTCCAGTTCCCCACCAGGATAACAAAACACACAAAAAAGGAAAAAGCCAGCTGTATTAGGAGAACTCTACTCTGATTCTCATATCCGGAATCAATAGGAAAGTGTAAGCTTATGCAAACGAAAGAGGACTGGACCTCTGCTCTGAGAACCAAGTGCTGAAACAGGCACTACCTCATTTGACATTTCAAGCGATCGTATGGGATATTGTTCCCATTTTCACGGCAGAAAACCCAGTCTCCAGACAGTGCACCGCCCGGTCTCCATCCTGGCTGCAAAGCCCACAGAGCCCCTCCAGGCCAAGGCCACTTGCTGCGGTTCTGAGTTGCTGACAGCAGAGGGCGCCCCCACTCCACTGAAAGCAGAAAACCGCCGGCTGCCCGTGCCTGACCACTCTGAAACCTCGCTGCTGATCAGCACATTCAGTGTGGGAGGGAGACACGTGGTGTCTTTCTTCTCCTTCTCCCTCACATACAGTAAACCATTCATATAACATGGGTGCTAGAACTGAATTAACGTATTGTTTTCCCCTGAAATCGGCTGCAGCCCCTTCGTGCCTTTGATGAGCAGGATGGCCCAGGTGTCCCTGTGGTACTTCATGCAGAGAGGGCCTCAGCACACCCTGCATAAATCCTCCCCACAGCCTCCTGGCCCTCCGCCTCTGCCCTCGATCCGATCCATTGCCTCTCCCATTGCCAAAGTGGTCTCCCCAAAATCCATTTCTGGACATCCTTCCTTTCCCAGCCCCCCATGGTTCCCATGGCCTGCAGGATGCAGCCGCCTCCTCAGCCTGGCAGCAGGGGACCCTCCCCATCTGTCTTGCTCACTCTCGGCCACAGCAGCAGTTGCACGGCACTGTTGACTGTCACTGAAGCACACTCTTGCCCGAGCCTGCCCCTGGCTTGGCCACAGGATCGCCTCTTTCTAGAAAGCCCACCTTCCATTCTCCTCTCCGCCAACCAACATCCGGAGGCAGCAGAAGGCAGTGGAAGGGCGTGCACTGTGGCAGAGACATGCAGGTGCTCCTCTTTCCTGTGCTTTGACAAGAACTCAAACCCCTAGCAATCACAACGGACTCGTTTATTAAATAGGAATATGTAAAGTACCCTTCATTTGTTGTTTTTTGGTTCGAATTTGTGAGATAACATAGGTGAAATTCTGGGTACTTAACAGATCACCACCCACAGTAAAGAACGCCATTATGGCCAGGTATGGTGGCTCATGCCTGTAATCCCAGCACTTTGGGAGGTCGAGGCAGGCAGATCAAGAGGTCAGGAGTTTGAGACCAGCCTGGCCAACATAGTGAAACCCTGTCTCTACTAAAAATACAAAAAATTAGCTGGGCGTGCTGGTGGGTGCCTATAATCCCAGCTATTCGGGAGGCTGAGGCAGCAGAATTGCTTGAACCCAGGAGGCAGAGGTTTCAGTGAGCCGAGATAGTGCCATTGCACTCCAGCCTGGGCAATAGAGTGAGACTCCATCTCAAGAAAAAAAAAAGAGGATGCCATTACAACCCAACTCAAATGCTACCTCCCCCATGAAGACTCTCCCATCTCCTGTCTCTCCAGCCCCCTCCAGAAGTGGCTTCTCTTTCTTCTGGAATTCAGTTTCCATCTCATCTCTTCCTCTCTCCTGACACGTAGGCTCTCCTTGTCCTATACTTTGCAAATCTTACCCTCCCCTCTAAGCTGTGAGTTTAAGAGTCAAGGCCTGGATGTGATTTGTCTTCTACCCCCTGCAGGGCCTGGCGTGCAGTGATGCTCATGACATGAATGGATGCAGGCACTGTACTGACTGACGTGAACTCAACAGTTCAACAATGAGCTCCCTGCTGTACTCGGACCACATAACGTGGCCTCAGGAGAGGAAGATAAATGAAACACAGAAGTCTTCAGGCAGCTCCCACCCACCCAATTATGTTACTGTGCTCACCCAACAAAGGAATCCATGCCCTCACCCTGTGGTCTCCTTGGGAAGGGGGAAGATGGCATCTTAGGAGCTGAGAGCCACCCTGGCTGCCCCCACCCAGACACCTCCAAGCTAATGATGCCCATTCCCAGGGACTTCCACCCAAAGGGCTGCCTTGTCCTCCCGGTGGGGACTCCACCACCACCCTGTTCTAGGAGCAGCACATCCTAAGGTGTCTCGGGATGAGCCCTGGAGCTACCCACGGACTTGGTACCTGAGATCTCGAGCTGCCAAGTGGCTGCTCCATAAAGGCAACCGAGTGAAGATGAATGCGGGCATCTGTAGGCACCCAGCACACAGCGGGTACCCAGTAAATACTTATCACAGTCACTCCTAGTGCATGACACTGCCAACCCCTCAAAAGCAACACAAATTGGGGGTGAGACTTATTGATGACTTTTTATAAGGCTGACTTGGGAGCCAAAATGGAAAAGACAGAGGTGCCCATGTCTGCAGGGTGGATTGTGGCTTCAGTCCCTTCAAAACACCAACTCTCTTTTGTTAATTGCTTAGGGACCTTCTACCAGGTGCCAAGCCCTGCACTTGCTCTCATAACTCATTGGATCCTTAGAGCCACTAACTGGGAGAGGCATCACCATCCACCCCTAAATGTCAAGTATGGACATGGAGGCCAGAGGGGTCCAGAGCTTGTCTAAGGTACCTGCACTGGTGGAGGCCAACCAGGGTGACAGCCTAGTTCCTCCGATTCCAAGGCTGGTGCTCTTCCCATTTTGAGGCCCCTCCTTGCTCTGAGTCAGGGCAGGACACCTGGGGAACCTCAGGACTGGAATGTTTACAGCCACCCAACGTTGTCTGGGAGACATGGTTTTCTAGGTGGAAACAGGGCCCTCAACGCCCAGTGCTTGGCCCTTTTTGTGTGTAGACTCCTCTCTGTGCCTGGCTGGATTCACCTTATGATTTGCCCAGCAGCCCCTGGACAGCCCACTCGGGCTCCGCCACCTGGACCTCCTCATGCCTCCAGAGCCTTCAGTTACCTCACTGTGCCTGCAGAGACATGATCTGGTAAACCCCCAGATGAAGGGCCGTCTCCCTGCTTTACAGGGAATGCCCTGCCCTGGGGCTGTTAGAGGTGGCCTCAGTGCTGGACGATGGTGGCTGTCTCTGCTAAGGCAGGGCTGGGGCACTGTCCCACCCCATGTTGGGCAAGGCCAGGCAGCTGGAAGGGCTTTTTCCAAGAGAAGATGGAAACCTTCTTGCTGATATAAGAAATCAGAGAGGTTCCTGAGAAAATAAACTGTAAGCACCCACCAATACGAGAGCTGAAAAGGGGTGTTCGGCATCACGCAACCCAGGCTCTTCCTTGGCAGGTGGGTAAACAGAGGCACAGAGAGGAGCCAGCTCTTTTGTGAGTCACCAGCACATCAGCAAGGGAGTCGGAGGCAGTGCAAAGCTGACCTTCAGAGGTGCGGGCTCATCCTCACCCCTTCTCCGTGTCTGTTTTCTCTTTCTCTCTATCCTCAAACCCCATATATAAAGCACATGCTGCCCAGAACCTTTCTAAGCCTTTTGTAAATATTAACTCATGGAATCCTCATCATATCCTTATGAAGTAGATAAAATTACTCTCTGCAGTGAAGAAACCTGGGACTTGCAGGTTAAATAATTCTGCACAGGTCACACTGCTCGCAGAGCCCCGAGCTGGGATTCAAGGGCAGGCCCCAGGATCACAGTGCAGGGCTGCTCTAGCCACGGCCACGTCACCTGGTGCAGGCTGCAGGGACTCAGAGGCTGATGGGGGCGTGGCTGAGGTTACTCCCTGCACCTCACCAGGGGATGATCTTCGCTTCCTGAGCTTACCCCAAAGGAAGCTCCCACAGCAGGTAGAGCTATGGCGACAGTCTAGGGGAAATACGCCAGCATTCTGCCTTTCTGACCTTCGGGCCTGGTAACCCACAGATGGGAAGGCCCAAACCAGAAATGAGGAGTTTCTGGATCCTGCTGGCTTTCTAACAGGCCACAGGGCATCAGGAAACACATGGCCTCTGCGCTCAGTTTCCCCCGCTTCACAATCAGGAGTTCTCCCCCGGCTTCTCTACAGCCCTTTCCAAGTCTGATAATTTAGGATTTTGATAAAACCGCAGTGTTCCTTGACTGAACAAAAGTCTTAAAGCAAGACTCCAAAAGCTTGCTGGAAAAACGTCCAACGCTACATGGAAAAAAGCCTGTTGCTTCCAAACGGTGTTTTGGCAAGAACAAAACAGTGCATACAGACTGGATTTCTCTTGAAGCAAGTGGGAAAAAGTAATAAATGTTTGTGAATGTGTTAGTTATGGACCGGACGCTGTTCCTGTTATCCACCTTCCAACGGCTTCAGAGAAGACATTAATATTTCCATCCTGCAAGTGAGAAAACGGAGGCTCCAGTAGCTGTGGCAGCTGTCCCAGTGGCAGACCTGGCCCCCCGGGGCCTGCGGAGAGCTCTTTGCTTCTCTGGGAAAGCCGACTGCACCGCGCCTCAGGAGCTCACCCGAAGCCCCCGCAGCCTCCAGGAAGCGTGGAGATCATTGTTCCGATGGAGACGGTTCCTGCTGTGGACGCTCAGTGAGTGTTTTCTCCCTGTGATGTTTCCTGGCTCAGGTGAGGTGGTCCAGGCAGCTTCCTGTTGGCCGTCTCATCCACTCCCAGGGTTTCGTCTAACCCTGAGCGTGGAGTACCCCCTTTAAACCCACCCGCACATCGCCAAAAAGTCCCATTCCACACCTGTGAGGGAAGGCCGTCTGCACGCTGAGTTCGATCTTGGTTCCTGCATCGTCTCTCGCATGGGCCCGGTGCTCACCCATGTGTCAACAGAGGACTGGCCACGGGCCATGCTGCAGGTACCAGCTCACGCAGGGAAGACCCAGAGGTGAATAAGGTGCGTTATGTTAAAAATCCAAGAGTCTACATATGTGTGTGGGGGTGGGTGGCTGAAAGGCAAACAAATGCCATGTGGTTGACCAAGGTCATCACGGTGAAGAGGACAGGGGTTCTAAGCAGCACAGAAGGAGAGGCTCTGGGACAGGTCCAGGGAAACCCAGCAAGACTTCTGAGGGAGAGATGCTTGAGCAAAGCGTATTTAAAAAAAAGATTTTTATACCAATCTTCGTGGCTGGATGGCTGGGTGGGTGGGCACGTGACTGAGGCAATGAATAGAATACAGGAACGGATGCGTCCATTCACCTTTTCATACATTTCTAATCACGCTGTAGGTTTCTTAGGTCAGAGATTATGCTTGTAGTTTTGGATTCTTTCTGGCACATTAAAGAAAATAAATACTTAAAACATAGTTTTATTAGCCAGGTGTGGTGGCGCATGCCTGTAGTCCCAGCTACTCAGGAGAGGCTGAGGCAGGAGAATTGCTTGGACCCGGGAGGTGGAGGTTGCAGTGAGCCGAGATCGCACCACTGACTCCAGCCTGGGCAACAGAGTGAGACTCCGTCTCAGAAAAAATAAAACAAAAAACAACAACAAAAAACCCATAGTTTTGGATTTCTTCAGAATGTCTTCAATGTTTCTCCATTAGGCAGAGGGTGCTGAGTGCTGGGAGGCGTCTCTGCAAAGCCCCGGCGCCGCGTGTGGCCTAGCTGCAGACACTGAGGCTGGGGACAGGCCCCCCAGTTAAAAAATATATATTCTTTAAAAAACAAACAAAGCAAAACAAACAAAAAACATTCTTTTTGCACTTCAGATTAGTGCTGTGTGACTTACACCCACTTTCCTGGACTGCTGGCTCATGGAACAGTGAACCCAGATGAGGCAAACAAGCCCCAGGAGCGGAACCACCACAGGCCCCTGAGTGGCCTTCCCCTGACAGGCTCAGCCCAGCCCAGGATTCAGACAAATGGAGAAGCCACCGCCTTCCCAGGCTGATCCCGGCTTCTGGCTGCCCCCCGAGGGACCACATTGGTACTGGATTTGGTTCTGATGACCAAGGCACTAGGAGTCTTCGGCCTCCATATCCCCTTCAAATACGGCTGTCTCTTGTCTTCACACAACCTGGCTCTGTGCTCCTGTCCTTTGGAGTGGGGGGTCCCACACCTTGGATTCATCCATTGTCCTTACAGGGGATCTGGCCGTAGGACATGTGATTTGAAGGAGTCATCTCTTATTCATTTATTGATTTAGCAAATGTGTATCAAAGGCCACCTCTGCCCCAGCTCGACAGTAAAGCACTGCACACCTGCAGCCGTGTGTTGAGCTGACTACGTAAATATCCGCCATGTGTTGGCAGGTGTTGCCCGCTAAACTCTTGGGACCTTGATGGAGGGCCTGCACCAGGCACTCTGTGGGTGCTGAGGGAAGACGGGATGCCTGGAAGCCTGTTTCAGACTCCAGGCCAGGGACAGGCTCCACCTCTGACTGCACCCTCAGGTGACAGCCAGCGTGTGACCCCCACATGCCTGGGCCTTCTGTCTGAATCACTGCTGAGCCACACGCTTTGGATGTGAGTCTCAAGCTTCCTCTGGCTTCTACAGCCCAGCCCTGCTGCGGGGCAGTTCCTCAAACCCCACTCTCCGCTACACGGGGATTGAAATAAGACCCCTGCTCCCTCCAGCACCAGAGCTGCACAGCAACTCACGCTCCTGTGTGCCCAGAGCCTCAGTTACTCCAAATGCCACTTTTATGTCCTCACCATGTGAGGGAAGGAGCAGAGGGCCCACAGAGAGAGCTGACCAGCAAACAAATCTACAGAAACATGTGAAAGCTCTCGGAAGAGGTAACGGTAAGGGTTTTGCTTATTAAAGTTAAAATGATTAAAATTTAATATACAAACAAACAAAAATCATGTTTGGGAGCCTGCTTTGGGGAACGAGGCCAGTCCCCGCCTCCCTGAATGAAAAGGGACCTTTCAGAAAGCAACGTGAGCGAGCCACAGACAGATTCATTTGCTTTGACCAGTAATTTCACTTCTGGGAAAGCAGCCTAAGGAAATAATCATAAATTTGAAAATAAATAAATAAAGCTATAAGTTTTAAAATGCTCACCAAAAGCATTCTTTTTTTTTTTTTTTTTTTCTGAGACGGAGTCTTGCTCTGTCGCTCAGGCTGGAGTGCAGATGCACAATCTGGGCTCACTGCAACCTCCGCCTCCCAGGTTCAAGTGATTCTCCTGCCTCAGCCTCCCGAGTAGCTGGGACTACAGGCGCCCGCCACCAAGCCCGGCTAATTTTTGTTATTTTTAGTAGAGACGGGGTTTCACCGTGTTAAGCCAGGATGGTCTCAATCTCCTGACCTCGTGATCCACCTGCCTCGGCCTCCCAAAGTGCTGGGATTACAGGCGTGAGCCACTGCGCCCAGCAGCATTCTTTTTAAAAGTGAAAAACTGGAAACAATTGTAAATGATCAATGCCAGGGGAATGGGTACCTGAATTATGGTTTATTCACTCAGTGGAACGCTGTGCAGTCATTTAAAACAAGCTCTAAAAACTCTACAGCAGCACGGAGAAAACGCTGCATGTCGGAACAGCAAACAGGACGCAGCATGGAATACAGGATGATGTGGCTGTGGAGGGACACTCCCCATGTGTAAGAATTCCCAAGGGAAATATGCCTACGTGCCCACTATAGTTGTATCAGGATGGCAGGATTACAGGCTATGTTTCACTATCTTTCAAATATCTTAAAATAAATGTAAATTAAGGTTGAAGAACAAGTTCCTATGGAACTAGAGAGTCACATCCTGCAGGAAGACAGCATGCAGCAGACCCCAGCAAAGCATCTCAGACATGGGTTAGGCGAGAGGGCCTAGCCCCAGCTCTTGGGACACATTGCTCCAGATCGTAAGGAACTCAATGAATGGGGCTGGGAAGAGTACACTGAAAATTCAGCAGCAGCTATGGTTTGGGAAGGTGGAGCTGGGTGGGAGTTGCAGTGGTTGGGCAGCCATCCCCACCACTCCCCAGGGGAACCATGAACCGGCAACAATGTCAGCACATATGGCGGAATCCAATCGGAGAACCCTTCCACTGTTACCTGGCAGCAGTCATGAAGGAGCCTCCACCTAGGCCTCCTCAGACATGTTGGTTGCATGGCAATCTACATTTAAGAGCCCGAGTGTGGGCCAGTTCACAACGTTTGGTGACTGTGGCTCAAATGCAGGTCACCAATGCCACTCTTGTCACCACTCATTCTTCCATTTGTTTGAGAGCCAGGGTAACTGAGGACCAGAGAAGTTATGTAACTTGCCAAGTAAGATACGAGTCCTCTGAGGCAGCAACTGGGACTTTGGAGTCCAATCCTTAAACCTGTCTGGTCTGGAAACCCTAAACTCCGCCTTGGTGCAGAGGATGACAATACCTGCAGGTACTGAGACCACAGCCTTCCCAGCACAACTTACATTTAGGGTGGGAAATTAACACTGTCTGCATCAGCCCTCGCCTGCCACATGCACACATACACATGCAAATATACATGTACACACATGTGCACACATGCACACACAAATGTGTACACACACACACGAGCATACACAGAGCAGATGGTTCCATGCACCCTCTCCCTTTTCTATGGAAAGCCGTATTGATGAATGAGTGCAGACTATAAATACCTTTTCTCCTCGAGTTCCCTTTTCACCTCGTTCTCCTTGGAGACCCTGGGGGACAAAGAAAGAGCAGTGACCCAACATCTTAATCTGGCTTCTCTGTGCTCACCGTGGGGGTGTCCATGGAGAAACTGCCTGGCAGCTTCCAGCCCAGGGTGGCAGGGATGGTGATAGTGAGGACCCTGTCTCCCTGTGTAGTCTAAGGCCACAAAGCAGCTGCTGTGTCGTCTGGGCCTGGGCAGCAGAGGCAGGCCACTTCCAGAGTGAGACGTGAGTTCCTGGGCTTGTCCCTTGGCTTAGGCGATCCAGGTCCTCACGGCCATAGATTGGGACATAGCCCGGCTCCTGAACTCCAGTGGCCAAGGACAGAAATGTGGCTTCAAAGTCAGTTCCCCCCAAGACACTACATCTGTGATACCCCATGACCATGGTGCCCAGCCAGGGGTCCCAACGTTGAATCAGAGAATGGCTCCTTTAAGGCAATCGCCCCTCCTCCCTCGGGGATAGGGTCACTGTCTGTCCCCATTGCTCATCCTGCCTTTATCTAGAGCAGCACCTAGACCTTGTGCTGTGGACTCCCTGCCCCTCTGTGTATAGACTAGGTGGGAATGTCAGCCAGGATATGGGTTTCTCTGAGTGCAGGATCCAAAACATGATCCCCCTGCTTCCCCCCACCCCATCATCCAGGGTCACTGGATCCTCTTACCATGCGTCACTTTGTTGATAATACTCAGCCCTGAACGCTGCATTTTCTGCCTCCCCCAGGTAGAATGTAAGCCCCACTAGGGCAGTTCCTTCAATATGGTATCCCCAGAGTCTAGAACAGAGCCTGTCACTTGGTAGGCACTAATACACATTTGTTGAATGACTAACTGACCCAGTGAGTGACTGTGTCGATCCCTCGTTTGGCACAGGAATCTTCTAGGGGTTGTGTCGGAAGGCTACTGCCCTACTCTGAGAAGCAGAAGGCCTGGCAGTGCATGTGCCTGCTCTTCCCAGGTGCACAGATTACACGGTGAGGCACTGGGGCCACCCACACGAGCTGAAAAAAGCACAGCTCCTCCCCAGGCAGCAACCAGCAGGCCAGGCAATGGCGCAGGGTAGGGACCTCCAGGATGAGCAGGAACATGTCCTGTGTATCTATGTGAGCTCCCTGTGGGCTCCACTCCCTTTTCTCTCCTTTCTTGGAGAAGAGACCCTGGGGCATTCTATGGAAAAGATGGTAGAGATAGCGGGTGCCACCCAGGCCTCCTTGTTGATTTCTGGAATGATACACACATCTTTGACCTAGAGAGAGTACAGGGCCAAGGCCACAAGACGCCGTCCTAAAGAGCAGAGCATCTGCAGGGCCATCCAGACCTAAAGGGTGAGTGGGCATCCTTCCTGTTTTAATTTCATCTAAATATTTTGGTCACACACAGAGATCAGAGGTCTTCAATGTCTCCCTGGCAACTCAAGCTGCTTTGCTTGAAAATGACATTTTACACTGCTTCTTTCATTTATCTATGTTTTAAGCCCTGCATGCATTAGATATTTGTCCTAATGCTCTCCCTCCCCTTGCCCACCACCCCCCAACAGGCCCTTGTGTGTGATGTTCCTCTCCCTGTGTCCATGTGTTCTCATTGTTCAACTCCCACTTATGAGTGAGAACATACAGTGTTTGGTTTTCTGTTCCTGTGTTAGTTTGCTGAGGATGATGGTTTCCAGCTTCATCCATATCCTTACAAAGGACAAGGACTTATCCATTTTTATGGCTGCGTAGTATTCCATGGTACATATGTGCTGCATTTTCTTTATCCAGTCTATCATTGATGCACATTTGGGTTGGTTCCAAGTCTTAGCTATTGTAAATAGTGTTGCAATAAACATACGTGTGCATGTGTCTTTATAGAGAATCGAGAATAGTGTTAAATGGTCGAGAAGCTACTTTGTTCCTCATACACCATATCTGTTTGTTCATCTCTTTATTCACTGGACATACTGAACACCATACTGGACAGTCTGGCACTGTTCCAGGGGCTAAGAATTCAGTAGACTCCACCCTTCTTACAAGAGTACAGTACAGGACAGGCTGGGGAAAATGAATTCTTTAGATCAAGTGTCAAAAATCCTGTGGTGCTGGTTAAAAATGCAGATTCCTGGGATCTACCCTGCTTCTTGATGTGAGAAAGGGGTCCCAGGAATATGCATTTAAACTTGTTCTCTGGGTGATTCTTATGGACTGTAACATCTAATAATTTCTGGTCTAAGAAAGGAGATACCAACACTTCATTGGCATCAGTAAGGCAAAACAGCATTACTGTCTAGATGCAGGTGGAGGAACTTGCTAGAACCTGGTTTTTGATTCCTGGAGAAGGGGTAGAACCCCTGCCCAGACAAGTGCCTTCACTTACAGGAGCTCCGACACGTCCAGGAGGTCCGGGGAGTCCAGGTGGTCCTTGGGGCCCCTGCAGAAGAGCATTTACAGAGTAAAGTTTCAGGGATGGAAAAGAAAGGCAAGTGCAGCCGTACAGCTCAGCCAGTCCCACGTTTGGTGACAAGAGCTGCTAGCTCACCTCTCACCAAGTGCTGCCCATGCTGTTGGCACAGGTCTCGCCAGCAGACACTCCCTCGACCTCTGCTTCCCTTCCCTATTTAGAAGTCATGCCATCTGCTGCCTGGTGGAGCCCTGATTCACACCCAGATTCTCTTGACTTCAAGAAACAGCTAAAGGTGTGTGCCTATGAACCACCAGGAGGCCAGATGCTACTATTCCATTTCACTCTCCCCGTGCCCCTCGGCCTCCCCATGACCTGGGTCTGGATATGTTCATAGCTTCTGAAACATTACAACTGATTCCTGTGGCTCATCATTCACACTTTGCCATGGGCTCAGTACAGCCTGGACAAGTCCTGACAAAGAGCTCAGAAGTCTGCAGACCTGGAGGTACCTCTGCTAACCAGACCATGAAGTGCTATTGCCTCTGAACAACTAGTTTGGAAATTATCTATTAAAGTCTGCTAAAATAACAACATGTATTCATTCAGCCAAGGGTATCCCAATTTTTAATCTATCCTACTGCAATAAAAATATAGTAGATAAGGAGAAACACACAAATGCACACATGCACGCATATTCAGTGCTTCATTAATTTTAGTGGAAAACAAATGACATTAGTATAGTCCTTAGGACCATAAATAGGGGAATGTTATATATTACAATACATCCATATGAATGTTATATATTACAATATATCCATGTATGATTGGGTACATCCAATACATCTAATTCTATGCATTGATTAAGAGAATGTGTGGGGCCCATCTGTATTTACAGAGAAAGATGTCTCTCATCTCTTGTTAAATAACAAAGATAAATGACCAAGTATGATATAAATACATTTTTGTAAGAATTGTGTGTGGATATACACACACAAATGTGCAAGCAGTTATATGAGAAGAGGGGCAGGGAACCTATCTGAGCATCTCTTCTGCACCTAAAGCAACTGGCTTTGCACTGGGCCTTGTCCCCTGGGAGCATCAGAAGGGCCCAGCTCACAGCAACACTCACCCGCATGCCGACCTCACCCGGCAGCCCCGGCTCTCCCAGCTCTCCTGGCTCCCCCTGAACAAACAAAACAACACAAAGTCATAGGCAGTGGGACACAGGCCCAGGTACACCAGAGAAGCCCACAGTCTCCCAGGGCCTCTGCTTCCTGCAGCTCAGAACACATCACAGAAACAAGGTAGCCACCAGTGAGCAGGGCCCGGGCTCCCCTCAGATGCTATTTCTATAAGCAAAGAAGCGGACCTTTGCTGCACACAGTATTTTTTTTTCTTTAGAAACAGGGTCTGATTCTGTCTCCCAGACTGGAGTGCAATGGCACGATCATAGCTCACTCATTATAACTTCAAAATACTTGGCTCAAGTGATCCTTCTGCCTCAGCTTCCCAAGTAGCCTGGACTACAGGCACGCACCACTGCAGCCGGTTGTTTTGTTTTTTGTAGAGACAGAGTCTCGCTTTGTTGCCTATGCTGGCCTTGAAATCCTAGCCTCAAGTGATTCTCCTGCCTCGGCCTCCCAAATAGCTGGGATTATAGTTGTGAGCCACCATGCCTGGCAACACAGTATTAGCTCCACTCCTACTCACTTCTGTGGCTGGAAGTCAACAAAATTAACTTTGGAGAGAGCAGGGGGAAAGTGTAAAAACTGGCGCCACCCTGACGGTTGTCTTCATGGAAAGGATGTTGGCCACCTAGAGTGGAGTGAGAAGAGAGTCTAGGGTCCAAGTAACTCCCCTTTCTCCCTTGTCTCCAGGATCTTAGACCACCTGTCCCAAAGTGCTGCCAGCTGTGGACCTCAGCGTTGCTCACAAGCCAGGTTCCCTCTCTGAGACCTGATCATGTGTGGCTGAACATGGCGAAGGGATCAGAGAGGTGAAGAACGCAGAACTAATGTGTACTTGGATGCTTGGTGGAGAGGAGACTGACCCACCGAAGCTGAGATCACTTTGAGCTTGGGTTGCTGGAGGATGTTGCAGCTCAGAGGCAGGTGAGATGAAGAGGTGGGGTTTGGGGTAATGATCGGAGGAAAGCTGGCTTGCCACATAGGGTGTGGGGTGTTGCTTGGGTCTCACTCTGACTCCTCCAGCTACAAACTGGGGTCTTAAGCAAATCCATTGCCTCGCTGGGGCTAGTTCCAAGTCTAGGCACGGGGGATAACAAGGTTGCCTTGCAGAACTACTTGTTAACTAAATGAAAAATCATTTCCAAGGACAGGCAGGCGATACCCGGGGGGCAAAGCTGCTGCTGGTCTTGTCACAGCTATTAGGCTGAGCTCCTGGTATCTGCGAGGATCCTAATATAAATACGTCCCCACTCAAGTCTGGCCCTGGCAATGCCACCCCACTTAAGGACACGGGGTTCTGACCAGGAGATCACCAGCCTAGTACTGCCTTGTGAGCCAGGGCAGACGGAACAGAACTTACTCTCATGCCTTTGCTGCCGTCTCTCCCAGGGGGGCCGGGCAGGCCCAGGGAACCCTAAAGCCAAAAAAAGAGAATAGCAATTAGTAAAGAATAACTGAGACAGGCTCTCAGAATGCTAGTGCAGTGGAGAACGTGCCAGGAAGGGAAGGAAATTGTGACCAAGACTGCTGCTCAAAAATTGATCCACAAGCCTGCAGCATAGGCATCACTTGGGAGAGTATAAAATGCAGATTCCCAGGTTTCACATCAGATCTACATCAGGGTCCATGTCATAGCCACATACCCAGAAGATCTGTATGCACCTGATGTGGGAGGAAGCAGCTCTGGTCCATAGTCCTTCACTAGCTGGAGGTGCGGCCCTTCCTCGCCCTGGGCTTGGTCTCATATGTGTAAAGTAGAGGATTGGGCTGCAGCGGGGCTCTCAACCTTGGCATCATAGACATCTGACTGGATGAGCCTTTGCTATGGGGCTGAGCTGTGCACTGTAGGATGCTCGGCTGCATCCCTAGATGCCAGCAGCACCCTCCAGGGGTGACAACCAAAAATGTCTTCAGATATTGCCAAAAGCCTCCTGCTTGGGAACCACTGGGCTAGAAAAGGTATTCAACTTGTTTTAATTTTAGCTGGGACAAACTTCTTTCTAAGGAATCTCATGCAGACACACATGACATGAATAAACACGGTGCAGCTGTGGGAAGTTGGGGGCTAGACCAGCTCCTCACCCCACTTTCTACTCCACACACATCCTGGAGAAGGCTGGGGCAGGGAATTTTGAAACAGGTAACTCCAGCACCTCTAAGCTCCCGCCCAGCTCCAACACCACTTGGTGCCAATCAAAGGATCCTGCCTGAGATCTCCCCGCCCCACTCCCAGCTCTCCGTCAGTGTCTGTGTGGCACTGAGCAAGGCTGCGCCTCTCTCTGGGCTGTTTCCATCTATACAGTGCGGGTGCTGGGTATTCAATGAACAAATGAAGAGATGAAACTCTACTATGTAAAGTTTATAAAACACTATGTGCCAAAGTATATTTCTACATACATCATCTGATTTACTCATCATAATCCTATGAGATATGTATTATTTTCTCAAAGCATATCAGATATATTTCTAGATTTTATCTACAAACATGCAGGCATATACATGCTTTTAAAATTTCTATGAAGTGCCTTCCATGGCCTCAACATTCTGTCTGACATAAGTCAGTGTGATATTGAAAAGAAAGACTGACAGACAAATGTCTCTGGCCATGGCATGATACAGACATGAGTCCATCTCAGCTGTAGACCTTCCTGGCTGTGAGACCTTTTCTTTGAGACATGGTCTTGTTCTTTCACTCGAACTGGAGTACAGTGACATGAACATGGCTCATGCAGCCTTGACCTCCTCGGCTCAAGCAATCCTCCCACCTCAGCCTCCTGTGTAGCTCGGACTACATGCACACATCACCACATCTGGCGAATTTTTGTATTTTTTGTACAGACAGGGTTTCACAATGTTGCCCAGGCAGGCCTCAAACTCCTGAGCTCAGGCAATCCACCTCCTTGGCCTCCCAAAGTGCTGGAATTACAGGAGTAATTCCAAGTCTAGGCATGGGGGATATGGTGGTGGCAGGCACCTATAATCCCAGCTACTTGGGAGGCTGAGGCAGGAGAATCGCTTGAACCAGGGAGGTGAAGGTTGCAGGTGCCCAGCCCTGGCTGTGAGACCTTAAACACACCCTGGAAGTCTCAGAGTCCCACTGGCCTCAGGTGTGAAGTGTGGATATTGTTACCAGCAGCAGGATGGCTGCAAGGTGAGGCAAGGTTTGGTAAATGAAAGTGTGCACACTCTGCTGTGGGAACAGAATTGGGCTTCCTGGTACTGTCCGTTCTCCCAGTGACCCAGGCCCACGATGACAGACGGATCAATGGAAGCACCCCACCAGCGCACCTGTGGCCTGGGAAAGAACACCTTTGCCAGCTGCTGTGTGCACCATAAGCCTCTGGGGATGGCCACACAGATTTGCTCTGCTGCCCTTACCTGACAATTCAACAGCAGAGACAAAGGGACTGTGCAAAGACACAACACTGACTTACTTGTAAGTTGCTTGCAGTTCTCAGGCTTGGGACCAGGAGGGTCTAATCCTGGGCCCTGAGGGGTAGTAACTTCATGTGGGTGGGGACTGGCAGAGGGGATGTCTCCAGCAAGGAAGCCTAGCAAGCAGTCATTCATGGAAAGGGCAGGCTGAACACCACCCCTCTGACCCTCGCTTAGAGGAGGGTGGGTACTTTGGGGCAAATTCCTTACTCTCTGAATCTCAGTTTAATTTTCTATAAAATGGGGACAATCACGGTGTATTAGGGTTTTCTAGAGGGACAGAACAAATATATATATATTTTTTTCAAAGGGGGAGTTTATTAACTAACAACAAGATCACAAGGTCCCACAATAGGCCATCTGCAGGCTGAGAAGCAAGGAGAGCCAGTCCAGGTTCCAAAACTGAGGAACCTGGAGTTCAGTGTTCCAGGGCAGGGAGCATCCAGCATGGGAGAAAGATGGAGGCTAAGAGGCTGGGCCAGTCTCTCCTTCCACATTTTTCTGCCTGCTTATATTCTAGCTGTGCTGGCAGCTGATTAGATGGTGCCCACCTAGATTAAGGGTGGGTCTGCCTTTCCCAGCCCACTGACTCAAAAGTTAATCTCCTTTGGCAACACCCTCAGACACACCCAGGATCAATACTTTGTATCCTTCAGTCCAATCAAGTTGAGGGTATTAACCATCACACACGGCCACTGTGAAAAGTTGTTTTAAGTATTAAAATCCTCCCAGGTGCTTCCCAGAGCATTTCCAAAGGAAATGGGGATTCTTTGATCAAACAACTATGTGGAAAAAAGTGCAGAGTTAAACCAAGTGAAGCAAGTTCCTTTACAGTGGGTTTTCTTGAAGGCTTACTCATGCCCTTGTTGATGATTCTCCATGAGGCCCTGGCCTACCAGACCCTTTTCAAGGGCATGGAAGGACCTGCTGTGGCTCAGAGCCCAGAGCCCAGAGCCCATGCAGGGAGAGGGACTGCTGCTTCTCAGAGCCTCATCTAGGGTAAAACTGGGTCCAAGACAAAATGAACAAGGGCTGTTCATTCTTAAACTTGTGATGGAGACCAGGCTGCCATTGCTTTCATTTCAGCAGAGGGTTCGAAGATGTTAGTTGGAGAATCAACCTTATTTCTAGGGTTAAAAGAGGAAACACTGAGACAGTCTCAGACTGGCAAGTGTTGTATTTAGGGGTGATTTTTGGAAGGCGGGAGACATGCTCATTCCAGGATACCTGTCCATCCTTGGCTGGATACAAAGGGGCAGACAAGTGGTTTGGGAATATTTCATGAGAGAAAGGATTGTTCAATGGGAAGGATAGGGGATTTCTGTCATCAGTTGTTTCTTGGGAAAAGTGGGGGCCACTGGTTTACTTTTGTGGGTTAAACTATCACAAGCATCTTCCTTGGAGCATGCTGTCACGGCAGGTGCTTTCTCAGCCTCCAGTTACACATCAGCAAAATGAGGAGCCACCTCCCCTCCCCTTGAGCCACTTCCCCATTTGGCAGTTCTGGAATTTAAATTTTAAAATCTGAGATTGAAAGAGGTAACCAGTACAGGAGGAGGTGATTTCTACCCGATTAAACACACATGCATGTTTAATAATGGCAGAACCAACAGTCAGAGTAGAGTAATATTAATCATAGTGTATTAATGTGATAGTACAGATGTTGCTGAGGATAGTTTATCTATTATTACAAGGCGCCAGGCACTGAGCACTTTACATCCATCACTGCATTCAACGCCTCCCCACAACAGTTCTATGAAAGAGACAGAATCATCATCTCCATTTCAGTGTTTATGAAACAAAGTCACAGACAGCTGATTAGCTCTAATCTAATCAGCTGATTAGATTAGATTTAATCTGCCCAAAGTTACAGTGCTTATAGAAGAGCCAGACTCCAGGCCCTAGAGTGTGCTTCCGAACATCTTCACAACACTTAATAGTGTCCGAACTCACATCAGTTCCCTGGTTGTGGGGCAGCCCTATAAGCTAAGCGTTGCTATCCTCACCCTACCTTCGGGCACACTGGGGCACAGGGCAGGTGCATGACTTTCTCATGGCTACCAGGGAGTCTACATGGCAGAGTGAGGCAGGTTGGGGTAGTTCACACTTTAGCATCCAGCCTTAGCTCTCCCTCTCCAGGGATTCTGCCCTTCCTCTTCAGCCTCCACCAGCCCTGCTCCCCTGGGGATACTGAAAGGAACACTCATTTGACTGCCTCAGAGGCGGAGAAGCTCTGCGTGGAGCCAGGAGACGGTGGTGAGCAATAAAGTGGGCTCAGCTCCCAACACAGCCTGTGTCTCCAAGGTCCATGCTCCAACCCCTACCTGCCTCTTGCACTAACCTGGGCAAATGATGATGTCCATTTCCAGGGACACCAGTCCATGAGACACATCCCTACAACCCTAGGAATCAATGATAGATTTTCCTATAGCAGGCAGCATCACAAAAGGATGAGGACTTCCTCTGAGGGCATGCGCTAGATAGTGCCTCCCTCCAGAATCAGGCCGCTGGGGGTGACTCGCCTGAGATGTTGGTCACCCACTTACGATGGCACGCCCTCGAATGACCAGTCTGTCTTCTGGCTCTGGTGGGTTGGGCAACCCTGCAGCTGAACGCAGAGGCAGGGATGTCTTGATGGGATGGGCTCCTTTCTCAGGAATAAAGGAGGGGGCAGCAGGACACCTTGGCCTCTCCTCCCAGCTGCCAGTTTTCTAGCGTTGTTGGTTCTTTCAAATAGATGCCCAGTAGATGTCTGTGTGAATTTCTCTCGTCCACAAGATGGGAGCTCTGTGAGATGTGGAGCAGGACTTAAGCACCTCTGCATTCCCAGTGTCTGGCTTGACATAGTGTCCACACTGCCCTGTGTGCTTCAATTCTTTCTAGAGCCCTGTGGGCTTGTAAGGGAATGGAAGACTCCTACTTTAAAATTAGTCTTGTGTAAGCCCCAGAGACAAGGTGAACAGCGGGTGTGGTAGAGAGGTAATGGTCCTTAGAGCCAACGAGCCACAGCTTCACACTGTCCACCTCCCACTCTCCCTGCCTCCCCATCACTAAGTACTGATGACTTTGGACAAATTGTCGAAGTGCTCTGAGTCTTGGTCTTCATTTGTAAATAGGGATCGTCAACCTAACTTCAGAATTGGTCTTCCCAAGGACATGGAAAACTAGGCGTGTTGGTTTTAGATGGCTGAGGTAGTAGAAGAAAGTCCCTTCAGCTTTGTTCAGGGATGTGGCCACCCTTACTGTGTATTCTAAGAAGAGAACTAGAGGTCTCTGTAGAAGTGAATATGTTCTGAGTCAGAGACGGTAACATCTCTTTTTGAATCTTTTTTTACATGGTTAAGATAACCAAGTCAGCACTGCAAATACATAGATTTTAAGAAACATCCACCTGCAAGTCATCCTGAGATCCAAGCATTTTACTAGAATGATTCCTGCCCTATGAAAACTTTGCCCCAAGAGAAAGTCAACCTAACTCAAATATTTCATTAGTATTAATATTAGTATCACTGATTCTTAACATTATAAAACATCTTCACCATTCCCTTGTGATAGACCTTCCAAAATTCCCCAGCTGGACTCATCATCAGCTGCCCATAGCATCTTTGAAATGAGAAAGTTAGGCTGGGCACAGTGGCTCACGCTTGTAATCCCAGCACTTTGGGAGGCCAAGGCAGGTGGATCATGAGGTCAGGAGTTTGAGACCATCTCGGCCAACACAGTGAAACCCTGTCTCTACTAAAGATACAAAAATTAGCTGGAAGTGGTGGCAGGCACCTGTAATCCCAGCTACTTGGGAGGCTGAGGCAGGAGAATTGCTTGAACCCAGGAGACGAAGGTTGCAGTGAGCCGAGATCATGCCACTGCACTCCAGCCTGGCAGCCTGGGCGACAGAGCTAGACACCATCCCAAAAAAAGAAAAAGAAGGAAAAGAGAAAGTTATAGCCCTGAGCTGCCTATTCATCTTCCACCAGGAAAGTCATTTAACTTCTATGAGCCTCTCATCCTTTCTAAAGTAGAGGTTTACAGGCTTTCAGATGAGAATTAAATGTGAACATAATTTGCAGACTATGAAGTATTATTGAAATGTGAGCTCTTCCATTGTATCTCTTGATAACTAAGAACACTCATCCAAGTGCATGGGATGGGTCAGGGAGAAGAGTGGGGAAAAGACTAGAGGTTGCCCCCAGATTGATAACGTCAGGCATAGAAAGATCTTTAAAAGAATATGTAAAGCTAAGGATCCACAATAAAGCACAGAAGAAAAAAAAGGAAAAGAAAGGAAAGGGCAGGAAGTAAGCAAAGAAGAGAGAGAAAGAGAAGGGAAAAAAAGCCTAGGCTGGGAGGAGAGGGTCTGATCTGCATGCAGCCTCTGTCTCATGTTAACAGAGCAGAACAGACTCATTCCCCTCCTGTGTCTCAGCTCCTTCACCTGGAAGGGAGATGACACAAGGAGGAGGAGTACCTCTGGCTCAAGATGGCTGGTAAGAGGCCTTGAGAAAATACTTGGGAAATGCTTCGTATACAAAGAAATTCAAAACAAGCATCAGATACTATTATTTTGGGTAAATTACCCAAGCCTCTATTTTCCACCTATAAAAAGAAAATCAACACTCAGGATATAAGAGAATGACAATGGATGAGATTCACTGCAGAAGACAACCAAGGCTCAGAGAAGAGGGGCTTCCCTGTGTTCACAACAGCTGCTGTGACTCAAAATCAGGGCTTGGCTCCAAGTCCAGGCTCTGACCTGTCTTCCACCCCTGCCTCTCCCTCCACCACATACAAACTCACTTCCTCCATGATCTCATTTGGAGGCATATGGGGAGGGGGGCAACCATCTAGCAGGAAATTATCCATCTCCTCTCACCCACTTGTCAGCATCCAGAGCCCCAGGGATCATCCTTTTACCTCATCAAGTAAGACACAGAGAAAGGAGAGAGCAAATATTTCTGCTGCTCTTTTGGCTAATTAAATATCAGGCCCTATTTCTAAATGTTAACAAAAAGATCGTTGCATTGCTAGAGGTGCTGTTACTAATATTCTTCATCCATTTGGTAGGCCCTTTAGTGGGGTCTTAGGAATATGCTGGGCAGTGGTTCTGAAAGCATGGTCACAGGCCAGCTGCATCAACCTCACCTGGGGTTGCGTTAGAAGGGCAACTTCTCAGGCCCCACCCCAGACATACTAAATCAGACATTCTGGGAGTGGGGTCCAGCCTGTTGGCTTAACAAGTCCTCCAGGTGATTTGGAAGTTGTCTCAAGTTTGACAATCATTTGCCAGCATGACAAATGCAGGCTGTGAAGTCTGAAAACATGAACTCAAATCCTGGCTCATCCCCATGAGGAGGTAAAGTCACCTGTGCTTGGTCCCAGGTGAATTTTCATTTTATAGTGAATAGCCTGTAAAACAAGGACAGCAATATTTACCATGAAAGTTAAACTAAATAGCACATGCATGAATCCTAGCAGATAGCAAGTTCTTGTAAATACGAGGTACTATCATGATTCTTTGATGATCTATGAATTATTTTAGGTGAATTTGAAGAAAGGGAAGGTTCTTTATGTTGGCCTCCTGGAACATGCTTTCTAATAACACTCTCTAGGCTTCCTGAGGTTTTAGGAGTTACAGAAGTCCTCCTCAGTGGGGAGGCTGAAGAGCTCTGACATTTTGCTGCTGGTCGCCTCTGGGAATAAGACCTCATTAATGCTGAGGGCGCAGAAGACGTCATTTGGTTTATAAAAAAATGGAACACTATGCTGGTGCAATGGTAATTATGTTTAACGTTTATGAGCACTTTTTACAAACATAAGTCATCTATTTTCATTAGCTCATTTAATCCTTGCAGAAACCCTCCGAGGCAAGTATTATTATAGTTGTTAATTTATGCATGAGGAAAGCAAAGGTTACAGGGCTAAGTAACTGACCCACTGTTACACAGCTGCTAAGTGACCCAGCCAAGTTCTAGATCCAGCCAGTCTGTGACCGGGGTCTGCACCCTGAGCTTCCCCTGCCCTCCCAGTTCAGGAGTCCAGCATTTACCCTTCCCATAAGCGCTCTCACCCTCTTGTATGAAGCCCTTGGTTTTGTGACTGGTCCATTAGACTTGGCAAGCACCTGAGTGTCAGACGGAGCTAGAGGAGAAATGCAGATTCCTATCCCAGCTCTGCCTGAGGCCCTGCAGTGCTGTGAACTTCAGAACTTCCCCAATGTGTCCTTCAGCACCATGGACAGGGCCTGCAGCACCTCTATTTATTCTAACTCTGGGCATTTTGCCCCTAACCTACAAGGCTATTTGAGGGCACATAAGCAGCTAAACTAATTTCCCCTTAAACCCTTTAATTATCGTAAAAATAGAAGGCACTCAACCACAGTTATCCAACTCGATAACCATGAATAATGCACATTAATGCACAGGCTAAGAATAGGAGATGGGGGTGCTGATTAAGCCAGCCATGAACAAAGAGAAAAGGACCCAGAGCTAGAGGCAAATGGCGTCAATATATCTATATCTTAGAAGTTTCACAAATATAAAGACAAATGTATAATTTATATTTTCTGGTTCAGAGGCTCTATAATGCAGTCTTTATATAAAGTAAGCTGATTCCTATAAGGTTTTTGAGGGTCAATAATTCCCAGAAATCAGCATCACATTGAAGGAGGGGCAGGGAACTGACATTGACCAATGCCGTGGTGAAAAATGGGGGATCCCCACTCTTGTGTCTTGTGTCAGGTGGATGCAGGCTTGGCCCCACTTACTAACCAGCTCTGTCACCTTGGCCATGGCCTGCCCTTCTTAAAGGAAGTCTCAGAGGCTGAAGCTCATAAACTGAATAGCCTGGAACATTAAGAGGTCAATAAAAGACTGATGTCATGATTCTTCCCAGTACATGGCACTTCCTTTTCAAAGTCACTATACCATTCCAGATAAAATCACCAGTGCTGGCCAATAAGTTCTGCATGGCTGCTATTGCTAAAACATGCTCATCTTATGCCTTCAGGGAGAACTTAAAAAAATCAAAAGTGTGTGTGCCATCCCTCATTGTGCCAAATATCTCATAGTAGCAGAAACCCCTTGTCTTTTGGGGCTACCATAAACTGGGTAGCTTGTAAACTACAGAAATTTATTTCTCACTGTTCCAGAGGCTGGAAAAGTCCAAGATCAAGGTGCCGTCAGATTTGGTGTCAGGTGAAGGCCTGCTTTTTGGTTCATAGATGGCTGTCTTTTCACGGTAACCTGACATGGTGAAAAGGACAAACGGGCTCTCTGGGATCTCTTTTATAAAGGCCAATCCAGTCATTCATAAAGGCTCCACCCTCATGACCCAATCACCTCCCAAGAGCCCCACCTCCCAATACCATCACCTTGGGGGTTAGGATTTCAACATATGAATTTGGGGAGCACCACTTTCAGACCATGGTTCCCCTGATATGCAGAAGTGTCTTGTGGTTTCCAGAGACCTTTCTTGGTCAACACTCTGGGAGAGAGGCTCCAGGAAGAAAATCCACATGTCGTGGAACTCCCTCTTCATTCCTCCTCCCGCTCTGCAGTCCAATTCTACCTCCAAGCAATCTTCTTATAACTTCAGTTAAAGCCTGCCTTTGAAAAACATTGAAGAAATAACCTGGTTCCGGTGAGAAGAACCCATTATTTAACACTGTGGACAGCACAAGGTGTGTCTGTCTTGTTGGGATAAGGGAAGACCTGGCTTCTCTGTGACTGCAGACCTGACTGTCACCCAAAGGGCCCCCACCCAATGAGAAGCACGACTGAGTAGGAACATACCTTCTTTCCAATGGCTGTGCCCTATCAGTTATACAGTGGTCAGAGTGATTTTTTTTAAAACACCCTACGTCCCTACCCTCCTATTTACTCTTAAGAGTTAATCATTCTCCAAAGCTCGCACCCCCATTTGCTGTCCCTGCCTAGCCCCCCAGCACCATGCTGGGTCCTCAGCTAGTACTTGCTATGATTTCAAGCAAGCCAGAGCTCATTATAAACTATTTTGTCCTCCTATATCCTTTTACAATGAAATCAATCCCATGAATGTGTGGGCATGTTTTTCTAAGCCTCAGTGCCCTTTTCCATGAAATGGGCATAACAATAATGATGTCTTTCACCTGCAATCTATGGGAGGGACAAATAGGACAATGCCCATAGAAATGCCTTGCTTGATGCTGGGCACCTTGATGGTGACTGGATTAGAAGCACCCCTAAGATTTCAGCAGGCAAAGCAGGATGCTGGGCGTGCAAGGAGGAAGAATCAATAACAGGAAGGCAGAGATATCCTGAGCATTACCACGGAAAGATAAACCTAGAATCAGCGGGAGACAAATACTGGGGAAGGGTCCTGTGGGTCCCATCATGTCCAGCAGGATGTGCACACCAAGCACACCGGACTCCATCTGCCAAGTAACACAGAACAGCGTAACTCCAGTGCCAACTTAAGGTCAATTGCAAACTTAAGAGCGCTTGCATTTTCAAACGGGACAGTGTATGTAAACCAAATAAAGACATCTGGAGCAGAGGAATTCCAGGCACCTTGACCTTTCCTCCATTTGGTAATTAGCTTCTTATTTGTTTAGCAAACCACCCCACAAACACCCTCCAATGCCGTGACTTCAGAACTCTCAGGTGGATTTCCTGCACACTTGGCATCCTCTTCAGGATGTGGAGCCAAGGCTCTGAGAAGGCTGCATCCCAGGAAGCTGGAAGAACCTGGACTACCTGTCTGGCTCAGAGACTCACCTTTCACCACATTCATCCCTGTCAGGTTTATGGTGCCAGTAAAATTGAAGAAAACCATAAAAGACAATGAACTGTGTTTCTGTGACCCAAAATTCTATCTACTGCTGAGTCAACGAGCCCAGTAAAATTTAGCTGAGTTTCTTATATTTGCTTGCTGATTTTTTTTTTCTGGTGCACCATACTGTGAAATCTGAGCAGAAAATCCATATGAAGTTTTATTTATTGCCATATGGATTTCTGTGAAAATGCTGAAGACATGACTTTTTGGTGGTGCTTGTTATTGTATTTTCCCCCTTTACCAAATGTTCAGTCCCTAGTTGCTGACCCAAGCATGGCTTTGTGGGACATTTTGCCCCCATTTCATTCCTGGTGGGTGTCAGGGCCCCTGAATATTGTAAGATGTGGTCCAGGCTCCATCAGGTCCATCCTGTCCACTCCAGGAAAGTTGGGTCTCTTCAGGACCCAACACTGTCGCACCTCTAGGCCCTTGTCTAGGCAAATCCCTGCCTGAAAGGCCACCACCACCAATATCCCAACCCAACTCTACCTGCAATATTAATAATAGCTACTGTTCATAAAGAAAGCTAAGACCACTGGCAGGAAATGCATAGCCTCCCGGCTCTGAGACACTGGAGATCTGCCTCAGGTGAGCCTGCTCTCTACTCAGCAACCGATCTGTCTCAGGGTCACCTTCATCTTCTTTCAACTGGCTCCTTTCATGGTAGCAACATGGCTATGGGAATTTCAAGGCTCTCATGCTTACATCCTTGGGCCCAGGGAGAAAAGAGCATCTGTCCTTGTCCTTCTAAGTGAAAGTACTGAGTCCATTCTAATGGGACTAACCAGGAGAATGTGCCTGAACTGATCCTCATACTTGGAGAATGACTCAGACCTGATTCTTGCTCAGTCTTTCTGAAGTTGCTTCATTTACCAGGTCCCTGGCTGTCTCTTCCCGTGGATAAACTCACCAACCCCTCACATCAGCTAATGAGAGTGTGCTGTTGTTGTTCCTGTTATATTCAGTGTATGGGCCAAGGTCACTCCCCTTGTCTAAGCCTCAGTTTCCTTAGCTGCCAAAGAACAGTGATTCAATCAGCTCTGCAGCTTCCCGTCATTTTAGTAACAATCAGTGATTGTGTTTCCTGGGCACATACTAACTGTGTGACCTTGTGCAGGTCACTTGACCTCAGTGCCGTGTTCTCCTCATCCTTGAAATGGGCACAGCATTGCCTTCCCTGAAATATTGTCTTAATGATGGGAGAGTAAGTATGAAATACCCTTAGCAGGATGCCTGGTACATGCAGAAGCCAATGCACATTGCCGCAGTGGTTAATTACAATTCCAAATATATAAAAAGAAACAGCCAGAATAAGAGTATTACCATCCCTGGACTCATCGAGCTCTGGTCTACCCAATACCCTCAAACTCAATCCAACCTATGCGTCAATTACTTTGGAGACAACGGTCAGCTAAGAAGCCAGTTTGTTAAGCCTAGTCTCAATGCATGAGTCACGAGTGGCCTTCTACCCTCTCTAGACGCTATCAATTCCCTCGGCCCACTCTGGTCTCCTCATTTCTGGAGGAGAAGTAGAGACTTCAAGTTACAGAAAAGAGCCCTAGGGGGCAAAGGCTGGGGGTGGGCTGATTCCCTAATCTCAGAGCTGCTGCCTGAAGAGGACTTTATGCATCATCTCATCCCACCTCCTCCATTGTACAGAGGAAGCAGAGTCCCAGAGAGGGAAGTGACTCACTCCAAATCACACAGCTAATATGTGGCGGAATCTAGACTCAGACTTTGCTAAAAATATCAACTGCAGGAAAATGTCAACCAAGGACACAGCCAGAAGTGCCAGCGTCCATTCAGCTGCCTGTCTCTCCTGCCAACATCGAAGATGTGAGGAGGTCTCCATGGCCACAACTATGCCCTCGCGGCATCAGACCCTTGAATGTGATGCTGCAGGTAGGACTCCTGGCACCAGAAGGTGCCTTCAGGTGTGAGGAGAACAGGCATCCAAGGCTGCCCGCTGTGAGCTCACCCCAGAGCCAATGAGGCAGAGATGTCCTGCAGCCCACAGGGAGGAAGGAGGCTTCCGGTCCCTGCCTGGTGACAGGAACACACGCGAAGGACACATTAGTTGAGAGGAAAGGCTGGTCCCAGAGGAACATGGGAAGGAGGTCACAGAGCTGCACGGTATTGCCTGGCAGGTACAACCCAGACCGAGTGTTCTGACCTCCGGACCCCGGAAGTCCCGGATCCTGATTTGGAGGAATCCCCGGGTGCCTTCTTCATACCCTGTGCTCGGCCTCTGCCCACTGGAACCGAGCATGCAAGCAACAATGAAAGTAGCTGCTAGGCTGGGCACGGTGGCTCACGCCTGTAATCTCAACACTTTGGGAGGCTGAGGCAGGCGGATCACCTGAGGTCAAGAGCTCGAGACCATCCTGGCCAACATGGTGAAACTCTGTCTCTACTAAAAATACAAAAATTAGCTGAGCATGGTGATGCACGCCTGTAGTCCCAGCTACTCAGGAGGCTGAGGCAGGAGAATCACTTGAACCCAGGAGGCAGAGGTTGCAGTGAACCAAGATCGTGCCATTGCACTCTAGCCTGGCGACAGAGTGAGACTCCATCTCCAAAAAAAAAAAAAAGGAGCTGCTGAACATGTTGGTGGGAACGCAGATGGTCTCACCACTGTGGAAAACAGTATGGTGGCTCCTCAAAAGAAAGATTAAAAATAGAACTACTGTATGATCTAGCAATTCTGCTTCTGAATATTTATTCAAAAGAGTTAGAATCAGGATCTCACAGAGATGCTCACGTTCCCATGTTCACAGCAGCATAATTCATGATAGCCACGATATGGAAACAACTTAGATGTCCATCAGTGGATGGATGGAAAAAGAAAACATGGTATACTGAATTGCTAGATCATACAGTAGCTCTATTTTTAATACCCAACCGAATGGTATTCAGCCTTTAAAAAGAAGGAAACTCTGTCATTTTTGACAACATGAATGAATCTGGAGGACATTATGCTAACTGAAATAAGCCAGATGCAGGAAGACAAATACTACATAATTCCACATATGAAGTACCTAAAATAGTCAAATTCCTAGAATTAAAGAGTAGAAAAGTAGCTTCCAGGGGTTGGGGGAGAGGAAATGGGGAGATGCCAATTAATGGGCAAAAAATCTCAGTTAAGCAAAACGAATGCATTCTAGGGATCTGCTGTGCCACACCGTGCCTATGATCAACAGTACTGTACTGCACACTTAAAAGTTTGTTAGGAGGGTGGATCTCATGTTGTGAGTGTCCTTACCACAATTAAATGAAACTCATTTAAAAAAAAAAGTGTAAAACAAGAAAGTAGCTACTGAATTTGAGCATTTGGTTCCTGGTGCTGTGCTTTTAAGTCACAGAGAAGTCATGGAAAGCGGCAGGAGATTTTTAGGTCGGGAGATGGAGGCTCAAAACTGATGGCAGAGCCAGAGAGTGGCGGAATGGAGACATGAACTACATCTGCCTGGTCGTACCACTTAAGTTATGCTGTGTGTTGTGCTACACCCAAACTGCTTTTCATTCTTGTGAGGTAGTCAATTTACATGTGTGCCTATGCTTTTAATGGAGGAGCTCATTGTGAAATAAAGAATGACACAAAGAAATGTGAGGGAGAAAATAAACATCCTCATAACTTTTTCACCCACAGACAGCCAGTGGTTAATAATAGGTATTTGTCTCCATCATTAATTTCTCTGTCTCTCCTCTCTCTCTTTCAGACACACACACACACACACACACACACACAGAGCTGGTGTCATATTGTATACACATTTTGCAAGATGCTTTAAAAATGAACAGAATATTGACTGCATTTTCTAGGTCATTAGTTCTTCTCCTAAATGTCATTTTGCATCATCAAATACTGTTGCATTATTGAGGTATACAATAATGTATTTTGCCCACCACACAGCATTGTGTCATTTCTAGTCTCACTTATAAATTACACATGGATATGTACTTGTGCATATCCTTGATTTATCTCCTTAGAGGAGAGCTAGATGTGTAAGAGTGCCTACAGGGAGAGAATGAGCTGGCCACAGGAGAGCTGTTTCTACTGTAACTTAATGGAGTGTTACATGTGTTACATAACCAGCCCTATGCAAGGGACTAATGTGACCCCCTCTGAGCGATGAATGACCTCTCAGGATCCAACAGCACTATGTTTTGAGTCCACGCGTGCCTGTACTCCAGTGAAAGTATCAACGGGCATTTGCACTGTAAAGTCTTGTGGCTGCCTCTCCAAGAAAACGATAATTTTTTGTTTCTTTTTTCTTTCATTTTTTAAATAGCTCGTATGAGTAGAAAATGGCATTTTTAGTGGCTCTCTGCTTTCTATTTATCCTTATAGGCTAACATCTTAAGAGTAATTTCTTCTTTAGGAGGAATCCCATATTTCCCAGGATTGGTCAAGCCTGTGCATATTTTACTGCAGGTAAAAGAAGGTGCAACATGCATAGCTGGGGAGAACATCTTTATTTTTCCCACAAATTCTTCTGATGTCCTTTATTTTACCTCCAATCTTATTGGGGTTTCCTTGTAAATGATGAGTAATTTTTTTCTCTTGCTTGCTACTTTCCTTTTTTTTTTTTTTTTTTTTTTTTTTTTTGGTTTTTGGCATTTTTACTATGATGTTTGTAAGTGTATCTCTTTGTGTTTATCTTAATTGGGACCTGCCCCCAGATTTCCACTTCTCGGGTATAGTTCAAACGTCAACATTTCCAACAGAATATGCCTGGAATTCCCCAAGATATATGTGTCCTACTCAATTCTCAACCACCATTTTACCATTTTCTGTCTCCACCTTCTCTCTTTCTGCTGAGTACAGTACATGCTTCAACCACCCAAGCCATGGAGGACACACATTGAGGCCAGTTACACAGCCCAGGACACCTCTTTTCCCCCACTCGAATTCTTTCCAGGCAACATAACAGTAGCACACACCTCCCCCAAACCTAAGTCCTCTGTCCCATTCCCTTGGAGGAGTGTGATAAAAGGAAGATGCTTACCTTTTCACCCTTTTCCCCTTGGCCAAAAGGTCCTATGCCCTAGAAAAATGAAAGAAGGCAAAGATTCACTACAGAGCATCTCCATGGCATGACATTGCAAATGGCAACATCATCCCGAGATTTGAAAGGATTAGATATTTTCTCATCAGCTCTGCCCAGTAGCCACTAAAAGAAATGGTGACTATTGTTAACTGAGTGTGCATTCTCATGAGTATCATCTCACTTAATGTTTCCAATAACTCAATATTATAGTTACTATTCTTTGTTTCCATAACAGTTTCATTGAAATATAATTTGCATACCATATAATTCACCTACTTAAAATGTACAATTCAATGATTTTTAGTATAAAGTTGTGCAACAAAATCCCCACAAACAATTTTAGAATATTTTTATCACCTCAGAAACAACCCATATCTATTAGCAATGACTCCACACTTCCTCTACTCTAGCTCTAGGAAAACATTAATCTGTTTTCTGTTTCTATAGATTTGTCTCTTCTGTACATTTTTTATATAAATGGAATCATATAATATGTGGCCTTTTATGATTGGCTTATTTCACTCAGCAAAGTCTTTCCAAGGTTAATCCATGTCAGACCATGTATAAGTACTTCATTTTATTGCAAAATGATATGACATTGTACGCATATGACATACATTTTCTTCAGGTGACAGACATTTGGGTTTTCTACTTTTGGCTATTGTAAATAACGCTGCTATAAACATTTTTGTGAAAGTTTTTGTGTAAACATATCTTTGCATTTTTGAGGGGTATATTCCTAAAAGTAGAATTGAATTGCTGGGTCATATGGTAACTCTGTCTTTAACCTAAGGGCTGCAAGGCTGTTTTCCAAAGCAACTGCACCATATTATGCAAGCAATCCATGAAGATTCCAATTTCTCCACATTCCTAGTTGTTCTACCCATTATTGAAAAGGAGGTATTGAAGTCTCTAACTATTGTTGATTGGTTTTTCATTCCTCCTTTAAATTCTGTCAGTTTTTGCTTCATGTATTCTGGGGTTTTGTTAGGTGCATATATGTTTATAATTGCTATATTTTTAAGAAATAATTTTTTATTATAAAATGTCTCCCTTTATTGATTTTTTTGGTTTAAAGTCTATTTTGTCTAATATTAGTACAGTCACCCCAGTTTTCTGTTTTTTATTTTCAAGATGTTTATTTTCCATCCTTTTATTTTCAACCTATTGAAACCTATTTGTCTCTTTGAATACAAAAGATATAACCTATCTGTGTCTTGTGAAACCTATTTGTCTCTTTGAATACAAAAGATACAACCTATTTGTACAACAAATTTGTTGTTGTACAAATAGGTTGTATCTTTGAATCTAAAGTATGTCTTCTATAGACAGGATATAGTTTGATCTTGTTATTATAAACTTTCTTAAAATTTCTGCTTTTTAGTTGGTTCATGTAGTATATTCACATATATTATTATATAATTAGATTTATATATGCCATATTAGTTTTTGTTTTCTACAGGTCTCCTGTCCCACTTTTGTTCCTTTATTGCTCCTTTACTGATCTTTTTTGAATTGAGTACTTTCTAGTGTAACATTTACACTACTTTCATGATATTTTTAACTGTATATTTTGGAGTTATTTTCTTAGAGGGTGCTCTAGAGTTTCTTATATGCATAATAACTTAATAGGGTCTACTCTAGATTTATAAAAACTTACTTCCAGTTAGACATAGAAACATACTCCTTCTTAGCTCTATCCCTTCTTCCCTCTTTTTGTGCTATTATTTTTATGCGTATTACATGCGTGTTTGTTAACACCAACCATACATGGTTGTAATGTATTGTTATACCTAACTTGCCATCCCTGTGCCTTCTAGCCTCAATCATTTCTGATGACAAGTCAGTTGTTAATTTTATTGGAGTTTCCTTGTAAATAATGAGTCATTTTTTTCTCTTGCTACTTTCAATTTTCTTTGGTTTTTGGCATTTTTACTATAATGTTTGTAAGTGTGTATCTCTTTTGTGTTTATCTTAATTGGGGTTCACTGAGCATGTTGAATATGCAGACTACTGCTTTTCATAAAATCTGAGATGCCTTCAGCCATTATTTGTTTGAATACTTTTCTGCTCCTTTCTCTCCTCTTCTGCTTTAATTCCCAGTAGGTGCAGATTCATGCACTTTATGAACCCCTACATTTCTCCAATAATCTGTCTATTTTTCATTATTTTTTCTCTGTTCTTCAGATTACATCATCTCTACTGATCTATCTTCAAGAATTCTGATCTTTCTTTTGAGCCCCTCTAGTTTTTTCTATTTCATTTATTATAATTTTAAACCCCAGAACTTACATTTGGTTCTTTATAATTTCTAACTCTTTATTGATATTCTGTATTTGATGAAATATGTCATTATGCCTTCTTTTGCTTACATCAGAATAATTTCCTTTAGTTCTTTGATCATAATTATAATGATTGCTTGGAAGGCTTTGTCTGTTAAATCCGATATTTGTATCCTCTCTCAGGCAGTTTCTCTTGTCTGCTGCCTTTTTCGGTTTATGTCACATTTTTCTGTTTCTTAGCATATCTCATAATTTTTGTTGAAAATTGGACATTTTAGACAATATAGCAATCCTGGATATTGACACTTCCCTTACCAAAAATTGTTTTTGTTCTTTTCTTGTTTATTTGCTCACTGACTTGGCTAGATTATTTTAATTAAGTCTATCCCCCTTCCCCAGTGTTCATCTCTGAGGCCAATTTTCAGAGGGCATGGCCTTGGACCTGTACATAATCACCCCAGGATGACGATGGTTTTAACAAGACTCGTTTTGAAAGTCTCTTTCTTGATTTCTCGGTCAAACTGTCTGCCTCTGCTGACATTCAATCCAGCTCTTAGGTTCCATTACTTTCCAAATGATCCCTTTACTATTTTCTGCAATGCTATACATGGCATTCATTGCTCTACAGTCTGATCAAACTGAATCAGGTCCCCTTTGCATGGGTAGCTGTTGTGGGCAGTCATTGAGGTTTCTTTCTGATGCCAGGAGCAGTCTTCTTAGTGGTGTTTTCCCCCTGGTTCTTTCTGGTAAACTAGCTTTGGTAAAGTTGTGGTTTACTATAGAGTACCACACTCCTCTTAATTTCTTACCACCATCATCTCCTTTGTTTCTAGAGAACTCTTACACTTATACTTCTCCACATTCTGTTTCAAAGTCAGTGCCTTTGGGGAGAGCTTCAGAGTTCTTCGTTCCTAAGGATTGTACCCTGGGCTAAATATCTGCATCCCTGCTCTGGAACTGGGAGCTGGGAGCTGGGACCATGGCCCTCTTCTCTTGGAACGGTGCCCTGGCTGGGAAGGAGCAGTAGCCTCTGCTTTTCTCAGCTTGCATCCTTCACTGGGGAGCCTCCACTGTATGACTGAGCTTGGAAAGGGTTGATCAGAATCCCAACATTCTTGGCTTGTCATGCCTGAGGTTGCACCTCCACCCTGTGAATGGGGGTTGGGGAGAGGAAGCGAGCCCTATCCCTTGGCTGCATCTGCCAAGAATTTAGGCTCTGGAACTCCAGACGCAGGAGGTGAAAAATGTTGGAATTTCACCAGGTATTATCTTTTTGGGGGGAGTAGATTCACAGAGTTCCTCATGTTGCCATTTCAGAAGTAGAACCACTACAGATATTATTTTTATATCTGTCTCACAAATGTGAAAAGTGAAGCTCAGAAAGTTCTAGCGACTTCTTCAGTTCATGAAGCTAGTAGGTTGTGGAACCAAAATTTGAATGTAGGCTGCCTGATGCTAGTGCTGCTTCCTCAATCACAGTGCTATTTGGCCTCAATAGAGCTGCTGATGATATCAGGCAGGCAATAATGATCATAATTATGCGATGGACCGCTTCCCAGAGTTCAGAGCTCCAGAGTACAACCATGTTTGTTCTCTGGCTGATTCTGGTGGTTTCTCTGAATTCAGAATGTCCTCCCAATCTCCCTTCCTTTGAACCCAGCTACAAGTGACAGCACGTGTCCTAAAGTGGGTCTTGTCCCAGACATGGAGGAGAGGAATGGACCTGGCATTTCCTACACCTACTGCCTGACAAGTGAGTTCCTAAAAAACCACATGTGTATGAGTTACCACTCTTCTCTGAGCTTCAGTTTGCTCATCTGTAAGGTGGGCCTTTCACTAGGCCTCACGTCACCGAGCTGATGTGAGAGTTAAGTGAGCCCCAAGTCTGTGAAGCATGTAATGCAGAGCCAGCAGTGCAGTGAGTGCTGGTAAATGTGACCAGCTCTCCTTATTTCCATGTCTTTCTGCACACAACAGGTGCTTCCTACCTACACAAAGGAGGTAGATATGCATGTGTAGGTGAAGGTGAAGCACAGCCAAGTGAGCACAAGACCCAGATTAAAACAGATGCAGGTGTAAATTCTGTCTCTGCCACATCCAGCCTCTATGACTGAGGGCAAGTCATTCGAGCCTGAGAAACCAGTGTCATTCCCATTAGAGACGTGATGAGACTATGTCAAAAGTTGTTCCATGGAGCAAAGGTTAGACTCCATAGGATGCACGTGCCAAGAGTAGATGGCATCACTACGCATGAGGGGGCAACAATGTGGGGTGCTGAGGGAATTGCATTTGCCATGCTAATTCTTCTAGGGAAGAGGCTTGTTTCCTGGGTTTCCTCCTGAGCACTGAGAACACAGAAGGAACTAATTATAATCACACACATCAAAAAAGACAATGGTCATTCACTGATCACCCACTATGGGCCAGGCATTTTGTAAACCAAGTAGTTGTTATACTCCTCATTTTGCTAATGTGTAAATGAGGCTTTACCCCAGCAATTAGGGAGGCCGAGGCGTACCTGAGGTCAGGAGTTTGAGACCAGCCTGGCCAACGTGGTGAAACTCCATCTCTAATAAAAATACAAAAATTAGCTGGGCATGGTGGCACACACACAGTAATCCCAGCTATTCGGGAGACTGAGGCAGGAGAAGCGCTTGAACTTGGGAGGCGGAGGTTGCAGTGAGCAAAGATCATGCCACTGTACTCCAGCCTGGGTGACAAGAGCAAGACTTTATCTCAAAAAAAAAAGGAAAGAAAGAAACCTGCCCAAGGTCACACGGCTAATAAAGGCTGCAGCCAAGGACAATAACTGAGGCCCATTTGACACCAAACTTGTGCTGTTGATGCTACATGATTCTATGCAGGAGGGCAGAGGTTAGTGCTTCCACCAGGACAGGGACTGACTGCACTCACTACTGTTCTAAACCATTTACATGCATCAATTTATTTAATCTTCATAATGCTACTGAATACGTTATTTTATTATCCCCATTTTACAGATGAGAAAACTAAGGATAGAAAGGTTAAGTATCTTGGTGAAGCCGGAATTCACTTCTCAGCCATTCAGCTCCTGAGGGCCACCCTGAACTGTGACTTCATCTCTGCAATTCTTTCCTGACCCATCATTAATTGCATTCACTCATCAGCTGAAAGATTCATGAATACAATTCATGCTAGGCCAGGTGCTGGAAACTCTGTGACTATAAATCACAGATCAGGACACCTGGGAGTCCTCTGATGCTGGGATGGAGGAGGTGCTGTGGGAACACAGAGCTGGGTTTTGGAGTGATGTCTTGGAGAATTAGACACAGTTGAGTAGGAATGATGAGAACTCATGAGCCAAGCAGGAAGGCATGGGGAAGAGAAAACAGGGGTGGGGAGAAGGAAGCATTATTCTTGGCAGAGGAAAGAGCCTGTGTAATGGCCAGAGTCAGGAAGGGCACAACAAAATGACAAATTAGAGGGTTAGTAACTGTGATGATTCAAAGCACAGAATTCTGGTTATGGGGTGGCAAGAGACAAGGCTAGAGAGTCCGCCAAGACCATATTCAGCAGGCCTCCATGCCCATGGAGAGGAGCTAGGGCTTCATCTTGAGGGTGGTGTGGGAGTAGTGCCTGGCCCCTGCCAGGTATTCAGCCCACACTTGCTGATTTGCATGATCGGAGGGCCCTGGGTCCCCCACGCCCGCCCTGAGGTTCAGCCATGTAGAGGAGCAGCCATCTACTCACCACATCACCTTTCTCTCCCTTAGGTCCAGGAGCGCCAACCGGCCCAATGGCTCCTATGTCTCCCTGAGGGGTTGAGACCAGAGACAAGCATCAGATTAGGTTTCCCGACAGGGCTCTTGCACACACAGGACCCTCACGGCCAACCTTGCTCCAATTCCCTAGAAGCAGCTGACTTCATCTTTGCCATTTCTGCAACGAGGCCACATGTCCCACCCCTGGAGAGGAGGAAGCATCTAAGTCATCTCCCAACATCACAATTCCAGGAACCACGGACTTCTTGAGGAAAGCAAGTGCATGAAAGCATTGCACATTCATCCTTGGGAATGGCCTGCCACTGATCCCACCACCAGGGCCTCGGAAGGGGAAGTGGAAGTTCCAGGTTTGAACAGCAGCTCTGCCACTTCCCAGGAGCACACCATTACTGTCTTTGGGCCTCAGGCTTCTCTTCCATAAACAGGCACGTCATCACGCAGGCACATAAGATTAAGAGCATAAAGGTGCTTTGAAAACTTCCAAGTGTCCCATCCAAGTACTAACCAGGCCCGACCCTGCTTAGCTTCCGAGATCAGACGAGATCGGGCATGGCACATGTATACATATGTAACTAACCTGCACAATGTGCACATGTACCCTAAAACTTAAAGTATAATAAAAAAATAAAATAAAATAAAATAAAACAAAACTTCCAAGTGTCAACCAGAGTCCCCTGGGCATTCAATTTGTATAACAAGTCCATCCCTGTGTACCTGGGGCCCTCATAACTGTCCAGGAGGAGAAAGAGAGCAGGTAGAGGAAAAAACTGTGTCTGCAAGGGAGGAAAAACTCATCACAAGCCAAGTGTTGAACTGGAACCTAAATCTCCTGCCATCTCATGAGCCAATCCAAGATAGGTGTAGGCACAGGAAACAGAGCCTTCAATTCTATTCTTTTGTCTTTGTTCTTGATCTGAAACTTTATCTCTCTTGTTCCCAGCTCATCTTTTATATTCTAAGAACACATGGCTACTTTGCTTATGCTATTCCCTTTGGCTATGATGCCCTTCCCTGCCTCCTTTGTCCTGAGCAGTTCCTGTCTATTCTACTGGACCCAGCTGGTCAGGGCTGTCAGCAGAAAGGTGTCCTGAGGTCCTACCAGGTAGCAATGGGGCCTCCCCTCTCAGCCCCTCAGCTCCTGGGCCCCTCTATCCTGACTCTCTTCATACTATCCCAATCCTCTCTTTCCTGCTCCCTTCCCCCTGGCCTATGAGTCCTGGGGACCAGGCTCTCAGTCAGTCACTTTTATATTCCCACATCACAACTGGGCCTTGCACCTGGCAGACTCAGCCTATGCATGTGGACAGAGCCCGAGCTCTGTGTAGGGACACGGAGCCACCAGGAACCCCAGCCTTTGACTCAGGGTCCTAACCATGGTTTGGGACAATGTGACGGATGACACTATAGGACCACGATTGCAAGTGAGCTCTGCAGGAGCCGGGCAGGTCTCCAGGTGGCTGCATCAGTTGCCCTTTTCAGTGCTCTTCTCCTCCCACCATTTCTGCTCTCCTTGTGGGGCCCAGGGCCTGCTCTGCTCAAGCACAGCAGAGGCAGCCATTACTAAACAGCCCTTGCTTCACACAAATGTCTTCTACTGAGAGGCCTATGAAACCCCAGGTAGTTTGCGCTTTCCTCCCGTCACAGCCGAGAATCGAGGTGACTTCTCAGAGGAGCTCGGTGATGCAGAAACCCCTGCCATCCTCCTCACAGCGACCAGCTGGCACCTGGGCTGAGCCGCTCTCCATCAGCACAAAGAGAAGACTCACCAGGGGAGAGGAGCTGAGGGGGCAGCGGGTGTGTGTGAGAGTGTGATGGTGTGTGTGATGAGGGGTGTGTATGTGATGAGGGGTGTGTGTGTGATGGGTGTGTGTGTGATGAGGTGCGTGTGGTGTGTGTGTGTGTGATGGGATGTGTGTGTGATATGGGGTGTGTGTGTGCATACGTATGTATATGTGATGGTGTGTGTGTATATGTGATGTGTGTGGTGGCTGTGTGTGGTGGGTGTGTGATGGGGTGTGTGTGATGGCGTGTGTGTGATGGTGCATGTGTGTGATGGTGTAGGTAATGGTATGTGGTGGTGTGTGTGTGATGGTGTAGGCAATGGTGTGTGGTGGTGTGTGTGTGATAGTGTGTGTGATGGTGTGTGTAATGGTGTGTGATGGTGTGTGTGTGTGTTAGTGTAGGTAATGGTGTATGGTGGTGTGTGTGTGATGGTGTATGTATGTGTGATGGGGTGTGTGTGCATATGGGTATGTGCATGAGGGTGTGTGTGTGTGGTGTGTGTGTGTGATTGGGTGTGTGATGGGGTGTGTGTGCATGTGTGTGAGATGGTGTGTGATGGTGTCTGATGATGTGAGCATGCATGTGTGTGTGTGTGATGGTGTGTGTGGTGGTGTGGGATGGTGTTTGGTGTGTGTGTGATGGTGTGGCTGTGTGATGGTGTGGATGTGTGATGGTGTGCATGGGTGTGTGATGGTGTGGGCATGTGATGGTATGTGTGATAGTGTGTAAAGGTTGTGTATGGTGGTGTGGGATGGTGTGTGGTGTGTGTGATGGTGTGTGTGTAATGATATGGGATGGCATGTGATGGTGTGTGTGTGTGATGGTGTGTGTGTATATGTGTGATGGCATGTGTGTGATGGTATGTGTGATGGTGTGTTATGGTGTGTGTCTATGTGTGATGGTATGTGTTTGTGATGGTGTGGGACGGTGTGTGAGGGTGTGTGTGTGTGATGGTATGTGTGATGGTGTGTTATGGTGTGTGTCTGTGTGTGATGGTATGTGTTTGTGATGGTGTGGGATGGTGTGTGATGGTGTAGTGATGGTGTGTGTATATGTGATGGTGTGTGTGTGTGTAATGGTATGTGATAGTGTAGGTGATGGTGCGTGATGGTGTGTGTCTGTATGTGTGATGGTGTGTGTGTTTTTGATGGTGTGTGTGTATGTGTGATGGTGTGTGTGAGATGGTGTGTTTGTGTGTGATGGTGTATTATGGTGTAGGTGTGATGGTGTAGGTGACGGTGTGTGACTGTGTGTGTGATGGTATATTATGGTGTGTATGTGTGATAGTGTGTGTGATTGTGTGTGATGGTGTGTGTGTGTGACGGTGTAGGTAATGGTGTGTGGTTGTGTGTGTGATGGTGTAGGTAATGGTGTGTGGTGGTGTGTGTGATGGTGTGTGTAATGGTGTGTGATGGTGTGTTTGTGTGTGATGGTGTAGGTAATGGTGTGTGGTGGTGTGTGTGTGATGGTGTGTGTGTGTGATGGTGTAAGTAATGGTGTGTGATGGTGTGTGTGTGATGGCATGTGTATGTGTGATGGGGTATGTGTGTGATGGTACGTGTGTATATATGTGTGATGGTGTGTGTGAGATGGTGTGTTTGATGGTGTGTGTGTGATGTTGTATTATGGGGTGTGTGTGTGTGTGTGATGGTTTGTGTGTGTGTCCGTAGTGTCACATCCTAGCACAGTGGGGGCAAAGCAGGGAAGGGTGTGAGATGAGGGAGGGAGGGATGCCAAGGAAATATCTACAGTCAGGAGAGAGAGAAAAGAGAAAGAGAAAAGGCAGAGGAGAGGAGAAACAGACAAGGCAAGAGAGGAAGCAAGGAGGGACGCATAGGAAGGGAAGAATGCCCAGCAAAGGTGGACAGGAAGAAAGCATCGCTCAGGCGAGTCATTTCACCATTTCGGCTTTTGATTTCTCATCTGGAGAATGGGACCAATGCTGCTTGTCACGCAGGGTTGATTTAGGGTTTGCTATCACTCATTCAACAAGAAGGGACCACCTGCAACGTGCAGAGCCCTGAGCTCACAGCAGCGGGCACTGGAACGGTAATCCTTACCCCACAGCGCCTGCTGTCTGAGGCACAGGTAGGCTCCCACTCAAGCCTGACACACAGCAGATGCAGTCATTGTCACTGCAATTCAGTGGAACAGGATGGAAGATGGGAAAGAAGTGGGCAAAAAGAAAGAGATTCCATGTACTCCCTGGTCTGTCTGCACCACGAGACTCAGGCATGTGACGGTCAGGTCCTGTCTAAACCATCCTCTAACCCCAGCATTGACCTCAGGGCCTGGCCCTCAGCAGGTTTCACTAATGATGCACTGAATACATTATTCAAACTAAGAAATGCAGGAGGAGAAATAGGGGGGAGAACAGAGTGGAAGGAAAGAGAGAGATGAAAAGAGATACAGAGAGTGAGAGATAAAGACAGAGAGAGACAGTGACACATAAAGAGAGGCAAAGGCTAGGGAGAGAAGGGAAAGAAAGGGAGGGGAGGGAGAGGCCCAGCTGTCTCCAGTGATTTTCACCCACACACTCAGTTCCTCTTTCAAACACGGGATGATGGTGAACTCTCCACTGTGCCTTGATAAACAGTATAACCCTGGGAAGTGACAGAGAGGAATGAGACCACTCTGTGACTGAGGACAGAGGGGCCCTACCTGGCTTGGTGCAATTAGTGAATTTGGAAATCATGTGTTTAAAGGGTCATGCAGTTTAATGAATCTTAAAAGCCCAACCCCTAAAAGTTTCTGGAATACAGCAGCTTCAACCAATTGCTGCAAAGTTAATTGACCATGGAGAGTTGAGCGTGTTGGAGCAAATGAGACCTGAGCCAGGGCTCTGGGAATCTAACCCTTTCTTGCTCATATTTGCAGACTGAGAACTGGAGGTTCTGGGCAGTTAAGAGGCTCCCAGGATTTCAGACTTTATGACATTTGCTCTTATCCATCTAATTTAACAAGCTCTGAGGCAAAATATTAGCAAGGCAGCATCCCCACACACCATCTTTTGTCTTATATAGACAGCAAAGGAGAGGACAAGTGAGGTTCTAAACTACACCTCTGCCATGCCTGTACTGACCTTTGGACCAGGGAGCCCCATGGGGCCAGCAACTCCCATTTCACCCTAAAAGAAGAAAGACAACAAAAAAGTAAGTTTCTATTTTAATTTTCCCTTTCTCTCAACACTGGATGGTAATCCACCCCCACATGCTTAGAAGCCAATGGCTTAGTAAGCCCAGCGCCGACCAATGAGTTGGGCAAGGAAATTGGTTGACTGTGCTGAAAGTCTCTGCTCTTGAACTGCAAACCTATACGGGAAGCTTTGGCACAGCCTCCAGGTGCAGCTACCGGTGGACACAAGATAGAAACAAGCAAACTGAGGCACAGAAAGACAAATACCACATTTCTGCTTACTTGTGTAAGTAAAAGCATGAAACACCAAGAAGCAGAAGGCAGAGTGGTGGCTACCAGAGGCTATGGAGCGGGAGGAATACACACACGTTGTCAAAGACTACATGCCTCAGACAGGAGGAATAATGAATGGTAAGTATTTGAGAGGATGGATATGACAATTAGCTGAGTTCAATCATTCCACATTGTATACATGTATTATGACATCACTTTGTACCCCATAAATATATGCAATTATATAGTTTGTCAATACCCAAACTAAATATGTAAATAAATTAAAAAACCCAAAGGGGTATTCACTAGCTATTTTTACCTGAATATATCATCACTTCAATTAAAAAGAAAATTATGTTGACTGCTAGCGGTTCATGTAGTTATTGTTCACTAAAATACAAAAGAGGACATATATGTAAGCTATTTCTAAATGTAAACTTTGTTTCAATTTAACAATGTGTAAAGATCAGGTTACTGGATTTACAAATGTAATCTGTACGTGTTCGATACATGTAAATGTCGCCAAGCTGAAAACAAATGCAACACGATTAATATAATTTTATAGATATAAATATCACCACATTAAAAAAGGCAGCAGTACATCCATTTATGTGTTCACTTAGTGCTAACAGCAATCTACACTCTGGTCACAGTTGCACACTTGGCCAGCTCCGGAACACACATTTTTAAATGCATTCACAGATGTCATTTGCTCAGGCAAACGAAGATAAATAATTTTTTGTGTGTTTCTCCTCACCTAGCGCCCACAAGAGTGCCTGGTACACAGTTCACTCTCCCCATGATGTTTGCTTATAGAGATGCAACACCAGGCATCATGTTGACCTAGCTGAATAATGAAAATGTTTTGCAAACTCAATTGAAGTTTTAAACCACTGGAAACAATGTCTGTCTGTGGCCAGAGCTCTGCCTCCTAGGAGAAAACATTCAGACTTCCTAGGCCCCCTGTGTTGTATTTTTTTTTTTTTATTGAAACGAAGATGAAAGAGACAGAAATGATACCTGCTTAATGAGGTCATTGTGAAGTTCTTCCGCTCCACGGGGCTATTTTGTGGGGAGGGAAGCAGCAGGCTCCCTTCTCACCCCCCTGTGCTTGGGAAGTTCTCTAGCAGGCCTGCTGTGAGATCCTTGGGGCTCAGCCAGGCCTCAGAGCTCCTGGTTTCCTAACCAGAGTGTAGACTACAGAATTTTTGAGGGCCAAATTCTATTTGTCTTAAAACCTCAGTGTACAGCATAGTACACAGCACATAGCAGATGCTTAATGTCTATGGTTAGACTTTAGAAGAAGGAATGAAGGAGTGATTAAGTCATTATTGAATCATGCCATCCTAGGCATGGGGCTGGAACAGCCAGACCTTGTCCTGCCTAAAGGAGGAGAGGGTGTATTTCTTTTTCTTCTTCTCTTTTTTTCTTTTTCTTTTTTTTTTGAGACAGAGTCTCACTCTATTGCCCAGGCTGGAGTGCAATAGCACGATCTCGGCTCACTGCAACCTCCGCCTCCCGGGTTCAAGAGATTCTCCTGCCTCAGCCTCCTGAGTAGCTGGGATTATAGGCACACACCACCACGCCTGGCTAATTTTTGTATTTTAGTAGAGACAGGGTTTCACCATGTTGGCCAGGCTGGTCTCAAACTCCTGATCTCGTGATCTGCCTGCCTCGGCCTCCCAAAGTGAGAGGGTGTATTTCTTTATCCCTCCCTCTCATCTATCCATCCACGTATCTGTCCATCCATGTCTTCATACCCTGATTGACTTATATATCAACTCAGCTCTTATTTATTGGCTTTCTCTGTGCCAGGCTATGTATTAGTAGCTGAAAATACAGACATGGAAAGATCCAATCTCTGCTATCCAGAACTTATGATTTTATGGAAGTAACGATAAGGAGACATTTTCAATCTAATGTGATAATTGTTATAACAAATAGAAGTACAGGGAGAAAAAGGAATATGCTGTCATGGAAATAGCAGGTGCTAAATGAATAACTATTGAATGGATGGATGGAGAATAAGGAAAGGAGGAGGAAAGAGAGGGAGGGAAGGAGGAAGGAAGGAGAGGACACGAAGGAGGGAAGAGGGAAATGACACAGATAATAATGTGTGCAGAAAAGAATTCCTTGGGATGTCTTGGAAGAAGAGCAGGCATTGGGTCTGGCATCGCTCCTGGCACAGTCCATCTGTGTGCACACTGGCTTGTGACCAAAACCTTACCATGCCATCACTCATCCTGCTCATTGCTTTAAACAAGGATTCCAGCGGATTTGGGTTTCAACAGCTGCTTCTGTTATTTCATTGACATGTAAAAACCATATCCTCAGCCTGACTGCGGTGGACCTTAGCCTGCCGGGGGTGGGTGGAGGAGCTGCTGCTTGGCACTGTGTGCACCAGCCCTGGCTCCTGCCTCCGCCCCATCTCATCCCTTACACAGGCCCCAGGCTGAAGGGCTCTTAAGGTCACCCACTAACCAGAAATAGCCTAAGCTCACAGCAGGCTTCCAGCTTGGGCCTCCAGCAAGGGAGGCCAGAGTTCGATGTCCGAATTAACTGAGAACTCCCCAAGGGTTCCCTGTACCTCACGGTCTGGCTTTCTGGGTAGCACAAAAAGAAGGAAGGCAGAGTGTGAAGGAGAACAGAGGAGAGGAGAGAGGGGAAGGAAGCCAGTCTGTCTACCAGGATAGGCTTCTGAAAAGAAGACTGCTGCTACAATACCCAGAGCAGGCCCACTCCAGTTAACTCCCACCGTCATCTCGTCTGTTTGTCTATGCATCCATTGTCCCCAGCAGAGTCACCAAGCACCTCTCACATGCAGGGACTGAGCTGAGAGGAACAGATAGAGAGGGACAATACAGCCCGGTACAGGAGATGAAGGGCCCCGGGGCCATTGGCTCAGCAGAACTTCGCAGACACTTTCCCCAGCACAGTTCTACTTGGCGTCTGCCTTTTGTAAATCTTTCTGTTCCTTCTACTCAAATGGAGAAGAACTTTTTTACCCCTTATCAAGGGTCACTGTCTATAGAAAAAGAAAACAAATCACAGCCCTGGGCACACAGTGAGATATTTATTCTAGTCTCAGTCCATTCTAGGACGGTCGTGGTGGTGTTCACAGAAATGCACCACTTTTTAAAAATAGAAACACATAGACAAAACTCTACATATATATATATACACACACACACACACACACACATATATATATACACATACATACACACACATATATACACACACGTACATACACATATATACACACATATATATATATACACGTGTATATATATATGAATGATAGTGAATGGTTAATCAAAGAAAACATTGAGAAGAAAGGAATGAGGGTGTGTTCTTGCAAAGCACATAGAAATCCTCACTCACTGTCTTCTTCTGAGTCTTATTCTCAAACAGCATCTCATTTGACTCAGTCACCCCTGAGTGGAGATCACAAAGGAGTAACCTGGGAAGCCTGGGGAACGCACATTCTGCTCCTAGAAAGCTTTCATCAGGACCTGGTATGCAGCAATCCCCTTCCAGTGTGCACAAGAAGCAAGAGGTCCAAGGCACAACACAGGGTGCTGTCAGCTGACAGCCATGGGCCTCCTGGTGCCCCCCTGACCTGAAAGGCCACATGCATGATGGGAAACTCCCACTGCACCACCCAGGGTTCTGCTGGGGCTGAAGGTGGACTGCAGACAATACCTTCTCTCCAGCTGGGCAGGAGCAGTTGATGGTCTTCAAAAACCCAATCTGTTCACTGCCTGGGGTGGGAGGCCGCTGGGGTGGGGGTGGAGGTGGAGGCTCTGTCACCACGGTCACCTGGCACTGGAAGGAAAGCCCAGGAGGTCAGAACCTGGCTCTTCACTCAGCAGGCACTCCCTGGCAGAAGCACAGTGTCGGGTGCTTCCTCAGAACCAGGCAGCCAAAGGTTGAGAAAACGCTGAGGATGTCTCTCCTGAGGCCTTGGGGCAGAAAGCCTGGCCGGCCCAGGCTCAGCCATTTCACTGGCTGGCTCAGCAATCTGGGTGAACCGCCCACAGTCTCACACCTCGCAAGTGCTCAACAGTTCCCGCTGTCCCTATTCTCACCTCCTCCTTTTCCTTCTTCATCCCATTCTGTTCTTCCCTCACCCTCTGACTCCACAACCAGGTCCATCTGGCTGCACATTCCCAGCACCTGCTGTCTATCTGCATGCCACAGAAGCCCTGAGCCGGGTGCGCTGGCTGAGTTGGAACTGGGTCCTGGGGATGAGGCTAACCAGGCATTGCGTGGATCTCACCCTGCAGCCCGGGAAGCAGGCTCCATTATTATTTGAGTCTTTCAAGCAAGCCTTGTGACCAGGACTTGGCAAAGAGGGTTGGAAAGGGAGAGGCCTGAAACGGGGCAGAGGCTGAGGTCCGAGAACAGAGCAGAGCCTGCACAGAGGGATTGAAGGGGCAAACCCTGGTGTCTTGGGCCATCCATGTCCTGACCTCCCTGTCTTGCTGACCAGCCCAGGGCACTGCGGCCTCTCCCTCCTCTGGGCGCTGGTGGCACGGACAGTCATCCCCTCATTAGAAACACCCTCCCAGCCCCTGCCTCCTACATCCCCTAGAGCAAGGCTTCATCACTCAGCTAGCAGCACTGGGGTTACACTGACTAAGGTACAGACCACAGTAGCCCTGGAGGAACCTGCATGGCTTGGCTCCCCCAGCCCATACCCTAAGCTCCCTCTCAGGCCATATTCTGATGGTGGATGTCTCCCTGACCACCAACCACCCAACCCTAAGCTCTGGATTCCCCTTCCCTCTGGAGGCCACACACCCATTTCCTCCCATCCTCTCTGTGCGAGAGTCTGCTCACCGGACCCGAGGGGATATCACAACAAGTCTCCAATTCTGCGTGTCTCGAGTCACAATAGATCACAATCCGCTGTAGGTCAAACTGGAAAGGAAAGCAAGGAGAGAGGATAAGTTTTAGGGACTTTGGAACCCAGAAACCTCCGTGGTTTCACACAGGCCCCGTCCTGGTATCTGGTTCCACTTCCTCTTTGGGGTCTTCCTGAGTCCACCCCAGGATACCCCTATCCTGGGCTCCACTCTGGATTTTCACAAGGAGCTAAGCATCATCTGCTCACACCCCTGATCTGGCTTGGCTGTGTCCCCACCCAAATCTCATCTTGAATTGTAGCTCCCATAATTCCCATGTGTTTCGGGAGGGACCCGGTGGGAGATAACTGAATCATGGAGAGGGTTTCCCCCATACTGTTCTCATGGTAGTGAATAAGTGTCACGAGATCTGATGGTTTTATAAGGGGTTTCCCCTTTTTCTTGGCTCTCATTCTCTCTTGACTGCCACCAAGTAAGATGTCTCTTGTTCTTCTGCCATGACTGTGAGGCCTCCCCAGCCATATGGAACCGTGAGTCAATTAAATCTCTTTCCTTTATAAATTACTCAGTCTTGAGTATGTCGTTATTAGCAGTGTGAGAACAGACTAATACAACCCCTTCCTTCCATAAGGGAGAGCCCCCGTGCAAGGGGCTTCAGGACACGTTAAAGTCCAGCGTTTCGTTCTACACTGAAGGGGCTTCAGGACACGTTAAAGTCCAGCGTTTCGTTCTACACTGAAGGGGCTTCAGGACACGTTAAAGTCCAGCGTTTTGTTCTACACTGAAGGTGCTAAGGCCTCTGCCCTCCGCTCCGCACACAGAGGCACACCACCATCCTCTCTCCAGGTCACCAGCACTGCATTGAACAAGATCCTTAATGATGCTATTGCAAAGGCCTCCAAGTTCCACATATCCCTATTTTCAACCTCTCCAGGCATTTCCACAGTTGTTTCAGTGAACTTTTAAAATAAAAACTTACTTCTATCACCTCCTTTAATATGACAGCCCCTTAAACAAGACGTAACACGTAAAAAACCTAAAATTTAAAGGGGTTGTGGTGCTAAAACATCCACATGCATGAACACATTCACACACACACAGTCTACAGACAAAGCCCAGGCCCTTTCGTGGGACACCCCACCTGCCAGGGCCTGGCCCTGCCTGGCTCCCCAGGTGTCCCTCTCTTCACCTGCACTTGCACTCTGCAGCATCTAACCACATGGCAAACCACACCTGCACATTCACGCTTTAGCACGTGGTACCTCTTCTAGGAAAGCCCTTGAGCAACGAGCAATCTCCCAGTCACCACCCAGAGCCATATCCAGGTATCCCCTTTAGGGGCTGTTTTTCAAATACATCCACAGATTGGGAACTTAATTCCCCTCCCCTGGTGTGAAGTGATGGCATGTCACTTCTGAGATCAGGTCATAAGAAGACTGGCTGCTGTCTTCAGTGTGTTCTTCTCTCTCTGTCTCTCTGTGTGTCCCTCTCTCTCTCATCACTCACCATGGGGCACAGAAGGTAGCATGTTGTCAGCTACTCAGTGGACAGGCACAGGTGGAAAGGAATTAGGGTGGCTGCAAACACTAGCAAGGAACTGAGGTCCTCCATTCCACAGCTCACAAGAAGATTCCAACAGCTCCTAGTGAGATTGGAGGTGGCTTTTCAGCCTTATTTGAGCTTTGAGATGACTGTAGCATTGGCCAGCAGCTTGAGGGCAGCCCAGTGAAAGACCCTGAGTGAACCACTCAGCTAAGCCACTCTCAGATTCCTCATCCATGGAATCTATGAGACAGTACATGTTTGTTGTTTTAATCTGCTTTTGCTGGGGGAGATGGGATAACTTGTTACACAGCCACAGGTGTAACTGATACACCTCCCTCTACAGCCAAGAATTCATCAGGCCCTCTTCTCTGCCACATGTGCATCTTGCATGATATGGTTTGGCTGTGTCCCCACCCAAATCTCACCTTGAATTGTAATAATCCCCATGTGTCAAGGGTGGGGCCAGGTGGAGATAATTGAATCCCCATACTGTTCTTGTGATAGTGAATAAGTGTCATGAGATCTGATGGTTCTATAAACGGGAGCTCCCTTGCACACGCTTTCTCTTGCCTGTTGCCATGTAAGATGTGACTTTGCTCCTCATTCACCTTCCACCATGATTGTGAAGCCTCCCCAGCCATTTGGAACTGAGTCAATTAAACCTCTTGCCTTTCTAAATTACCCAGTCTTGGGTATGTCTTTATTAGCAGCATAAGAACAGACTAATACATTGCACAGACAGCTAACATCAGACACAGCAGACTGAAGGATAATTAGACGTCTGTATGTCCATCTTCCTTCCAGGCTCCAGGACTTCCGAGAGCAAGGACCGAATCCCAGGCAGTGCTGCCTTCTCAAGCACGAAAGCCGAACTCTTGCTAATGTATCAGAGCTGTCGACAATCTCTCGCTCTCCCCAGGCCCTGCAGGACATGGTTCAAGCTCACCCCTAGTCTGCCATGCTCATTGCTCCCTTTCCTTCAGCCACATTGGTTTCCTCCTGCCACCCCTCCTGCTCCTGCGCTGGCTCCTCAGCCGCCTGTCCACACACAGGCCCTCCCTGTCACTCTAGCACAACATCCTGAATGTGGTCCTAACAGCACTTCTCACAATGAATGATTCTGTCTGTTTCTTAGCTCAGTTTTTTAAACATCCCTAATAGAACATAGACCACGAGGGCAAGGTCTCCTGTCTCCTGTCCTTCGCTGGAGCAGTCCGACTCATAAAAGTGCCGTACAATCGATGGCTGGGTGGACGAGTGGATGAATGGATGGGCATTTATCAAATGGAGCTTGAGCTCAGTCAGTGGAGGGGGGAACGCTTATTGCATTGAACACTGATGCAAAGTGCCCTGGACTGACCACTCCCCTGCTCCCTTCTCAGGCCCATGTTGGACTCGGGAGTCCCTCTGCACACTGAAGTGCCCCTTGAAGTGTAGCCCCTCACCCCACTGACTTTGTTCAGCAGAAACAATAACAATACCATTCATCTGTCTGTTTTATTTCCTGTAGAGAACCAGCCCAGAAACAGGAGAAAATGACAAAATGAAAAATTGTGGTTTTGAACAAAGCCTACTTTCAGAGACAGCCCTGCTTTCTTCATTATCAAACATACTCGCAGCAGCTGGGACTGCCTGGCAAGGCCGCAGGGACAGGGAAGGAGAAGAAGGAGACAGGAGGCAGGCCAGGGACAGAGCACACTGGATTGGGGATCTGGACAGAGGCGTTCTCAGGTGGGGTGAGAGGTCCTCTGAGCCAAGAGGGGCCCCTTTCCGATTGCCTGAAATGCCAGCATTGCCCCAGCCACTCAATCCTTCTCTTCCTTTCCTCCCTGCCCCACACCCTGGGATTTCACCTCCTGACATCACTGTGCTGCCCCACTCCTGTCTGGAAGTCCTGCTCCGGTTTCTGCCCTCAGCAATTATGGGTTGAACTGCTGCATGGGTCTGCTTGGCTCCCTGGATCCCAGCTTCCCTCCGTATCCCACCCATCAGCAGCTTAGAGACCCTTTGCTGGCTGCAGTGTGGAAACCAATTAGGGAGCACAGACAGCTGGAAGGCTGCATTCAGCACGGCCCAGTCTGAGCCTCAGCTCTACTTTTCTGTCATATCAGCTGGTCAAGTTAGGAAAACTGAACCTCAGTTTTTCTTTCTGTGAGATGGACTCACAGGGCTGTGGTGGGAACCAAGGAAAACAGAGTCCATGACAGCACAGTGTCAGCCACAGATGAAGCTTCAGTGTAGAATGTGTAGGATGCCCCAAACCATGTGGCTACAAGTACCACAGCTGATGCTTCTGGAAGATTTACTAAGAGGTAGAGATGTATTGATTCTCCTATATATTTTCTTGATACTTGGTTTTAACATAAAAATGCAACATGGAACAGTCAATGGGTGTAATACCCCCATGGACACTCTTCATTATTCTCTATTGCCTCTAACCCAGCTGAGAACTCCCCATGTGCCAGGCACTGTTAGGTGCTGTGTTTACATACTGGTGATCTCACTTAATCCTCACAATAGCTCTGACAGGTGTGAGTTTCCACTGTCTCCTTTCTATAGATGAGGAAGTGAAGGTGCAGACAGGTGAGGCCACTGGCCTGGGTGTTTTAGTCTAGTTTAGTAGACCTAGAAACGTCTATTCAAGAAGTAGCATCTTTATTTAATTTGGGAGCACTGGTAGCAGAGCTGGAAAGTGAGTTAGGGAAAGGAAGCTAGCCTGTAAAGGGCTGTTATCAAGGGTGTTACCACTGTGAGCATCTGCAGTTTACACGTGTTGGGGAACTCTGGAGCCCGTCAAGAATATGTGACTCAGAGTTAGGATGTCAAGTGGTGAGGGAGCTGGGGTATTGATACTGCAACTGCCACCAGTCCTTGGCGGAGGGCTGCTCCTGTGGGTGTTGATGCCTGCTTGATAATGGATAGCACTGTCTCTGGTAGAGACGGAAAGCCCTCAGGCAAGACAGGTGCAGGCAGTTGGCAGCACAGCTGGTATGCACTGAAATGATGAGGACCCAGGGGGATATAGGTGGGGAACCAACTACTTCTACTATACTAGGGTGTTGTATGTGGTGGGGATGTGTCCAGAAGGAAACTCAGGTCTGATTTCCAATCCCCTGTTTAGGGGTCGACCATATAATACAAATGGGTACCTTGGAGAGTACCAGAAGCTAATCCTCTTCCTGTTTTCAAAACCTGACACCACCACCATGATAATGTGAAGATGGTGGTGATGATGTTCATGATGACGCATTTATTGAAAGCTGGCGGTATTCCAGGAAGTTTTATAAGCACTTCACATATGATACAGCATTTAATCACACAACAACCCTGTGGAGGGAGGGCTCATTTTTCTCTTGTTACAGCTGAGGAAACAGCACCAGAGAGGCTATAGGGGAGCTTGGACTCCAGAACAATTTTGTTTAACTCAAAGGCTAAGACAGGCATTTTTAGGGATGTGGGGCTATTTGCTAAAGTTGGCACTTATTTTAGGAGACTTTTAACTCAAATATAGTCTCCCACTACCTCAAATAGAAATATAGTGGAAATCTCATTGTTGGATGTTTGGAACCAGGGTTAGAAGGATCTAATCTTGCTCTATATCTTTGGACATGTTCGTTATTCCCTCTGAGCCTCCGTATCCTTGTCTGTAGAGTAAATGAGGGGCTGGATAAGATGCTCTCTGGGTTCCTTACAGCTCAGAGGGTATCTGCTTCAGGGACTGTTATTCAGGGGCTGACAGTAGAACCATGGAGCTCACAGAGCCAGAGTCCTAGCCTGGCTGCCCAAGACAGGGAACTTAAACAAGTCACCTGATACTTTTCAGTTGGAATCTCCCCACCTATAAAATGTGAGCAGCATCCACCCACCTGGCCTGAATTTAGGATTAAGAAGGGTTGTGTTTGTGACCGTGATGCACACTCTGAGGGAGATAACAGTGATCCTTATTGTGTCATAAATACCCCATAGCTCCATCTTGTCCAGCCCTTTGATGTCTGTTATCTTAGGCAGGGAGAGGTTTGCAAATGGACCTGGAAGACGGGCTGCGTGAGTGGAAACCCCAACTGCCATTTGTTGGCTCTGTGATCTCAGAAGAGTCCTCCAATTCTCCAGGAGCATCTCTCTCCATCTGTGAAATGAGGATGTCCACTCTATCTACTTTCTGAAGTTGTAAAGATTTTGGTCAGAAATGGGGTAAAGGAGCACTTTAGTGCAATGCGTGGCACAGAGCCTCTGCACAAGTAGCTAGAATTAGCAGCAGGCTGAATAATGATTTTATAGCTTTACTTTTATTTTACTATTTTTTGCTTAACTTGGTTCCACATCTATTATTTCATCCCCTCAGCAACTGCATATAAAAACAAACAGGGTGTGATTCCCATTTCAGAGATTAAACAATCTAACAGATAAACAAAGCCTGGAAAACATGAACAGTGTGTGACGTGGGCGATGGTGTTACAGCTGGCTGGCAGTGGCTGGCATGTGAGCTGCAGTTTGCACGTGTCTGTCCTCCCACCTCTGCAAGCCCCAATCTCTCCTCTCCCCACTACCCCTGACCAACTCACTCTCAGCTTAATTTTTAAAAATTGGTATGCACAGGGTTTTTGATGATTTATCATTCTGTTAACAAAGCAAGTTATGACAAAGTCTATAAACCTGTTTATGATGTCTTTTGCCAGAATGCCACTTCCTAAAATTTTATGTTTCCCAACTTACTCATTTTTCCTTATGGTTTATGTTTGACAGACCAGGAAACAATTTTGCAGCATGTATAACAAATAAGCAATTAGTATACAAAATATGTAAAGGTTATCTAGAAATCATTCAGTAAATAAAACTAGCATAGTAGTAAAACAGGCAAAGGATATGGCCTAGCATCACCAAAGGGGGACGTGGGAACCATCAGTAAACATAGGGAAGGATTTCCAGTCTCAATGGTAATCAGGCAAATGCAGATGAAAACCGCAATATTACCCTCTATGCCCAGCAGACTGGCAAAACAACAAAACATTATACACATATATTTTATATCTATATAATGTACCATTATATAGATATAAATTATATGTATCTATATATAATGTTCACATGTTTATATATTTATATATTATATATAATGGTATATATAATTATATAGATATAAATTAAATAAACATTATCTATATAATTTATGTCTATAATGTATGTATATGTTTATATAATGTTTATATATTATATATAATTTATATATTTACACACAACATATATATATATTCACACACACACATACATACACACATATAAAGGTCACTTTCTAGAGCAATTTGAAATACATGGGAAAGTTAAAAATTGTGTATCCCACAGCCCAATCATTAAACTTGAGGGTACATACCTCCAAGAAATGCTCTCAATTAATCTATATCTCAAGCTTAAAGGACAGCTGTTGCTTACATTTTCCTCATAAGTAAAGTGCATGGAGATGTACCCCCCTTTTCAAAGTCCAAGGCTTCCTAATTATGTAGTGATACATTAGAAACTATCTAAATACCACTAACAGGAGAATGAATGACGTATGAATGAATATATAACAAAGCATTATGCTTTAGCTAAAAAAAAATAAAAGCTTAGACACATGATTTTGAGTAAAGAAAACAAAAAAAGCCAGATGTAGTCCATTATTTACATAAACTTCCAAGAATCTATCCTATGCGTAATGGTACTATATTTGCTTATGCTTATGTATACATAGATACATAAAATGGTTTTGGAAAGAGCTTTCCCCACATCATGTTTCCTGTTATTTCTCAGGCAGTGGGGGATGCTCTTGGGCATGGGAGCTAACGTTGACTTCAGCTTGAAGATGGAACATGTGGATCACTGTGCAAGGTGTCTGTGTGTATTGTATTATGTACATACTTACGGTGTATGCATCTCTGTGGCTACAGATGTGGGTATGTATTTCCAGAGGGAAGAAAGAAAAATTAAAGAAATGAAAAAAACAGAAGAGAAATGAAGTAAGGAGGGAAGAGGAAAAATAAAAGAAGGAAAGAACATTGATTCAGGATGTTCAGTTATTGCCAGTTGTTATCCCTAGTTGGTGCAATGAGGATGATTATTGTTTATTTTCCACATATTTTCCAATTTTTTTTACAATCAAGGAAGAAGGAAAAAATCTGTATTTAAATTTATCAGAAACTATTATATACCTATCCACCTACCTGCATATATATATTCATATACATATGTATCTATATATGTATGTATGTGTGTGTGTGACTTTGCAGACCTAGGAGCTACCTTTCTCTAAAATTGTTTATGCGGCCAGATCCATGTCAGTCTTGCTCTCTTTTGCGGGTACCGGTGTCCCCAGTGCAGAGCACAGTGCCTGGCACATAGTAGGTGCTCAATGTATATGTGATGAATGATTGATGGAATGGTTGAATAACCGAATGAGTTAATACATGGGTGATGGTGAATTGGGGTTCAAATATGGCAGTTTTCTGAGTCAGGGTCTTTCCTTCTAAGACGGTCCAAGGTGATGATTTGGTACCTGGTTCATGCAGGTGTGGAGAACACTGAGGGCACTTAGCTCCCAAGGCTTCTCCCCGGTGGCCTGGAACCTGGGCTGCAGAAGGCCCCCTGGTACTCACGTCAATGGGCACACTGTCGTAGAGGCGCTTGCCAATCACAGTCTTGCCCTGGATGTCAATGTTCTCCCGTTCCTCGATGGGTAGTGTCTGCACCAGCGCACAGTCAATGTGCAGGGAGACGTTCTGGGCCTGGATGCTCAGGGCCATCTTGTGCCAGTCCCGGTCAAAGAGGTCATTGACCCGAGAACCTCGGAAGACCACCCTGACAGCATCTTTCATGGCACCCACAGCGTTGTACTCGACTGCCTTGTTTTCACCATCCAGCCGGATGGAGACCTGGGGAGGAAAGGACCAGAGACTCCTTGAGCTTCTTGGGGCCAAGGGAAAAGGAGAGAATGGGAAACGGGAGTTCAGAGTCAGACCTGGCAATCCTGAGTCAATCCTGGCTGTGACTCTTACCAGCTGGTCACCTGCCACCTGAGCTTGGACAAATTCCGTCACACCTCTGAGAGCCTCGGGTTCCTCCTCGCACAATGGTGTTAATGATGTCTACCTTGCAGGCTGTTCTAAACCCAGTATTAAAAGGAATAATTGCACTCATACATTAACTCAGGGGTCACAGCCTCAACTGTCTGGAAGGGCTATGCGGGTAAGAGAGCTTTGGTGAGACTCCAAGACAATTCATGCACAGAGGGGCTTGAGTTGTGAGACCAGCCAGAAATCCCAACTAGTTTCAGTGTCTTTTAAAATCGTGGGCTGGTTAAACCAAAAATATCTTCAGGCCTGATCTATTACCCTACACTGTCTTTTATTTGAGGATAAAGCTGGGGCTCCCATAAAATGTTTCTTGATAGCAGAGGTCTGACCTGTCTGGGTCATTGGGGTAGCCTTCGGAAAATGCACAGGCATTTTGGAATGGGCAAATTCTGGAGAAGATTTTACTGTTTTACTTCCGATTTTTTGTTTTGTTTTGTTTTGTTTTGTTTTGAGATGGAGTCTCACTCTGTTGCCCAGGCTGGAGTGCAGTTGTGTGATCTCAGCTCACTGCAGCCTCTGCCTCCCAGATTTAAGCAATTCTCTTCTCCCGCCTTAGTCTCCCGAGTAGCTGGGATTACAGGTGTGCACCACCACACTCACCTAATTTTTGTGATTTTAGTAGAGACAAGGTTTCACCATTTTGGCCAGGCTGGTCTCAAACTCCTGACCTCAAATGATCTGCCCACCTTGCCCTCTCAAAGTGCTGGGATTACTGATGTGAGCCACCGTGCTCAGCCTGATTGCTTTTTAATAATGAATAAATGATTATGTTCTCATCCATGTACTTATTTTGTCATCCCTCCAGAATAGTCACCAAACATCCTGTGTGCCCAGCAGGCAACATGCCAGGTGTCAGGAACACAACACAATCAGTGCACAAAAGTATGAACAGAATAGAAGGCACAGAACATGAGTATCCATTGAGTGAATGAAATAGTATTTCCTTGTTCCATCTCTGCAAGGTTAGTCTTCATCTGCTCTAATATTCACGTGTTGCCCTTCCCTGGGGCTCCCTGCTCCCAGGATCTGACCTTTTAGGACTTCTTCTCGGCTCCTGGACCCTTTGGCTTCTAGTTGAGCTTGGCCCATGGGAAGTCCATTGGAATGGAGACCAGTGAGCAGGAAGAGAGAGAGTTGGAGTATTTATTCCTCCCACCCCTCCTGGCTTCCCTGTGGCTCCTGAGTGGCTTTGTCCCTCCATGTGCCCCAGTTCTTTGGACATATATCCTCCTCTGTGACTCTAGAACTCACCATCTCCTCCCCGTTCCCCTGCCTATCCAGGCCCAGGTGGTAGCTTCCTCCTGTGGCTGATCCTGGCATGCCTTGGCATTTCTTGTTGGTTTCCTTAACCCTTATCCCTTAACCGCATCAGCTCCCTTAACCCCAGTTACTTTGCTACAGCACTCGTCAAAAATGTGGGCCCAGTGGGGGCTGTCTCTTGCTAGCCTACATCTAAACCAATGAATCACTTTTTAGCTGTGTGACCTTGGGTAAGTTATTTAACCTTTCTACAGCTTCCTCATTTGTAAAATGGGACCAATAGTAGTGCCTATTTGTGAAGAGGATCATATAAATTGATCCACGATAATTTAATTAATGAATTGTCACGAGGATTATGAGAAGTATAATATATATAAAACATTTATATAGTATTTATTATTTGCCAGGCACTGTTCTAAATATTTGCAATAATGAATTAAGCAAGTTCACAGGCATCACAGCAGTGAAACCTTCTCTGATAAACATGTATTCTTGGATTTTAACCTGGCCATCTGTTCTCACATCCCAAGATGTGATTTATTGGCTTTTTTCTTTTTTCTTTTTCTTTCTGTCATCCCAGCTGGAGTGCAGAGGAGTGATTCAGCTCACTGCAACCTCAACCTCCCAGGTTCAAGCAATTCTCCTGCTTCAGCCTCCCGAGTAGCTGGGACTACAGGTGCGCACCACCATGCCCAGCTAATCTTTGTATTTTTAGTAGAGATGGGGTTTCACCATGTTGGCCAGGCTGGTCTTGAACTCCTGACCTCAGGTGATTTGCCTGCCTTGGCCTCTCACAGTGCTGGGATTACAGGCATGAGCCACTGTGCCCAACCATTTATTGACTTTTTTCATAGCACAGCATCAGTATATGAAATTATCTTATGCGTATCTTTTGTTCACCTTTTTTGTCTTTCCCATCCATGCTTTTAAACAGGCATTTTCTCTCTTCATCTCTGTAATCCCAGTGGCTAGGAAAACACATGGTACACAGTGGCACTCAATAACAAGGTACTGAATGCATGAAGGAATGAACAAATGAATAAGAGTCTCTGTAGTTAAAGGAAGGTGCTCACGTAGTGCAGGGGGATCAGCTACGTATTCAACACAACCTGGGTCTTCTGGTCTCTTTTTCTGTGCTCCACATGGCTTCAGTACAACCAAGGAAGACTGGGATTTATTTTAATTCCATCACCTATTTTATGCTATGAGTAGGGCATAAAATAGAAAACTATGAAACCCTGTCAAATGATCTAATACTTCTAATACATATAAAGCTAATAATTGCATGATTAAACATGGTCTTCTATTTCATATGTTCGAGCACTGTGTCCCTGAACCTTCAGAGCTTCCTGGGGACATGACTTTCCCATGTTTCTGCCTCTAGCATGATATAGAGCAAGGGAGGGCATCCAGCAGTCCGATGTCTTGTGTTTACCAATACTAGCTGGGTGGCCCTGGGGAAGGCACTTTCTATGTCAGCTCCATCAGCAAATCCTACTGGTTCTATTTTCAAAATTAATCTATAACCTGATTGTTTCTTCTAATCTCTCTATTACTGCCGGCATCCACACTTGCCTGGATCACTACTATGTTCTCCTAATTTGTCCTCCTATTTCTGGGCCTGTGCAACTCCACAGAGTCTCTTCTCAAACAAAAAGTCCCTAGACTGGCCTACAAGACTTATTGAAACCCAGCCTCAGTTTACCCAAATGACAAATGGGGAAAATGTCAGCTTTTAAGGGTGGTTGTAAATGGCAAATGAAAGCATGCACATATATATCTGTAGATGAACTTCTCTATCTGTAGATCTGCCATGACTGACAGAGTGCATGGGCATGCAACCAACACCACTCTGCTCACAGTTCATCTTCTTTATAGGTCTTTATCCAACTTTCCTGTGTCTAGCCAGTATTTCCCCAGGGCGTGGAAGTGCGCATCATTGGCACTTCTGGTGACGGGCACTCAACCAAGCCTTGATTAACAAGGGTAAATTTCTGTGTGCCTCTTCAGACAGGAATCTCAAATCTCAAGACAGACTTCATCTCTCCATGGTTCTGTGGTATTTCATCCCATTACTCATTTTGACAGAAGGAGGGGAAGATGCACACATGGCAGACAGGACACAGACAGCTCTGCAAATGCCATGAAGGAAGAGATCCCAGACTGAGGGGGCGGTGCAGGCTCACCCACAAGAATGTAATGTCAGGTGCCCAGTCCCACTGCACCAGACCCTGAGAAAATGGAGAAGCAAGACCTGTGCAATTGGAGATGGAGTTGGATGGGAATGCAATGGACTTCTCCAGAAAAGTGGCCTCTGGAGAAGAATCCCAACTCCTCCATTCAGCCTTCCACACTTACAAAATCAAGCCTCTCAGCAGTTAGTTTGAAAATGTCTCAATGTCTCTGCATCTCAGTATGACCAGGGATGTTATGGAAAAATCATTCAGCAGGACTAATTGATCAGGACAGGCTTGGAACAGAAGCCAGCTGAGCATATGGTTAAAAGCACAGATGTGGGAACCTGAATGACTGGGTTCAAATCTCAACCCCTGCTCTTATTACCTGTCAAAAGGTAAGCAAATTTCTTAGCCTCTCTGTGGCTCAGTTTCCTCATAACTGTGATGCTAACAGTAGAAAATATTCACAGAGTTATTATGAAGACTAAATGAATTAGTATTTGTAAAGCCCTCCAAACAATCCCCAGCTCCTACTAAGAGTATGTACATGTTGATAAGCAAACGCATCTGAAGTCAGGGCCCAGCCTCAACCTGGGAGGGTGAGCTCACTGTTTAAGAGTATCTTGCCCTCTCAGATGGCAGGCCATGAGTGTGACTGCTGGAGTCCAATTGCTTGAGCATGCTTTTATTTTATTTTAGCCCCCAGTGAAAGTTTAGTCAGTATCTCCCAGCTGAAAAGTGAGTAATATCTTCATCCAGTTCATTTTACTAGGAGAGGAGAAAGAAACGGTTTGTCTATGACTTGAGAACAAGGGGATTTGGATTTGGCAGAGAACAAATAGTAGTGTTGCTTTTATCTCAAACCAACAGATGGTGTTGATGGCTTTGAATTTCAGATTTCTCTTTCCTCACCGGACTGTGTGCTGGTGGAGAGCTGTCCTACCTTCATGGGAACTGAAAGCTGAAACACATCAGAGGTGAGTAAAGACAGGACCCAGAGCTTCATTCAGAAGAACACTGAAGGGAACTTCTCATGATGAGATTTTATTACGTATCAGACACTGTTCTAGATGCTTTACAGACCATTATTCCATCTGATTCTCCCACCAACGGTTCATGGTAGGTACTCTATTTTCCATTTTACAGCTAAGAAAACCAAGACTCAGAAAGATAAAGTAACCCATCCCAGGACCCACACGAATGAAGGAGTAGACACGAGACCTGAACCCAGGTCTATGTGACCCTGAGCCAGTGCCCTCCACTGCATCACGAAGCTGGGTCACTCATGCTGCCAATATAGGTGTCACAGGACAGCAGAGTTGGTGTCCATGTCCTTGGCTAGACCAAGTGTCTTGGAGGACAGGAACTCAGTCTTCTTTACCCCCATCAGAAGGCCTGGTACTACATTATCATTAGGACAAGAAGCTAGACCTCTTGGGTCTCATGACATCCCCCCTGCAGGTCCTCTGAGCCTCCATACGCCAGGCTCTCTATCTCTCTAGGCCCAGGGATAAGAGCCCTGGAGAAAACATGGTGGGTGGTGCCATCCACTGTGAGAGGGGAACAGAAAGCTCAGGACCACTGAGATAAGGCATCTGCTGCCCTTACCTGTGGGATGCTGTACTGGTCGATGACCTGCCAGATATACCAGTCTTCCTTCCGAGAGGTTTTCCTGAACCGGAAGGTTGTGACAAAGGCGTACTCATCAGGTAAACCTTGGGGGAACACATCCCTGGAGAAAAATGGAGACAAAGACACCAGGCTTGGCGATGAGAGCAGGGAGCCAGCAAAGTGAGCCCACACAACCCAGCAGTGATCAAGCCCTGCCAATTTGACTTCCTAAATATTTCCACCATCCACCTTCTTGGCCTGCCTTCACTGCCTTCTCCTTAGGTCAGGGCCTCAATGTGGCCTAGACCATCGTCATGACCCCCGAGGCTCCAACATCAGCACCTTCAAATCCATCCCTATGGTGCGTCTGCTTCCATCTCTCCACCACCACCATGACTCTGATGACATCCACAGTAAACGCTAAATGGTCACGCCCCCGGGATCAAATATGGAGAGACACCCAGCTTCGCTGCTCCCTGCTGCATCCTCCTCAGCCAGGACAAATGGATATACCTTATCCTGCTTGGTGCCCTGTCCCAGATGCCAGGATGCCATGGTCTGAATGTTGCTGTCTTCCTAAATCCATATGTTGAAATCTTCACACCAAGGTGATGGTAACAGCAGATGGGGTTTTGGTGGCGGGTGATTAGGTCTTGAGGGCAGAAAGCTCACGAATGGGATTTGTGCCCTTATAAGAGAGACCCCAGAGAGCTTGTTTACCCCTCCCACCATGTGAGAGTACAGGGAAGGATGGTGTCTATGAGGACCCTGACCTTAGACTTCCCAGCCTGCAGAACTGTGAGGAGTAAACACTGTGTATAAGCCACCCAGCTTAGCTTACGGTGCTTTGTCATGGCGGCCAGAATAGACTGGGATGTAGCACATCCTCTTCTCTCCCACAAGGCCCAGGTTCCTGCCTGGCCTGTGGAGCCAGCCTCTCACCTCAGGGAGGCCTCAGCTCCCTGTTGCTCCACCCCCACCAAGTCCTCGGGCTGCTTTTCCTCTTCCAAATTCAGAAATGAAAATTGTTAATTCCCTTCTATGGAGGCTCAATCCCCCCCACCGAGAACCAAGATGCCATCCCTCAGTCCCTCTGTCCTCGGAGCACTCTCAGGCCAGCTGCTCTTCCATCTTCCTCTGTATCATGTACAGGGCACCTGAGCTCCCTCCTGCCTCTTGCATATCAGCACAGAACCCCGCCACCCCCACCAACATGCAGCCTCTCCTGATTGCACATCCCCAGCCGGGACCTGAGCCATCTCCCACTTCCCCTCTTTCTTCCTCTCCTTCCCTCCACAACAGGGTTCTGGGAAACATCATTGACATCACCCCCTCCCCTTCCTCATCTCTCCCCATCTGCTTGACTCATAGCCACCTGTCTTCCAGCTCTCCATCCTCCCCATGTTTTCCTCGTGAGGTCCCTGGTGAGGAAACACTGACAAATCCCTGTCCCTCAGCACCCAAGTAGCACGGCAGGCACTTCATAAAAGTTGAAGGAATGCAGAACTTTGAAAACTGTCAACAGCCGTTTCCATGGAGAAACCTCTCTTTCGCCAGTGCTAGTACAGGACCTGGTTGATTTTCCTGGAGGACGCATCCTAGACAACACATATGTGGGAGCTGTCCCAAGCCTTGTAGGAATCTGAGCAGCCTCCCTGGCCCCCACCCACTTGATGGCAGTAGCAACCCCTCACTCAGTTGTGACAACAAAATTGCCTCCAGATACTACCCAAGGTTCGCTGGGGGGTGGGGGTGAAATTTCTCTTAGTTGAGAACCACTGATCTATCCTAGACTTACATCCTATCAAAATAAAGTTTAGCTTACTTTTTCATAGTGTTTCTCAGATTCAATAAAGCACTTACACTTAGGATCTCATTTGACATAAGAGTCTAAGATTTAATAAAAATACATATCTTTTGAGAGCTTAACACAAGCTCACCACAACTCTTTTCACATATTGCCTAATTTCTTCCTCACGAGAATCTATAAAGAAGGTATTAAAGGCGTGAACCCGGGAGGCAGAGCTTGCAGTGAGCCAAGATCATGCCACTGCACTCCAGCCTAGGCGACAGAGCGAGACTCCATCTCAAAAAAAAAAAAAAGGTATTTTGATCCTCGTGCTATAACCCAGGCTCTGAGGGGTTAACTCCATGCCATCTGGCTACTAAGTGGCAGAGGGAGACACACCTGGGACCTGCTCTCCTGGGCTCTTCTCTTAATCACCAGCTGACTGCACCTTAACTGCAGAGCCAGCCGTGGGGGAGCCCAATCCTGCCCTGGGGGCTGGGGGCTGCCTCAGGAATGTACATGATATTGACTTCCCTGCTGGAGGAGGTGGACCCTGCCTGGCCAGACAGACAGGAAGGGAAGTGGGGAGGCGTCTGAGTTCCTGGTTCTCAGACTTGCAGATCCGCAGGGACTTTGTTTGGCTGTAGGACCTGCGAGCAAGATTCTGATTCTCAGTTTACATCTCCAGGCTGGGAGATGACAGCCCAGTTGTTCAAAGTCATTCTCTGAGTTGGGATTTCACCCAGGATCACATCCAGGTAGTAGGAACAGGGCCCATCACTCATAGCACCTGGGCCTCCCTCAGCATTCAGAGACACCCTCAGTCACTGCCCATGCAGGAGGAAGATGGGGCCTCCCCACCTGCATCCACAGACACACGCTTTGTAGCTACAGATCAGTATGCTGCTTTGTTTTTCATTTTCTCCTTCTTTTCTTTATTTCCTTCCTTTCCTGTTTTTTTTTTTTTTTTTTTTTGAGACAGAGTCTCGCTTTGTCTTCCAGGCTAGAGTGCAATGGCATGATCTCAGCTCACTGCAACTGCCTCCCGGGCTCAACCAATTCTCCTGCCTCAGCCTCCCAGGTAGCTGGGATTACAGGTGCCCGCCACCACACCTGGCTAATGTTTTCTGTTTTTAGTAGACAGGGTTTCAGCTAATTTTTTGTATTTTTAGTAGAGACATGGTTTCACCACATTGGCCAGGCTGGTCTCGAACCCTGGACCTCAAGTAATCTGCCTGCCTTGGCCTCCCAAAGTGCTAGGATTACAGACATGAGCCACAGCACCTGGCCATTTTCTCCTTATTTTCTTAATGAATCCAATTATGCTATTTTTTTTCCCTGAACACACTTTCTTCTTATACCTTTGAAATACACACAGACAAGTGTATCATAAGAAAAAGTACAGATTTATCTGTTAATGACTTTTTATTCCCCTGATTATAATAACTTTTGCTTAGGTTATACACACACATATGTGGGTATATGTGCATGTGTGTGTATATATATATGTATATACCTACACGTGTGTTTATATATGTACCCATATGTACCTATATATACATACATATGTGTATCAGTCATTTTAATCAGGGAGAAAAAAGATCATTAACAGAAAACATCTAAAGAAAGGAAATAGCTGAATCCAATCTTTTCCACAAATAATATAGCAGATATGAGATGGCAGTGGAAGGGTAAATGGTGTGTAATTAGAGGACCTGAGTTTGAGGCCAGCCTCTGCTTCTTCTGACCTGTGAGGTGTTGAACAAATCACTGTCCCATTTTGAGTCTCAAATGTTGTACCAGCTAAGTGAAAAGTGTAATACCTGCCTTGCTCGTTTCTGTTATTGTCATGAGAAATAAATTAGATAAGGTGCGTCAATGCCCTTTACATATTAAAAAGGTGAGAAAAAATGTAAATATTAAAAGTGACAACTTTTCTTTATGAACAAAATTAACTTGCAAACTAAAGTTTTATGTATATGTGTTTAAACTTCAAAGCTTTAGAAATTAAAAGTATAATATCCTTTCTTGAAATGAAAGAGCTTTGCCAATTTGATTTTGTTTTGGGTGCTTTGCCATTAAAAAAAATGTGGAAATTCCTCCTCAGAGCAACTCTCAGAGAACAGGAAGGAGCCAAATCCGTGACCGGAATCGGGGTCCCATGCTGTGTTCCACAGAGCATTGCCTGAATTCGGCCGCTTTGCTCTTTGATGCAAGTGCTTCCTTAGAAGGTTAGCAGAGTGGTCCTTGGTTAGACCCTTCCACTAGATTTGTGTAACTTTTGCTTTCTTTATTTTGTTCCTTCTCTTTTGCATTTTTTTCTTAAAGTTCCATGTGATTTTTTTCTGCTTACAAGTGGAATAGGTGGTGAATTGGACATATTAGGCAAAGAAGTGAGGGGGAGTGAAGGAGGAAACAGGGTGTAGACTCTGCTCATCCCTGTGCACCCCCCACATGAGCATGGGGCCAGGTGATTCATAATAACATCCTCCAGCACCTGGCTGTGTGTGGAGAGAGAACAACCTCATTGTCTGGGAAAATGACTCTCTCAAGAGTTGGCTGACAGCGATTATTGTCTTTGTTTCATGAAAACGAGACTCAGAGAGGAAGTGACTTGTCTCATTTCTTCTTCTGTAGAATCGCTCTTGGAATGCAGACACTGTGAGCCACGGATGAAATGACATTAGGGTCTGACACAGTGCCTGGTGTGTGGCTGGCACTCAGAGAATGTTCATTGAATTAAAAAAACAAAAAGGATCACACACATGCAGAAACCCCTACTCTATGAGCTGGCGTTCAAAGCCAGTCTTTGCCAGACTAGCATCTGAAAGAACATTTTCACTCCTTACGGGCTGTTGACTCATTCATTCAGCAAATATTTCCTCATTCCCTACTCTGGGCAGGGCTTAGTTGGGTGCCGAGACTGTAGCAGAAACCAAGACTCAGTTCCTTTCTAGGACTTCTCATTGAGCAGGGGAGATAAGACTATTGCACAATTGATCAGCTAACTTCAAATTTAACACATTCTGTACAGAAGTACAAATTGGGAGGAGGGTAGGTAAGGGGAAGGCCTGACTTTGGGGATTCAAGGAAGGCATCTAGAGAGCATAATGGGTGAGCATGCTTTGCAGGATGAGCAGGGCACGTGTCCCAGGTAGAGGAAGAACATGAACTAAGGCCTCCCAGTGGGAGGAGGATGCCTGGGAGGACCTAGAACAGAGACAGGAGGTAGACAGGGAGGCCTGGAGGATGAGCCAGGAGGCCACAAAGGCAGGACAGGGCTGGGTCACACAGGGACCTTCCTCTTCCTGGCCTTTTAGTTTACTAAGAACACTGGAGGAATTAAATATTAATAGTTTAAAGATGGAAGAGAGGTCGCATAACACAATATTGTCAGAGGCGTGTGAACCAGAGCAACTCCATCTTAAACAGGAGCTGGGTAAAATGAGGCTGAAACTTACTGGGCTGCATTCCCAGATGGTTAAGGCATTCTAAGTCACAAGATGAGGTAGGAGGTCAGCACAAAATACAGGTCATAAAGACCTTGCTGATAAAACAGCTTGCAGTAAAGGAGCCGGCCAAAACCCACCAAAACCAAAATGGCCATGAGAGTGATCTCTGGTCGTTCTCACTGCTACACTCCCATCAGCGCCATGACAGTTTATAAATGCCATGGCAACGTCAGGAAGTTACCCTATATAGTCCAAAAAGGGGAGGCATGAATAATCCACCCTTTGTTTAGCATATCATCAAAAAATAACCATAAAAATGGGCAGTCAGCAGCCCTTGGGGCTGCTCTGTCTCTGGAGTGGCCATTCTTTCATTTTTTTACTTTCTTAATAAACTTGCTTTCACTTTGCACCGTGGACTCGCCCTGAATGCTTTCTTGCACGAGATCCAAGAACCCTCTCTTGGGGTCAGGATTGGGTAACAATGTCATTTTTGTTTTCAAAAGATTTGTCTGCCTGTAATAAGAAGAATAGAGCATTCATTTTGGTATCATCTTTAGCCCCTGACTGGAGGCCCAATAAGTGTCAGGAACTGGACAAATCTTTACATCATATCCTATCAATAATGTAGCAAGGCAGGAACGTTCACTTTGGATTGAAAACATGAGAAACTCGAGGCACAAGGGCATTCAGTAATCTGTAAAGCCAAGTACCCAGTCAACAGTGATACTCAGTCTCAACTGACCAAAGCCACTCCGAGATTCTGGTGAAGCCACGCCTGCCATGAATGCAGTGTCAGGTCCTTAGTAGGTGCTATGCACTACTAAACCATACCCGTTTGTTATTTCATGAATGGACAGAAAAACACATGTATGAATGAATGATTAATGCCAAATGTGTATGGAGAGATAGGTGTAGAAGGATCAGAGAACCAATGAAGTCAATGATAATAGATTGGCTAAAACACAGGTCGAATTCCCTGGTCCAGTGGTTCAGCTGCTTCATCGCAGGGCAACCTTACAAGGCACTGAGAAGGTTAAAGCCCGGCTCGGTGCCAAGTATGAAACAGGCTGCTGGGCCCCTTTCTTGCCCTTTCCCATGACACCCTGGGCAGGTCTGGAAAGAGAAGTGGCCACTCACTCAGTACTTTGCACCACAGGGAAGGATCCCATCCGTACATAGGAACTCTGAGCTCCATTCTCTCTCTTCCCCAAGATTTCCTTCACACTGAACAAATCCATCAGGTCAAAACCTGTACAAAGAGAAGAGCTGGGAGTGAGTTTGGAGAAGGAAGAGTATAAGAGACAAAGGAAAATCACATCCGCTGTCTGCAAAGGCAGCCTGCCCATCCTGCCCCAGGAGAACAGATCGGGAGGGAGTTGTTCAAATACATATTCAGGGAGAAAACACAAGCACCCGAGTAATGGGACGTATAGCCTTGGCTTCAACTCCAGGAAAAAGGTGCAGGAGAACACAGACAACTGGCTTTCTCAAGAAAATGTGTGTGCATGTGGTTAAGCGTGAGACAAATGGAGGGTGTCCTGGTTGTGTGAGGGCCGCAGGGTCTTGGTGTTCACGAAACCCAGATGTGTGCTCTTCGCTCTTGCAGGCTGGCTCTGCAGGCGAACGGCCACTCACGGCTTTCCTTCCTGCAGCCGTATGTTTGCCTTGCATCTGGACTTTACGTGGGTAACAGTTTGGCAGCTTTTAATTTTCCTGATTTTTAAAGAGAGAAACATCAGAGAGGAATAAACTGTCTTCATGGTACTGCATTATTTGAAATGATTTTGTTTTGTTTTGCTTTGTTTTTCCTTAGTTCAGTTTAATTTCCCTCTAAGAGAGGACCTTATACGCATTGTCAATGTAAAGTAACAGAAAAATCAGGGGCTTTGGACTTGGGTGAGGGTCAAGGGTAAGGACGGGGGTTTGATCCTGAGCGGCCATGTGTATGTGACACTGGGCAAGCTACATGACCCACAGGAGTCTTGGGTACTTCACTGTGGAAGGACAGCAATGATGCCTACTGGGTAGAGCTCTGTGATAATTGTGTAAGACCCTAAATATGTGTCACTCGGCATATGGTGAGAAATTCACAGAGTGGGTTTCTTTTTACAAGTTATTCCCCACAACCACCAGCACACGCTGTCCACATTCCCCCACAATGGGATGCTTTCTGCAGACCAGGTTCTCAGAGGGGCCTGAGGACAACACTCGTTCTGGAGGCTAACAGTGTGACTCAACACCCGCCTGAAACTGTCTCTCTCAGACACTGGGGAAAGCTCTCAGCAGGTTACAGGGAAGCCGGCTGAAGGCAGGCACCAGGCTGAACTCACCTGTGCCCCCCCAGGGATAATATACTTCTCGGTATTCACACCTAACCCATGAGATTTTAGGAAGAGTTCCTCATTGTTTCCAATACTCTAAGGCACTACTGAAAAAAGAGAAAAAGAAAAAAAAAAAAACAGGAAATGGACTTGTAGGACTAACATAATGATTAAAGCCTCTTAGCCTCTTTTACCACTAAATTCTGCCCAAAGAGATTATTTATTCATTCATGCTTTTGAGAGCCAGGGCCACGCCAAGCATTGTGTAAGAAATGTCAGGGAGGGAAGCAGGTAGTCCTGACATAAAGTTTGAGTATTAGAACCGGACAGATCTGGGTGGTGATCCTAATCACTATATCTTTGCTGGGTGACCTTAGGCAGGTTGCCTGACATCTCTGAGCACTGGCTTTATTTCATCTGTAAAAAGGGGATTATTTTCGAATGTACGTCATTGCTGTGAGACTTAAATGATACAAAGTTCTTCATACAGTACCTGACATACAGTAGATCACCAACAAAGCACTTTTTATATTTACTGTTTTCTCATCACAATTACAGCATCCTCTAATGCTAAATTCTGTCCATAGATGTCATGTATTTATTCAGTAGATGTTTTTGAGAGCTTCCAATATGCCAAGCCCTGTGAGCTCCAGGGTTGGAGCAGGCACCAACACAAAATCCTGGCTCCAGGAGAACTGGAACTTGTGGGGACCCCAGAAATAAGAAAATGCACAGTGCAAGTGTGCAATACAATTCCAGGCATGAAGAGTCAGTGAGCAGGGGCGGCACTGGAGAGGAACAGAGCTGGGGCGACAGGGAAGGCGCTCCGGGAGGAAGCTACCAGGTAGAGGCCTGCTCTGGCCTGCGATGGTCTGGGAAGGGGGTTCTGAGCAGGGCAAGGTTGCTCTGGGATTGAAACCCTGCACTTTTTGGATTGGACCGTTCCCTGCCCTTTGCCATCCTGAGGTTGTCAAGTTCTTGGAAAATGACTAAGAGCTGCCATTATGTCATTTTTAAATAGCATTTCACACACAGGCTATTTAATGGAATTCATGATATAATTGTTAAATGATATTGGGTCCTAAAGATGCGAACAGTATTCAGAAGCTTCATTATAGATGGAAAAAGCACCCCTCCAAACCGTGCTTGTTTACACACACTAGTGTGAGTGATTCAGCATCTCTGGAGACGGTTGGTTTGTGGGAGGGAACAGGCACCCACAGTCCCACAACTGAGGTCCCCTGTGGTGCATGGGTTGATCCAGCTGAGAGGCTGCCACTAGGCACAGGCTGAGTGAGGCCAGCTTTCCTGACCCGCCAGCTGCTTGAAGACAGGGCCCAGCTTGCTGAGTTCGCCACCCTATCCCCCTCAGGACCTGCAGGGCTGGCCCACAGTGCAGATTTGTCAAACTGAACATAGGGCCTCACTCTGAGCTGTAACGCAGCCTTGGTCCCTGGTAGAGACTGTGTGGGGGAGAGAACACCCAGCACGTGGACCAGATACCCAGATACTCCTGACTGAAGTCCTACAAATGAGCTGTGTGGCCTTGAGTACGAGCCTCAACCTCTCTGGGCTTATTTCTTCTGCAGTTTTGTAAAATTGGGATAATAATAACAGTGTAGTAGACAAGTAAGGGCTATGATAACAATTTACATGCAAATCCCTGTTCCCACACTTTCTCTCCCTGCCAGCTCTCAGGTAATTTACTCAACCTCTCTGGACCTCATGTCTTCATCCACCAAATGGGACATTAAGAATAACCAGTCAGCCAAGCACAATGGCTCACGCCTGTAATCCCAGCACTTTGGAAGGCCAAGGTAGGTGGATCACTTGAGGTCAGGAGGTCAAGACCAGCCTGGCCAACATGGTGAGACCCTGTCTTTACTAAAAATATAAAAATTAGCCAGGGGTGGTAGTGGGTTCCTATAATCTCAGCTACTTGGGAGGCTGAGGCAGGAGAATTGCTTGGACTCAGAAGGCAGAGGTTGCAGTGAGCCTAGATCGCACCACAGCACTCCAGCCTGGGCGACAGAGAGAGACTCTGTTGCAAAGAAAAAGAAGAAAAGAAAAGGAAAGGAAAGGGAAAGGGAAAAGGAAAAGGAAAAGGAAAAGACCAGTCATCAGGCCTGGACAGGACAATGGCCCTGCACAGTGTCTGCCTGTCTGCCAGTGGCAATACATTCTGACTCTACTATTAGACATTCACGTCTTGGAAAATCACTTTGAGTTTTAAATGAGAAAATGTAGGAACATGCCTGAAACACAACAGTTGCTCACTAAATGCTGGATGCTCTAATGGGTCCCTCACCTTGAATGAGAACATGATCACTCCTCTAAACCCTCACAAACTCTAGATAAACATGCGGCATGGACAGGTGGGTGGGTCTCCCTGACACCAATATCCTGTGATCCTGGCTGAGTCATTTTCTTTCTATCAGTCTCATCTGTAAACTGGGATAATGGGTACAATTTGATCATCTTTTGTGTTTTTAGCACCAAAAACTGTTGATCATATTTCCCCCAATTCTTGCCATGGCTGGGAAGAGTCCCAGTCAAACTGCATTTTTTACATAACAGTTAATTTGAATGTGCAATTGTACGCAGTGAAGAATCCCTCCGTTCAGTATGCTGGGAGATGGGAGTTAACAGAACAGCCGCTGTTCCTACTCAAAGCCATGGGGTTAATCCCAGGTAAAGGTACGATGCACACTGGGCATCTATTATGTTTAACGCAGCCCAAGGCACTCTGCTCCCACACAGAGTTCCAGCTGGGACAGTGAGGAAGTTATCCGGTTTTGTTGAGCCTGTTTCCGTAACTGGAAAAATGGAGAGAATGATTTATTGCAGGGGTGTCATGAGACCTAAGTGTGATGATGGGATTAAATACCTGGGGGGAAGCCAGCACCCAGGAGTTACTCGGTCAACCCCACTGTCCCTGCCTGGGGACCACAGTGGGAACCTGTTGACCCAAGTGAAGCTTGGTCCCCTGGCAATAGCTCTGCCACCACCCCAGAGCCCCACCTCTTTCACTCTGGTTATAAGGACCAGGCCTCCAGAGTGCATGACTGGGAGCAGCCGCCACACCTACCGGAGAGGGAGTCCTGGGGAGTCCCCGAGAGATCCCAAGTTGGACGAGGCCAGTCACCCAGACATTGGGAGACATTCACCAAATGCATGCTGGGAGCACTCCCTGTCCCTCATCTCTCCCCTGCACTGCTGTTGACAAAGCCCCCAGCCCACCTGAACAGGACCTCAATGCCCCAGAGGCTGCAGTCTCAGCATCGCCTGGGGACAGAAGCATGGAGAGTCCCCACAGCTCTGGGCTCCCAGGCAGGCCCAGTGAGGAGCAGCTGTTGGAACTGACTGGGCCCCATACAACAAGGGGCCTTTGACAACCCACCGGGCTGCCCCTGTATTGGGGCCTCTGTGTCTGGAAGTGTCCTGGGGCCTGAGGAGCCCCAGCAGTGGGAGGGGCTGGTGCCTCTGAATGGGGGAGCTTGGCCATGAAGACCTGGAGGGCCCTGCGGTTCCAGGGTTCCATGAAACTGGTGCCTAAAGTGTACAGTCTGCTTAGGATTAGATGTTGTCCCAGAGAAAGGCAGAATAGGTGAGAACAGGTTTTGAGACCAGCCCATTCTAGGTTCAAAACCTGGCCCAGCCCTGGCCAGAGGTGGGACGTGTCCTGGTGGCCTCCTCCTCAGTGATGTAGGGGTGAGGACGTGCCTTGCAGGGTTGTCACCTTGAGGAGGGGCACAGACAGCACCTGGGAGTTCTTGAGGTGGGAGCTGGGGGAGGGGGTCGCTGCTGAAGAAAAGCAGCAGCCAGTGTAATTGAGGCAGCAGAAGCAGTGGCGTGGAGGGAAAGAGAGCACCGCAGCCGGCCACACCTGGGTTCCTGTCCCTGTTCTCAGACTCAGCAGTTCCACGGCTTTGGGGCAATTTCTCAGCCCCTTAAGCCCCCATTTGTCATCTGTGCAAAGGGGATAGGCAGCCACTTCTCAGGGCCACCTGAGGAATCTCACAGAGGTGGGGTCCCTGGAGGCTCATGGGGAGTGAGGGCTCTTACTCAGAGGAGGCTCACAGGTGGCCTCAGCAGCCCCTCACACACTCACTGAGGGATGAGGGGGAGTGAGGAGAGCCTAAGAGCTGGTCCAGAATCTGGGCGGACACGTGCCTACCCTGGGAAAAGTCAGGGCCGGGAACTGCAAAGTGGGCCGATCCTCTACTTCACAGCACCATCAAACACCACTAAAAATGGACACCTTCATCTGCTTTTCCCTTCAGCAGTCATATTGGAGAGAATATATGAAATAGACTTGTTTTCAAAAAGCAAGCCTATGCTCTACTTTCTGGTTCCACTTTTATTGGTTTCAGTGAACAAAAACAAAGAGTTGAATACAACAAAACTTGGAACAACAAGGAATTAACTAGGTGGCAGCAAAGGGCACCAAAAAAAAAAAAAGATAAATTGCCCAAAATAAATAAGGGCTGGGAAGGAGAATAAAAAATGTTCCCGAGGAAAGCAGGCTGTGATGCAAGGCACTGTGAGATAAAAAAAAAGCAATTGTTTTATGCAAAAAATAGAGGGAGCACCTCGCTGAAGCCAGGGAAGCCGCTGGACCACGTGGTGTCAGAAGACCTTAGTGATGGCCCAGGTCACTGGCTGCACCTGCTGTGCCAGGTACCTACTGTGTGCTCCTCACCTCATCCAGCAAAGGTCGACCTGGATGGAACTTTGCTGCTGCCCTCCCCCACCCCCTTAGCTGCCTTAGTTCCTCTTGGAGTTTCCATGGGTCTGGGTAAGATGCAGGCAGCTTATGTTTATGGGGCTGCCTCCTCCAGTAGATGGAGAGCTCTTTCAGGAAAGGGATGATTTGATCTGTTTCTCCATCCTTAAAATGCCTGCTGCTTTTGCTGTTCCTATTCAAGCATTTGAGGGTCATTTGTGGAAGGAGAGAAGAAGAGAATGAAGGAATTCATGACCCACTATAAAGGGCCTCCTATGTGTTAGATGCTGCGTGGGCTGCTCAGGTTGCCATCATGAACAAGCATCTGGGCTACTGTGGGATGTCAGGACCCACGGCGAGGGTACACTGGCTGGGAATAGGGTGGGCTGGTGCCGGTCAGGCTGGGCTTTTGTCGGCTCCATCGGCGAGTTTGGGTTTCTTTCTTCAGGCAATGAGGAGCCACAGAGGGCTTTAAAGTGAGGGAGAAATACCATCTGGTTTCTATTTTCCAAGGTCATTCTGGCAGCAGGGCATGGAGGGGCAAGACCAGCCAGGAGTAGGTAAAGGTACAATGCACACTGGGCATTTGCAATGTTTAACGCAGCCCAAGGCACTCTGCTCCCACACAGAGTTCCAGCTGGGAACTGGAGGGCAGAGATGAGGTGAGTGAGATGAGGGCAGGTGAGGAGGGAGGGATGGAAGAAGCAGTTGAATTGGAGGGCGGTTTAGAAGGTATCATGGGCAGGACTTGGTGATTATCTGGATGGGGGGCCCAAGTGGGAAGAGAGAGACATCCAGGATGTCTGTGGCCAAATTTGAGACCTGCACATGCCTAACATATGCTTTAAGCATTAAGTAGCTAAACTTCTAGAAAAGTTGCCTAACGCTTTTATTGGCTAGAATTTGTAGAACATTTGGTTTTTAGAGCTGAGAGGGACTCTTGAAGACATTCTGTAGGATCCACTGTTATATAGGTGAGGAAACTGAGGCTCAGAGAAGTCAAAAGATTGACCCAAGGTTGGCTGGCTGGTGAGCAGCAGGGCCATCTAAGACCTATGCCTCCAATCTCCTGCGTCTATTCTCATCCTCGTGCTCCCAGACCCAGCCCAGATATGCCCTAAAAATAGCCAGAGTCATTTATGGGAAAGCCTGGAGGTGAGGCTTTTGGGGACTGCATTTTTTCCAGAATACAGAAGCTGTCCCTATTACCCAATGGCATTTAAATTGGCAAATTTGAGGCTCCATCTCTCCACAACTCCCTCTTCAGCCTGAACATGGCTGGAGCGGTTTTTCGGGGCTGGTTATAATTAGAGGAGACGGTAGATAAAGCAGGTTCTCTGTGCATTCAGAACTGCACAAACAGTATTTGCTCTTCAGACTGAAGGATGCCCAGCTGACATTGTGATTTCTTTTCCAGGGAGACTCCAAAGAGGGAGGGGAGGCTTCAGGACTCCTCTGGCTGTGGACTGACACAGGAGGGCCCATAATAGAGGGTCCCGGTCACCAAACAGACTCTTTGAAAGGATCCTCCACATATGTCGTAGACTAAGAAATCTGTTCAAAGTCCTGCATTTTCATGTGTGAGTACACACACACACACACACACACACGCGCTCCTGAATCTTCCCAGCAAGAATCAGTTATTATTATTATTATTAAGAAAAGGTCTTGCTCTGTCACCCAGGCTGGAGTGCAGTGGCGTGATCTCAGCTCACTGCAACCTCTTCCTCCTGGGCTTAAGCGAACCACCCACCTCAGCTTTGGCTAATCTTTTCATGGGTATTTTTTGGTAGAGATGGGGCACGCACCACCATAGTTGGCTGATTTTTTTGTGTGTATTTTTTGTAGAGATGGGGTTTCACTATGTTGCCCAGGCTGGTCTTGAACTCCTGAGCTTAAGCAATTCACCTGCCTTGGCTTCCCAAAGCTCTAGTATCACAGGCGTGAGCCACTGCACCCAGCCAGAATTATTCTTAAGTAGAAAATAATTGCTATTCTTCAGCCTACAGAATGACAAGAAAAGCTTTAAATTCATGCTGAGTTACAGATGATGCAGGCAGGTTTGTTTGTTCATTTGTCTGTCTGCCTTCCTTCCTTCCATTCTTCTTTCTCCCTCCTTTCCTTTCTTCCTTCTTCCATCCATCATTTTGTCCATCCCTCCATCCAGCCTCCCATCCAACCATTCATGTTTTCATCCTTTGATTAATGTTTCTTATTTTCACTAATTCATTCATATATCCATCCATTCATTTCACAAACATTTGTCACATTCCTTCTAAGTGTCAGGTACGGTCCTCTACTCTTAAGACACAAAGAATAAAGCCCAAGTATAAACAAGTCCTGCTCTCAAACAGCTCATATGCTTGCTGGGGAGGTAGACAGGGACGCAAATCATTATAATGCCTTCAGATTGGAGTTCTCAGAATAGAATAAAATGTTAAAAGAGCAACTAATTGCCCTGTGGGGCTTCAAGCAGTTTCCTGGAGGTGACTGTTGAGTTGGGCTTTGGGGGATGAATAGGAGCTCACTGTGAGAATAAGTTGGGGATGGACACACCACACAGAGGTAATACCATCAGCTAAGGGGAGTACTGCATCTTTGGGGGCTAGCAAGCATTCCAATAGATTCATGAGTAAGCTAGGACAGAAGAGTCAGAACCTCTTCTGCAGAGTAGGAAGCATGGACTAGATTCTAGGAGCCAAGGAATCCAGGTTTTAGAAAGACAGCCCTTGACGAAGAGGAGGGAAGAGGGCAGTGCTGGAGGTTGACATGCTGATTAGAGATGCTACAAAACTCCAAAGGAAAGACAACAGTGGTCTGGATGGGCCTGGGGGCAGCAAAGGAAGTGCAATTTTCTTTCAACTCTTCCAGCCACCAAGTAGATGCAATGACAGCAAAAGTGCTATGTCTGGGAGTGGCCAGTCCATGGGGAAGAGCTCTGAATATTGCAACGCAGCCTATTTTTCCCTTCCTATGGCAGGAAAAGAGAGTAACTTTTGATGGTTTGGGTAAGTTTGCCTGATTTTTAAGACAAATACGGCTTTCAGTTCTTCACTCTGTTGAATCAGTTACCTAGAAATACACATTGTACAGTCCAAGCTCCAAGACTGGCCACTTGATGTGGCAAAACAGTGGCAAATGTGGGCTTTGCTGAATGGTGGTCTGAGTGCAAATCCTCATTCCGCCACAAACTCAGGCAAGTGGCTCAATCTCTCTGTGCCTCAGTTTTTCCAACTGTAAAATGTACAACAGTGTGTCCCATATAACATATAGAGGAGTGCATCTCATGTGCTGTGAGGGTAAATGAGGAAATGCGTGCAAACCCTTTGGCACACAGTAAATGCTCAGGAGGCATTCATTATTACTATGATTTTATTAACCACACTATTGTCATAATGATTCCTTTCTATGGATATGTGTGTTAGATAATGAATTACTTGGGTGATACTGCTATGAAGGACTCACGGCTCCCAAAGCCACAGGTATATAATGCAGTAAGGTAAGAATTTGCTTTGAAGACGAATATCAATGGGAGGGGTCTCAGGGAAAAGTTGCGCAGACACATTCACACTCCAGTGGATAGAAAATAGATTATCCGAGAGCCAGAGCCTCGCTGGGGATTACCAAGGCAAAAAGTGGGAATGTTGAAGTGAAACTGACCAGAAGGTTTACACCTTGGCAAAGTATTGCATTGGTGCAAAAGTAATTATGGTTTTGCCATTAAAGTTTTGCACAATTATTTTTGCAGCAGCCCAATAGCTCAGATATAAATACACTTATTTCAAGGAAATTAGGTTAACAAAGTGAAGAAGATGAAAGTCACCTTTATCTCATGTATTAGACAAATAAACCCTGACAGTGATAGCACCCCACTGGGCACCAGCTACGCAGCAGGTGCCCCACCTCGAGAATATCACTTTGTTTGGTTTCCTCTGAAAGTGCCAGTAGTTTATTGGAGAGGTGCTTGAGCAGGGAGTAGAGGCAGGATTCAGGGAAAGAAAGCAGCTGATAGAGTATGGCATGAGGCCAGTTACCCTGGTGGATGACTGCCCCTAGGAAACTCTGGGAAACGGGGTCAAATGTGGACTTCAGAATAATCCCACCTAAGGAGCAGTAGAGCCGGGTGCTTCTATACCAAGGGTCACTGGTTAGGAGCTGCTCCTGGGGGGTGCTCACTCCCTGGCACCTTTCTCCCACTGTGCACATAGGCAGAGCAGCCTTCCACCATTCCAGAAAAATCCCCCAGGCACAAGATGCAGATGCTGGCATCTTTAAGACAGCAGAGCACGGTGACATGGCAAGGTCCCTGGGATGCAAGCAGGGTCCCAGCAGTACCTTCCAAACACTTCGTCCTGACCTCACATGGCTCCCTGCTAGGATGGGGACACATAAGTGCTTAGAATTGGACCCAAGATGATGCAGGAGGGAGAGGAGAGACACCAAACCCAGGGGCATTGGCAAGAAGAGCAGGGCTGCTGTTCTGCAGTGGCTTCCTGGTTGGGAGTTGGGAGAGAAGAAAACTTCTTTGCCATATGTATTTAAAGTGCTGAGCAGGGTGCCCGGCCACAGGGAGGACTGGATCCATGTTCGGGTAATTGGGATGGTGGGGAACCACCTCGGCCATACCCCGCACCCTCGCAGCCTTCTATTCTGTCATATGCCTGACAGCCTTTGGTGAGACTCTGCGGTATTTCTTTCTGCTGCTGGGTCTGCAGTCACGTGTCTCTTTGTTCTCTCACCCATTGATTCACTCATATATTTATAACTCTGATTCACTCTCGCTTTCACTCCAAAACACATTTATTTATTCAGTCGTTTGCTCACTTTGCCAATCATTTGCTTACTCATTCACCAGCTTCTTTACAAACTCATTCATTCTCATGCATTATTGAGTGACTCCTATAGAATATCCACAGCCTGCCAAATGGAAAATGTGAATGTATGTTCTTTCCTGTTGGATGGTTCTTTGATGAGAGCTGCCACCTGCACGATTCAAACCACTTTATCAGGACTCTGGTGAAATATGGGAACAAGAACAGGGTCAGTGAGGCCACCCCTGAATTGACTAGGGTCATGCTCAGGCTCAGCAAATCATACACCAAAGCAAGCACACGTGGTTATTGTTTTTCCCTTACCTGTGATTTCCTTGGTTCCTCCATTGGTGTGCTTAAAGCGATCTCCTTCTACACGAACGCTAGGACAGAGCACATCTGAGGAAAGCAAGAGGAAACAGAGACTGATGAGAAAATGTGACCCATCGTCACCCTGTGAAATATGACAGCACACAAGACCCCACCCTGCCTTGCAGCATGTGAGGTGTTCAATGCCTGGAGAAGATGCAGAGGCAGCTGGCATCTCCGCACTCACTCATGTTTTCATTTTCCTGTGTATTTGTTAAGCATCAACTCTGCAAATACTGTGTTCTGTACTGGGGTGAAATATGAACAAGGCTTTCTTCCTGTCTATGAGGAATTCACAGCCTTGTCCGAGGGAGCCAGACACGGACATCAATATTAACAACATAGCGGAATAAGTTGTAGATACATGTGCCTGCTGCTGGGGGGTTCAGGACACAGATACAATAACTAATCTAACGCAGGAGGACAGAGAAGCTTTCCTGGAAAGATTCTTTTTGAAAGAACTGTAAGATTTAGCCTGATAGACAAAAGACCAAAAGGTGATACAGGCAGAGGGAACCTCATTTAGGAAAGCATGCACATGTCCGGGCGCGGTGGCTCACGCCTGTAATCCCAGCACTTTGGGAGGCCGAGGCGGGCGGATCACGAGGTCAGGAGATCGAGATCATCCTGGCTAACACGGTGAAACCCCGTCTCTACTAAAGATACAAAAAATTAGCCGGGCGTGGTGGCAGGCGCCTGTAGTCCCAGCTACTCGGGAGGCTGAGGCAGGAGAATGGTGTGAATCCGGGAGGCGGAGCTTGCAGTGAGCTGAGATCACGTGGCTGCACTCCAGCCAGGGTGACAGGGCAAGACTCCATCTCAAAAAAAAAAAAAAAAAAAGGAAAGCATGCACATATACATGAAACCTCCAAGTCAGTAGGATGTCAATGAAATGGAAATTGTGTGCAGGGACGGACCAGAAAGATGTTCCATAAGTCATCTGATGGAGCTTCAGGTACAATTACATAAACAGGCAAATTCCAAACAAGTAAAACTCAGTTATACAAAAGCAATTGAGTAAGTCATACAATAAAAAATTATTATACAATATTACATAAATATGTTAAAGTCTTCATGGATCCTCACTTCTAAAAAGTTGGAAGAAGGGCAGGTGTGGTGGCTCATGCCTGTACTTTGGGAGGCCAAGACGGGGGGGGATCACCTGAGGTCAGGAGTTCGAGACCAGCCTGGCCAACATGGTGAAACCCCGGCTCTACTAATAATACAAAAATGAGTCGGGCATGGTGGTGCACACTGGTAACCCCAGCTACTCAGGAGGCTGAGGCAGGAGAATCGCTTGAACCTGGGAGGCGGAGGCGGAGGCTGCAGTGAGCTGAGATCACGCCACTGCATGACAGCCTGGGTGACAGAATGAGACTCCACCTCAAAAATAAATAAATAAATAAATAAATAAATAATAAAAAGTTGGAAGAAAAATGAACTCTTTCAGTCCCTCTAACAATTTCAGAAAGAGCATTAACTTTGAATTTTAATGTGCTGAGTCCATGCTGACTACACTCCCGCCTACCCTCTGTGGCTTAGAGAAGTCTCTTAATCTGTGTGTCTTAGCGTGGGCACCTGTGGCATGGGAGATATTAATATGCACACATTTGTCACAGGGCTGCTTTGAGGATTGGGCAAGATTATGCCCACAACAGCACTGAAAGGCTGTAAGGAGGTTCTGTATTCTCATAAATTTAGCACCCAAAGCACCTCACTTATCTCCCTGAAGACCCAGCCCTGCCCATGAAGCAATTTGGTTATCACACATTATTATTATAATCACACATTATTAGGCAGCTCCACCACCCCATTAGTTCCATATACAATGGCCTCTTCTCATATTTGAGGGTATAAGTGTCTCAGTGCAGGGAACAAATGAGATCTTTCCTGATTTGGAAGGAGGTATTTTTAATGTTTATCCTCAAAGGCACCACCAGGTCTGACAAGCATCATGGAAGGGGTTATTTTGGAAACAGTACCAAGCTGTCTGTCTAGCACTACATACAGGAATGGGTACAGGCACAGCACAATATTTAGACAGCTCTACCCAGGACAGCAGCAGCTGTGGGGTGACGATCAATTGCTTTAAGTTTGGCAGCCTGCCAGAGAGACAGGCTGGGAATTGCGTGTCATTTTAATGAGTTTAAAATTTAAGACGAGTTGACTCAGAAGGTTCTATCTATCTTTGATGATGAGCAAATCTCTGGAGGCTGGCGGCTGGACCTCAGAGTAGGCTGCTCCATTGAGTCACATCTCTGCAAATTTCCCAAGGGGAGGACCACGCACACAGAAATGATGGAGATTCTACTCAAAGATAGAACTTGCTCAAATTGCTTTAAGAAATCTTTCTCAAAACAACCTGCAAATTCCCTCTGGGGCCATCACTAAGCCTCACACATTCACCAGGCTCGAGGGGCAGTTTATAGTTGAGTTGGTTAAGTCAGAACAAATAGCTTCCAAAATAGCCCTCCAGCCAGCCTTCCTGGGGATGGTGGGGTCCTCAGGGTCCACCTGCTTGGCAAGGAGGTAGGGTTAGCATCCATGGCTCCTCTTAGCCTATAATTGGAAGCCATTCTGCATTTCTTTTTGGCCAAGATATCCCCACATCTTGGAGAATGATCTGTTTATTTCTGTATTCACTCATCTATTCAAACTCAATTCTTTACTGAGCTCCAGATATGTTCCAAGCATTGAGCTACCTCTAGGGTCAGAGAAGTGGATGAGAGAGACATCCTATTCCCTGCCTTCAGGGCATTGCAGGGCTGACTAACAGGAACAGACTCCAAACACGTGAGTGAAAGAAAGGATCAGTGCTACTGGGAGTCATTTTGTCTCCATGCTTCCCAGGGCTCCTCCTCCTGGATCTTAGAGACTGCTCAGCCTTGAACAACCCCAGGGGCTTGTTTCCATTTATCCCAGCCTGGGTAGGGAGCCCTTCGTCAGGTCCCAGTGTCCAAGAGCTGAGGGCACCATACTGAAGTCACTAATGGGCATGTCTGTCTCCCCAGGGAGTGGGAGTCTTCAGACCTGGTTGGACCTCAGCTCACCTCTGTATGGCCACTGTCTTTCTAGCTCCAAACCCATAACAGGCCTTCAGCTGTTGAGCAGAAATGACTTCTGACAACTGAGCTGAGAAGTAAACACTGACTGGTGGAATGGGGAGCCTCCCAGGCATGGGGTTCGTTATGATTTTGATGAGCCACTGAGAGTATTTCATGGGCCCTTGAGCTCCTGCCCTGGAGGTGTAGCAGGCATCATTTGTTATCAGCCCCATATCCATTTCCCACTTCTTTGTTGCTAAATAATGCCACCTTAGTTCAGAAAGACAGAGTTTTCAGCCCATGGAGAAACACTGTAGCTGTTTGGTCTAAGTCAATTATGATTATTCTATTCCCCACCTTTCCAGTCTCACTTGCAGCTAGGGATGGATGTGTGATTCAGGGCTGTCCAAGGAAACAAATAACCAAAGCTTGCTGTGGATAAAGGAAAGGATTGCTTAAAAAGCTTTTGGTTTCCTTGATGTAAGGGATAGATAAGTGGATGGGGTGGTGAGTTTACTTTCCTTTCTTCTTCCTTTGCATATGAAACATAATGTTTGGGGGACTGTCTAGGAGAATGGAGGAAATATCAAACAAGCAATTCCAATCCTAGGTGGGAGGCATAAGATTAAAAAAAAAAAAAAAACTTCTATTTGTTTAAGCCACCATATATGGGTTTTCTTCACTTGCAGTTGAGTGCATTCCAAATTTGCATGCATTTCCTTCCTATGGGCCTCACTGATATGCCAGTGTAACCAGCTGGAAGGTCAGATTCTCTTTCTGGATGTCTAAGGACAATTAATGAGGGTGGTGAGAAGTGGTGCATTACTTCCTTGGTAAAGGAAATACAGACTGAGTTACCTTCTCTATCCCAATAAATATGGAATTCTCAGGTAATCCTTCAGGAGCAGCATAAGAAGTAGTTCTAAATTAAGGGCAAGGATAAATTCATAGGAGTTAAAAATGTGGATTGAATTTGTTCTTGGCTGGTTCACTGGTTGATTTTCCTTTTTGAAAACATGAGAACACAAAAACGAAAACATCTAATGACAAAGACACTGCTTCCTTAAAGTCCATTTATTGTCTACCCCCTGACAATCATTTTCCTTCACTCTCTAGGTAAGTGGAACATTCTAGACTTCTGAAGAGAAAAAAGGTATCTCTTCACACAGCATGCGTTCCTTCTCACCGGAAGCCTATTGATTGATCAGAGCTGCTGCTCTAAGGGAAAACACCACGAATTTACTGTGGTCTTCCTGGAAAAACACGTCCATTTTTTTGGCCTCAGTTTACCAAATGGCAAAAGGGGGGCACCTGTTTGTCCATTAGGGGAGGAAAAGGGCTTGCACAATATGGCGTCTGATGTCCTCGTGCTCTATGTTGACGCAACCATGGTTCTGTCTGCAGAACACACAGCCTTGTCATCCCCTGGCTCTCGGCCAAGAGTTTTTCCAGTTGGGAACGGAGGGTACATGCAATTATTGAGTACCCAGTGTGTGTGTCAATCATCTGGCTTTGGATTTAACTCACAACAACCATCCTACAAGGTAGATTTTCTTCCCATTACACAGATATAAAAACTGAGTCCAAGATGAGAAACTCATCAGACAGGAGAAATGTCTCTGTATTTGAATAAATGCCTCCCTAAATCTAGCATCTAGGAAGAGATACGGTGGCCCCATGTTAGATCAGCAGGAGCAGTAGAAACAAGGGAAGGATGCCAGGGCAGCCCTGCCGGATACCAGACAGGAAGCAATCACGGCTCATCCATCACCTCGCAGCGGCCGCTGCTGAGTGCAGCTAACCACAGACAAGATGTATGACATCCAAGTGGAAGAGGCGGAGGAGGGAAGAGCTGAAGCAGAAGCCCAGCAGACACAAGGTCCAGTTCCTCCGCTGCTCCGAGGCCAGCCAAGGAATTTTCCACGCATCTCCATTTCAGACAGGCGACAGACACATGGCAGACACAAGGGCCCAAGGATCATGTTCATAAGGATTACACTGTCATGGCTCCCAGGGACTGAGCGCCCGCGTGGCTAGGTCCTGCACTGGGAATGCCATGTGGATTGTTTCTGAGCCTCTTGGCTGCTCTGCTGGAAGGATGTAGTTATCTCCATAAGCAGCAGACACATGTAGGTGGCTTGCTGTGCACCAGACGCTGTTCCAAGCATGTTGAATACATTAACACATTTAATTGAATCCTTACCATGGCTTTACGAGGTAGGTGCTATTATTTAGAGAAAGAAAGAAAGGGGGACTAACTTCTTCCTGTAGAAAGAAAGGCATAAAGAAGTTAGTCAACTGCCCAAGGCCACACAGCTTGCAGGTGGCAACGTCAGCATGATGGCTTCAGCACCCAGTTCTTGGCCACTGCATGATGCAGCCTCTCCAAGGGCCAGGTCAACTGCCTCAGGTCACCCAGCCAATAGGGATTCAGGTCTGTGTGTCTCCAAAGCCTGGACCAGCAGATGGTCAGTTTGCTACTTTCTACAGCAGCCCATTTTGCCTTTTAAGAGTCTTGACTTGTAGAAGGGTCTTCCTCACCCTGTACCTATAGGATTCATTGGCTTATGCAACGGGAAGCCAAGGCTCAGAGAGGTTAAGTAATTTACCCAACATCACACAGCTGACAAGTGGCACAGAACTGAGCCCAGGGAGTCAGATGTAGGCATCTGAGCTCTTAACCACTATCCACAATCTCTGCACTGGAAGCCACGTTGGTTGTGATAGAATAATAACCAGCCAATCGCTGTGTGTAATGTCAGCATTACACACAGGCTCTCTTTTAATCCTCCTCATGGTTTGCAGGGCAGATACTATTATCCATATTTTACAGGTGAACAAGTAACTTTCCTAGTAATTGAAAGCGGGAGGAAATTGTTATTAACCACATCTCAGGGCCATGGTGTGCACCCTGTGAGAAGATGAAGACAACTCAGGGTTCAGACATTGGGTTCTTATGCCCAGTTCCACCTCCACCACCTGTTCCAGAACTTTCTGGAGATTCCTGGCTTGCATTTCTCCTCTAGGCCAGAGTGTATCAGCACCAGCTGCCTCCCCAGAAGGCCCAGATCCTCTGGCTGTTCAATCCACATCTCCCAGATCCTTTAGGCAGGAGAGAGGGCATGGTCAGAGTGCCAGGTGTTTTGTGAAAATGTTTATGCAAGTGTTTCACAGGAAGTCTGTGTGACATATGCAGTAGACAAAATATCGCCAGAAAGGAAAATCCCCCTGGACCTGCTGACAGCTGCGAACACTGGCCCAGGAGATCAGGGCCACCTCCCTCCTTCCCTTCCTTGTCCCTAACTCAGAAAGATGCGGCACGAAGAATGAGGGGTGGGGCTCCGGCACAGCTGGGCCCTTCCTGATGGGAGCCGGGGATGCAGTTGTCTTTGTTTGGAGACTGATGAGGCACAAGAAACAGTAACAAGGTAAGGGCCTGCCAGGGCCATCTGTCCTCTCCCAGCCAAGTGTGAGCTGTGCACCAGAGTACAGAGAAGCCAAAAAAGGACAAGACCAGGGGAAAGAACCTCGAGCTCCAAGGTTGATGGGAGGAAGCTCTGGGGTCAGACAGACCTCACCTCTTCCATGTCAGTTGCCCCCTGTGTGTCTGTTTCCAAACTCAAAAACAGAGGCGAAAGTCCCTCCCCTTTCCATCCACAGTTGTCCTAAAGGTTAAATAGGATGGACAGTGGATGGGAAGTTCTCAGCATGAAACCTGGCATCTAGTAAGTGCTCATTTATTTATCCCTTCATTTACCCAACACATATTTGCCAAGTGCCTGGCACACGTCTCAGTGCAAGGAACAAGTGCAAACACATGAACACACAGGTGAGTGGCTCCTGCCCTCTTGGTGCTCCCGTGCTAGTGGAGGAGGCAGAGAGCAACACAGAACAGCACAGAAGCCAACAGAGAGAGGCAAGTCAGCCATGGTGTGCAGGCTGTGCCATGGAGGAAATATGCCTGCAACGTGATGGGGCTTTGGGAGCGGGGACACTGGACAGATGCTGGATAAGCTGGTCTGGGAAGAGCTCTAAGGTGAGTGACATCTGAGCTGAGAGCTAAGAAGGAGACCAGTCCACCCATGGGAAGAGCAGGGAAAAGCCTAAGCCTGGAGAGGCTTCGCTTATCATGAGGGTGAGGAGGGTCCAAGCCCCACAGCTAGAGTGGCAGGACGAGAGGGACAGGAGAGGAATGGGAAAATGCCATGCATGCCATGGAGAGCCTCGTGGCCCAAGGCCGAGTTTGGAATTCAGAGCAATGGAGAGCTCACTCTGCCAGGTAGCAGCAGGCGCTGCTCATGGTTGTTACTATGTATGAGTGCTACCTGTCCAACAAGGACTTTGGGTGCCAGCCATCACCCATGACTTCAAATGGCCCAAGGGTTCCTCAGACCTCCTTTCCCTCCCAGGGAATGGCTCAAGAACCAAGCACCAGTAGGTGTCACCAGAGACTGTGTGGAGCTTTCTCTAGGAGAGGATGGGGAGGAGATGGAGGCGCAAGGGGAGCTCAGGGGCAGCAGAGCCCTTGCAGCCTTTTTGTGTGACAGCCAGCAGACCTTCTGAGACCAAACCTTCCTTCATCCCATGTTTAATGAACACCCAGTATGCACCTGGCACTGAAGTGATCCTGGGCATAAAATAATGGCAAAGTGACAAGCTCGCTGTCCTCAGGGATCTGCCATCCAGTGAGAAAGATGGAAATTGATCAAATAAGGCACTGGGGTCTCCAAAATGTGTGTGATGACAGCAGGTGGGGGCAGTAGTAGGGAAGCTCTAAGGCAGGGATGGAAGAGAGGACAGCATAGCAGGTGGTTGGAGGTGTTGGATGTCTCTACTTGGGGAAGGGGGGATTGGAGGCAACTACAGGAAGGCAGGAATTGGGGGAGTGATGCATGGGAGGTCTGGGAAAGGACCTGGAGGTGAGGAAGAGTGGGGACACATGGCTGGAACAGTTCAGCAAAGGGAAGAGCAATGGTGAGATGAGGTAGAAGTGGCCCAGGTTGGGGCTGATGGACCCTGGTAAGATGTGTCACCCTGCAGCAGGGGGAGGGCCCGGCTGTGACAGGGAAAGGGTGGAGGCAAAGGCCAGCCAGGAGGCCACCACAGTGGTCGGGGGGAAGGGATGATGGTGACTTGTTCCTTGTGGTGGGGGTAGAGGAGAGGTAGCCAGTCCCTGGATCTATCCTGAAAGACTGGGCAGGATCTGAAGGTAGATTAGATGTGGAGTGTCTAGAAAGTGAATGCTCTGCCCTGTGCAGCTGTAATGTTGGAGCCACAGAACATGAGTCCAATGGTGGACATTTTCCATCTGAGATGTCCTATGGGTGCTCAGCAAGCATCTGGATCTGTAAGCTCAGCTTTCAGATTTCAAGGCTTGGGGCCCAGTTGGGGCTTTCCATTTGGAAGTTGCTGGAGCAGGGATAGTGTTTAAAGCATCGGGAGTGAGTGAGATCATTCAGTGATGAATGAGAGAGAGGAGAGATGTCTGCAAATTAGGCCCTCACAGCCTCCAATCTTGAAATGCGGGGGATGAGGAGTGGCCGGCAAAGGAGACTGAGAAGGGGTGGCCAGTGAGGTGGGAGGAGAACCAGGGAGAGGGAGGTCCGCAGTGTATGTGGAGGGAGTGTTTCACGCAGCAGGGAGCAGTCCAAGGCACCAATTCTTAAATGTCAAATGAGAAGGGAAACAGGCTATGCCCAGTGGCTCAGTCCTATAATCCCAGCATTTTGGGAAGCCAAGGTGGGTGGATCACTTGAGGCCAGGAGTTTGAGATCAGCCTGGCCAACATGGTGAAACCCCATATCTACTACAAAAAAAAAAAGTATATATATATATATACATGCACATACAAAAATTAGCAGCACGTGGTGATGTGTGCCTGTAGTCCCAACTACCCGGGAGCCTGAGGCAGAGAATCACTTGAACCCAGAAGGGAGAGGCTACAGTGAGCAGAGATCACACCACTGCACTCCAGCCTGGGTGACAGAGAAAGACCTGGTCTCAAAAAAGAAGGGGCAGCATTTATAGTGAGGTTTGGCATCCTACAGGTCATTGGTGCCCTGAATGATGGGGCGAGGGCCCCATTGGAGCAGGTTCAGGGAGAATGGCTGAGCAGCAAATGGAGACAACAGGGACAGCAACTATGTCAAACCCATACTCTTCTTCCCCTAACTCCTTGTTTCAGAGATGGTCTGAACCTCTAATACTATCCTCTAATAATGACTCATGAGGGAGCTGTCTTGGGAAGTTTCAGGAAAACACACATACTCCCAATGCCTCCACAACAGGTCTCTCTCTTTTTAAAAACTTTTAAGAAGAGACTCCCTCTTTAATGATTTACAAATTACTTTCACCAAGAAAATTAGCAAGATGCTAATTACTCTACTTCAAAGTTGGGGTGCCATGAGAGAGCATGTGGACTGATTGTTACCTGGTTCACCTCAAAACCAACAAGCTCATTATTCCAAGGAGCTCAACAGTGTTGAAAAATACCTCCAAACATTTGGGATTAAGGCGGTGCTAGTGTAAGAAAGAAAAGAAAAAGGAAAGACATGTCAGTTACCGAATCCCTAGATTTGGCAAGCACATTCACACACCATGACCTCCAGCAGCCCTTCTGATTTTCTCAGAAGGGAAGACGAACACTTACAAGAGTAAGAGACTGCTCCAAAGTAACAGAACTCATTAATACCCAGAATTCCAGCCCAAGTTTGGCTGACACCCAGTCTCCCATCTTTGCACAACAGTGTGCCCTGCAGAGATGGTCAAGGGAAAGGGTAAACTACAAGACCAGTGTGGGGTAGAATGATCCATCTGTTGAGCAAGGGTGTGGAGACCCTTTAGAACCCCTTAAATGAGCAGGATGTGGTAGCTTGGTAGAGATGGTGGCTGTGACTGTCACATGGCAGATGAGGGACAGGGATGATGGTGCAAGGGTGTCTGGCCACAGGACAGTGTGTGCCAGGACAGAGGGAATATGCCATCGTGACTGTGGGATGCTTGTGTTCTGTTGGGAGGTTATGATCATTAGGCTGATGGCCTCACTAAAGAGCAGAGGAGTGAGGGCATGAACACATCCTGGGTGTCCACCATCTGCTGGGACATGACCACTACACCTGGATCCTAAGTAGGCCACAGGGAACAGAAAGGACAAGAGGACAAGAGCCTCTGCCCTCCTGAAGCCCAGAATTTCAGTGGATTCCATTTAATTCTCTCAACAGCCTTCCTGAAGGATTTTGACATTCCCAGTGACACAAACACACTGAGGCTCAAAGAGGGTGAGTGACCTGCTCCTGGTTACTCTCCTGGGAGGTAGCAGAGGCAGGGCTCAAGGCCAGGTCTGACTAAGGTGATGGAGCCCTTCCCACTGCCCTCCCCTTTGGCCTGCTCAGCACACTGTATGGGCCTCTGCTCGCTGCTGTGACTGATGATCACCAATGAGAAATGTCACCTTTAGAGCCCCGAGAGGAACAACAATCCCTTTGGCTCTCACACTTGCCTATTTCTATTCCCGTTACAATAAGAGGCCTTCTGCCCCAGCCTTGGCCTCCGAGACCCCATCAGATTCTAATGTCTTTGTCTTCTCATAGAGACAGCTTGATAGAGGTGGTGGTGATTGTGATGGTGGTGATGGTGATGATGATGGTGATGATGGTGACGATGATGGTGATGATGGTGATGTGGATGAGGTGGTGCTGATGGCGACAGTGGTAGCAATGGTGGTGATGGTGGTGGTGATGGTGATGCTGATGGTGATGGCAGTGGTGATGATGGTGATGATGGAGGAGGTGATGGTGATGGTGGGAGGGGAGGATGGGTCTACTCAGATAGCCAGCAGTCAAGAGACTGGCTCTCCTATCCACTTGCTGTGTGACCTTGCATGGCCTCCAGCATCCTTCTGAGTCTCAGCTTCCTCAATTATAAAATAATGAACTACCTCTCAGAATTTTGATAAGGATGGGATAAAAGAAAATAAAAAATGTCCAGTACAGTGCCTGGCACACAGAAGCTGATGCCCACATGGTGCTTATTATGTGACAACCATCTTTCAATTCACTTTGCATACATATCAATTAACTGAATCCTTCTAACAACCCCATAGAGTGGCAATTCTCATGGCTATTGTTTGTTTGGAATAAATGAGGGAAATAAGGCACAGAGAGGTAAAGCCCCTCATCCAAAGTCACAGGACGGGTAGGTGACAGAGCCAGCATTTGATCCCAAGTGGCAGCAGTGTGGCTCCAGGGGCCCTGCATGCTCCTTGCTGCTGCCTGCTAGGCCGGGGGAGAGCAGGCTCGGCTCCTCATTTGAACATCTCCTCCCCGTTTGAGTGCAGTGGGGCCTCTTGTGCATCGGAGCAGGAGCACCACAGCTTTCAAAGCCAGCCGGGAAACTCCCTGTCCAAAGCAATCCTTCCTTCTACTCACAACCCCTGTGCAGTAGCTCTTTTTGAATCCCCCCAGGAACAAGGAGCTTCCCACCTTCTGAGGAGGCCATGCCCTTGAGCTCTCTGAGCAACGATTGTGCCCGGAAAGGATTTTATGAATCAGCCCAGCTTTACTCATTAGATTAGGGCTCCATGAGCAACACCAATTCCTTTTCTGGAGGAGCCTCCACCCCACACCCAGGCAGAGCTGCTTCAGCAACTTCACCTGTCCCCACCGACGTAGCTTCTGATCTGTTCCCAAGCCACCCACTGTCAACGGTGTAGGACAGTGGGTCCTTCAATCTGCCCTGGCCTTCCCTGCTGTGGAAGAGGAGGCCTTTGGAGCCATGCACAGCTCAGGCTGACTTTGATTCTTCTTAGAGGGAGACTTTAAACAAAGCAGGGGCAGGATGGAAGGAGCTCAGAGCTGGACAGTGGGGCTGGGGTGGGGGACTTGCAGAAAAAGGGGCCGTGCCTAGAGCTTCGGAGGGGGGCCTGCTCATTAGCAGCTCCAGAAATTACTACAAATGGCAAAGAAATGAGGAGGGCATGGCAATTCTGCACCCGCCAGCTGTGCCTCTCACCCCGAGGCTCCCCTAGAGCAGTCAAGGCGTGGCCGCATTGCTGCACCTGTGTGAGCACTCCCAACAGACTGCATGTCTCTGCATGTGTGTGCAGGGCTGCACTGTTCACTGTATGAAACCATTAGGTACATGTGCCCCTGTGTGCATTTGTGTGTGAATGCATTTGGGCGTTTCTGCAGTGGGGGTGCTGGCCTTGGAGGAACAGAGAGAGAGAGAGAAGCAGTGACAGCAAGAGAAAGAGAGAGAAAGAGAGACAGAGAGGGAGAAGCAGTGACAGCAAGAGAAAGAGAAAGAGGGAGACAGAGAGAGCGAGAGAGACAGAGAGAGAGAGAAGCAGAGAAAGCAAGAGAAAGAGAGACAGAGACAGAGAGACAGCAAGAGAGAGGGACAGAGAGAGAGACAGAGGCAGTGAGAGAGAGAGAGAGAGAGAGAGAGAGGAGCAGAGAAAGCAAGAGAAAGAAACAGAGACAGAGACACAGCAAGAGAGAGAGACAGGAGAGACAGCAAGAGAGAGGGATAGAGAGAGAGACAGAGGCAGTGAGAGAGACAGAGAGAGGAGCTTTTGTGTGGGCGGCCTGTGGGACACACTCCCAGGATGGCCCAGTGGGTCCCTTCCTGCCAGCGCCTTCTAGGGCATACTGCCAGTGACACATTCCTGACAAGGAAGAGGGCCCCAGCCTGGCAGGCATGGATAGGCCTGCCCTGGGCTCCCAGTGACCTCTCTGGCTGCTCCCCTGCCCTTTTGGTGTGCCTGGGACAAATGGGTGTCCACCTTTCCTGCATGTCCCCATCCCACTCTCCCCCACCCTGTGCCTGCCCCTCTTTCTTTGGGGAAAGGCCGCCTTTGCCCCTCTGATTCTCCCTGCCTGTCCCCTCCTGGCCTTGCTGTCCGCATCCCCATTTCCTCCCCTCTCCTCCAGGCTGGATCCGCCTGCACTCCTGCCTCTGCCCACGCCTGCCCCTACCTCTATCTGCTGACCCCATGCCCACCTCCAGCTTGCCACCTCCCCACTCCTGTCCTGCGTACCTCCTGCCCCGGAGACATTGGGCCCAGGTCCACTACCACTGCTCACACTCAGAGCCCACCCTCACCACAGCTCTGCCCCCACAGGCCCTACATCTGGGGAGAAGCTTCAGAAGATGGACATGAGGATGGGTCAGTGCCAAGCAGGACTGCAGTGTGGCCCCTCACATGACCACACCCTTCCATGCCCTGGCCAAACACAGCTTCGCCTGGACATTCACGGCTGACCTGGCCCCCGAGGCCGATCCATGCCCAGGCACCTATGGTCTCCCTATTTCACAGCAAGGCACCTGAGGCTCGGAGGGAATCGGCTGACCCTGGGGCATGGAGCTGCTCCTGACTCTGCCCACCATGTCCAGGCCCCTCCTGCTCCTCGAATCTGCCACCCCATCCCGAAAATCTTAGGAGGGGCTGGAGAGGAACAACCAAGAAAAGGGCAAAAGCTGAGCTGAGCTGCAATGGGTCAACTGGGAACAGCGGTTCCCTCTGGAATCAATGTTCTGATAACACGGACTCAGCTTCAGCATCAGGAGAAGGTCTGAGTGACCCTGTGGTCCAACCCCCTTGTTTTACAGATAAGGAATCAGATGTCAATAAAGAGGAGCTGCCTTAAGGTGCAACTCCCACCAGACCGCGCCAGGACTGGGCCTCCTCCCCGGGCACTTGGCCCAGTGCCTCCTTCCCATAAACCCAAACCCATAGAGGTCGCCTGCTGAAGGGTATAGCTTTGTGAACTGCTCCTCCGGTTATAATTGGCTTTTACAGGAAAACTGGCCCTGGAATGACAGCACATGGCTTTGCCCTCTGTCTTTGATCAAACCTTTGACCCAAGGTCATGGCCCTGGGTGGTGACGTCATCAGTTCAGTGTGAACTAACATCTCTTTAGGCTTCGTCCTTGCTGCCTCTGTTCTGTTTGTTCCTTAACAGAGAAAAAGCCTTGTGCTTTACGTGTGTGGCACCTCCAGCCTTTTCACACCCTCCAAGGCTCACTCTGCTCAATTCTGGAACCAAAGGAAACTCTCAGTATCTGCTCTTCAGGGTTCTAATGGGAAGTGGGCGAGAGAAAGTGCACAGAGCACCAAGTTCAATATGGAGGACTTCCAAGTCACACAGAGCACGGTCCTACTGGAATTTTTTTTCTTTTTTTCTTTTTCTTTGTTTTGTTTTGTTTTGTTTTGATTTGTTTTGTTTAGAGGCTGGGTCTTGCTTTATCACCCAGGCTGGAGTGCAGTGGTGCAATCACAGCTCACTGCAGCCTCCAACTCCTGGGCTCAAGTGATCCCCCCACCCCAGCTTCCTGAGTAGCTGGAACTACAGGCACATGCCCACCACATCCAGCTTTCCCCTGGAGATTCTGACCATGGAACCTGAGGGTGCCAAGCAAAACATTTCCCCAAACCTAGTCAGTCCATTACCCTCCAAACCCTGAGCTTCTACAGGCTCAGAGAGGAGGAGCTGAAGATCCCCAGGGTCTTTATCGCTCAGTGCTCGACCCCGGGTGAGAGGGTTGCTGAGCAGGCAGGCAGGCAGGAAAAACCAAACAAAAACAAAGCAAAACACCTCTCTGCTTCCCTACATGGATTGTGAGTAGAAGGAGCTGCATAAAATCAAAGGAGTGGCACATCGCAAGTGTATCACATGAATCCAGAGGCGGGCTGAAGAGATATTTCATGCAGCCCCTGGAGAGGAGATAGGCCTTCCCTAGGAGAGGTTGGAGGACAGAAGGTCAGAAACATGGTATGACGAAGCCCCAGGAGGCCAGGCCTCGTCCCAGCGTTGACCCTAAGTCACTCCATGTCTGCGGATAAACCATCTCCCTTCTCGGTCCCCAGAAAGCAAAGGACCAGCTGAATGAGCCCAGAATGCCTCCTCATCCACATATCCTGCCTCTTTTAGTCTGTGGTTCTCAGAGAAGACATGCAAACAAGACAAGGTGTGATTTATTTGTGCCACTGCCAGCCACGTTCTCCCATTAGCACACAGCCTGGGCATGTGGTCTGTGTCCAAACTCACACAGTCGTGACCCCAAAATCAGTGCCGGTGACAAAGGCAGGCCACAGGAACAGGAGCATGGAGCCCCCAGGAAAGGGCAAGGAGCTGGGCTCAGCCCTCCACCTTGTCAGGCCCCCCTGAACACCATGTCGGGGCAGATGGCAAGGCCAGGACCCCTTCACTGGGCCTCAGGTCAGCGGACAGAACGGGATATGGCTGCCCATGGCCCTCCCCGGAAGGCTGGTGGAGGTGGGCTCCTGGAATGGGCACTGGTGCATCCCTGAGGCAGCTTTGGTGAGGCTGTGGGGAATGACAGCCAGATGTCTGTGAGGAACATCTGGCATCTGGTGCGGCCTTCCCAAGGACAAAACCAGCCACAAAACAGAGCTGTCACTGGGCACAGGGCTGAGACCTAGAGAGGGCAAGTGAGGGGGTGTAGCACACAATCTAGGGGTGGCGCCACCCCCCCACACACTTACTCTCCTCCTTCCAGGGCACCCACTGAGGTGCTGCACCTCCCATTGTAGACTGAGGTCACCTCTGAGGATCTGCAGGCAAAGGGGCATGCTAAGGGATGGGCATCGGTGTGGCCTCCCACCTTTGCATCCCTGCATGGCTGTGAGCCGCCGCTGCATCCTGGGCTCTGCTACACCTGCCATGCCCATCCCCGCACCTTGAGAGTAAAGCAACGGTGGCTGTAGGCTTTCACCTTCAGCTCCTCCAAGCAGCATCCCTTCCATTTCCTCCTGGACAGCTGAGAACAAGCTGCTCAGTCTTTCCATCCTCCATTTCCTCATCAGACCATTACTATGTGCTGGGCTGTCTGATCAGTTATCTGCTCACATTTCCTAACTAACCAGCCAACCCCTTCACCCACCCCACCTCTGACCTTAAAACCCCTTTCCCTTCCCCTCTCTTCTCCACCCTGTCCCTCTAGGTTTCTGCCAGCTTCCTGCTGGCTCACATTCCTCCGTCAGACTTCTACACATCACAAGACCTCTGAGCTCACCCTAGCTCTCTTTTCACTTCTTTAACCTTGATCTAATCGATTTCTCATTCAGTTCTGTGTAAGAGGTGTCCACATGTGTATCCCCTCTGTGGCAGAGTCAGGACTGGGCTAAGCCAGGGAGGGTCCAGAGGCACAGCATAGAGACCTCACTCCAGGTGGTCACCCTGACATTGCACCCAGACTGAGCGAGCCAGCACCTCCTCAAATTGTGCATCTTGTCCTCTCATCTTGCTCTGCTTCTCTGGATCTCAAGCTTTATTTAAATTTTCTATATGTGTGACCTCAAAGCCACCAACAATACAATGAGTTCAAGACAACAACTTTCCGGATGTGGTGACTCATGTAGTCCCAGCACTTTGGGAGGCCAAGGCGAGCAAATTGCTTGAGCCCAGAAGTTCAAGACCAGCCTGGGCAATATAGTGAAACCCCATCTCTACCAAAAATGCACACATTAGCATGGCATGGTGGTTCACACCTGTAGTCCCAGCTATTCGGGAGGCTGAGGTGGGAGGATTACCTGAGCCCAGGAGGTCAAAGCTGCAGTAAGCTATGATGGCACCACTACACTCCAGCCTGGGCAACAGAGCAAGACCCTGTCTCCAAAAAACAAAAAGACAACTCACTTTCTCCCGCACCACTGTACCTCTCTCCCTCTATTGCCCCCAAACTTTAAGTGCCATGAGGGTGGCTCTGCACCCAGGAGTTTGTTTTCCATCCGTATGTTCTTTCTCCAGATACCACTCCTTCTGGGAACTTCCCTCCATCTCCACTGCCTCCCCTTTGGCTCTGCCCTGTCATCTCTCATGCACCTCCCCAGATTTGCTCAGCTCCTGCTGCCATCACCCCACTCCACCCCCAGGTCCTCAGCTGTTCAGCAGAGACCCCAACCACTTCTGCTGGTTTGCCAACTCCTCACACTACCAACATCCTCAGCCCTGACCCAGGAGGCTGCAGTTCCACAGGGCATCCATCACTCCTGCTGGGACAGGGGCCTCAGGGGTCCTGGGTCTTGAGCAGACCAACTGGAGCAAGGAGGTTAGATCTCCACTCACCGCTTCCGGGCTCACATGAAGCTCATGGGATCTGGCTTTCCCCATAGCTACACAGAGGGACCAGGTACACAGCCTTGAACTTACAGAGGGCTTAACACTCCTCAGGCTGGAATTTAACCAGTCAGAAACACAAAAGAGCTGGCAAGTCAGTTATCCACCAGTTATCCACCCCCTCCCCTATCTAGATAGACTATTCCAAGGGCACTGATTGCAGGCTGGCCTCTCTGCAATGCTGACATCCTGCAGGACTCAACGCGCAGCGCCGCCTTCTGGGGCAGCTGCTGCCATCTCTGTAACACCCTCTCTGTACATGTTCCTGGGTCTCGCCTCCTTCCCCTCTCTCTTGCTGCTTTGGGGTTGGACCTCACAATAAACAGCAGAACAGAAACCCTGCCACAGGCACCTCTCACTTGGCCTAAGACTCTTCCCAGCTTCTCCCCTTGCCTCTGTGTCTCCTGACCGCAACCTGCTTTTCCACCCAAAGCAAAGTGAACTTAAAGCACAGTAAAGCAGTACTCCTCTCTTGGTCAAACTGCTCCAATGGGTGGAAGGGGATGTACAGTTTGCAAAAAATTCATCAAGCCGTACAGTTAAGATGTGTTCAGCTATCTGGATGTTTTCTATCCTTCACTGTAAAGCTTAAAGTAGGCGGGGCGCAGTGGTTCACGCCTGGAATCCCAGCACTTTGGAAGGCCGAGGCGGGCAGATCACTTGAGGTCAGGAGTTCAAGACCAGCCTGGCCAACATGGTGAAACCCTGTCTCTACTAAAAAAAAAAAAAAAAAAAAAGAAAAAAAGAAAAAAAGAAAATTAGTTGGGTGTGGTGGCACACGCCTGTAGTCCCAGCCACTCGGGAGGCTGAGGCAGGAGAATTGCTTGAACCCAGGAGGTGAAGGTTGCAGTGAGCCGAGATAGCACCACCACACTCCAGCCTGGGAGACAGAGCGAGACTCTGTCTCAAAATGAAGAAATACATAAATAAAGTTTAAAGTAAAACAAAACAAAGTCTTCAATGGGTTGCCACTCAACTAACAATAAAACTCCAAATTCTTCCCGTGGCCACAACACCCTAGGGAAGTCGGCCTCTGTCCGTGCCCCACTCCAGTCCTCTACCGCTTTTGTGTTTACTCCAGAAGCTGCGGGGCACTGGCTTCTGGAGGCTGGAGCTGAGGCCACTGCTGTCCCTTTATAGTTTCCTCCACCCGGAGTGCCCTTTGCCTGGCTGTGTCCTCAGAAGGGTCCCTTAATTCCCTGACCTGAGCAGAACCCTTCTTCCTTTTTTCTTACCCTCCCACTGTGTTTATGTCCTACAGAGCACTTATTATAACTTCCAGCTATAATAGTCAGCTATAATTTTAAGGGCTATCTTTCCTCTTGTTTTTTTCCCTCATATTAACTATTATACTACCCTGAAATGCAGATACTGTTTCCAGTTCACAGTAAGCCTTTAATCAGTATTTCCTGAATCAATGAACAAAATGTTTGCAGCAAAGATACAAGGTTTTTTTTTTTTTTTTTCATGTTTTCAGGTGAAGAAACTTGAGTCAGAGAGCACTTGTAATGTCCTCAAGGACACAAGGGCATCAATCAGAGAGGAGGAGACTTGTGCCCAGCGTCCCCTGGTGCACTTTTCCTGTATTAATGCATTGAATCTTCACAGTCATAGGTGGGCTTGTTCTACCCATTTCACAGATGCTGAAATTAAACACACAAAGGACCAGCCATAAGTAAAGAGGGGACAGAGGGCAAACACAAGAATTCAAGCCCAGGTCTGTCAGTGTAAACTTCCAAGTGTTTAACCAGGATATAAATTGCTGGGTCTCAGGAGTTAAGATGTTTAAAAGATAAAATAAAGTCCTCTGCTAGCCCAGACTTTTACTATTTCTCAGTGCAGGCTTGCCGGCTCCCCGTTTCTTTCCTTGCAGATGCCTAAGGCCACTTGTGGCTTCCAAGCAACAAAACCTTGTGGACCATGGAGCCTTGGACATGCCTCAGCCCAGGCCCTGTTGCCCATCTAGGGACAGCATAGCACGTTGCACAGGCCGGTTGTTTTTTGACATTGAAATAATCTGTTGCTCGGTCAGAGTTCCCAATGAGACAATTCTACTCTTCCCTCCCTGGTTGTGGGCTCCGCTGTCAACTGTACATGACGCAGTGAGGAGGGCGATGAGCTGACTTCCAGCCTGGGAAACCATCCCAGCCCCACCTCTGCTCAGGGATGGTGTTGGGGGCCTAGGGGTACATGGATCATAGTCTCTGGGGTCCATTTTACCTGAGTCCCAATCTACAAAGCAATAGCACTGAGCAAGTCATCTTCACTCCTTAAGGGTACATTTGTGCATCAAGGGCTGCCAGGAAGGAGGGGTGAGAACGCAACGCGGAAGTGGGTGCGGGGAGCCTGCAGGGCTCCGTGGCTGTGCTCTGCCTCCTGCAGTTTTACTTGACTGCTCTCCTGCCTTCTCTGGGCTCTGGTTAACCCCTCTCTGAAGTGGACAATGTAGGAGGCAGTGAGGTGGGGTCTAGATTCACTTATAATAGATAATCTACAAATACTCTCTCACTGAATCTTTGCAATGTGTCTATGCAGGAGATTTTTGCTTGCTGTTTTCCAGATTTCTGCCCGAATCCACACAACAGATAAACAGTGGAAAAGGGTTTCCGCTCTCGGATTTATCAGATACATACCTATCAGATTTCACAAACTGTATTCTTTCAATTCCATTTTGTTCCCCCTCCCCAGAAAAAAAGAAAAACAGCAATGCCGCTCTTGGGCACAGAAGAGCTTAGGGCCTTCCTCTGGACCTCCTCCAGTTTTACTTCATCCCACAGAGGAAGAGGAGGGACCAAGGGACCATTCCCATTTGGACCCCATGCTCATCTTCTAGACCGCACTTCAGGATCTGGACCTTGGACCTCCCTGCCCAAACGGTCTGAACCTGGCCCATTCTCCTTCTAAAGTACAGCCTCATTGCCCATCTGTACTCCTGAGGGTGGACTGGACCATTCCTGGGGTCTCCTGGGCCCAGGGGGCTTTAAGGGGCAGCTGTCTGTCAGGTTTGTGGACAGAACTTGATCTTATATATCAGGGGGTCCTCACACATGCAGATGAGGCCCTCCTTGGCTCAAGACCAAGCAGGAGTTACGAAGAGAAGGAGGCCAGGCCGCGGACTGGGGCTGGGAGCCTGGGTGTGACTCTCCCTGGGCTACCATGATTTTGCGTGTGACTTTAAGGAGTCCAAGGATGCTGTATTCAAACCTGCCTCCCAGGTTTTTGTGCAGGCATATTTGTCAAGTTAGAAGGAAAGAAGTTATTTTCCAGGACACTTTTAAAATTTGATCTACAAGATATAAATAGGAGCACACTAAGTACGTAAGCTTCCTTTTGTTGTCTTGCCCTAGGCTGCTCTGGTTAGGGCCGATCGGAGTGCAGAGCCAGATCTGGCCCAGAACTCTCAGCCCAGATGAGCAGAGGCAATGGATGGAGGTGCTTGGCTCCACATTCCAACCTCATCTCAGCCAGCACAGTCCTTCTCAGCTAGGGGGTTTCACTCTCAGCCCAACCTGAGCACAGGCAGGAAGATGTCTTTCTATTCCCCAGATTTGGGGGTCCAAGACAGAAAATGTCTTCAGTAGAAAACACACGTGGCATTGGGTGCTCAGGGGAGCCAGAACTCACCTGCAGGGGGTTGTGGCACCCCAGGGCAGTGCCAATGAGCTCCTCTTATTACCTTCCACCCCTTCAGCCATTTATGTTCACATCTGTTGTTAGATTGATGTAAATAAGAACCTATTATAAACAAATAGACATCCCATGTGTCTATTACATATCAAGCAAAATTGACTGGTTGGATTTCCAGAATATGGAAGCAGATATTTCCCAAGAGTAGACAGACAGTCAAAATGCAGACAGAGTTTTAACAGAGTTTTTTTTTTCTGGGCAAGTACACGTAGATTGTTCCAGGGTAAGGGGCAAAAGGAAGCAGTCTTTATTGTCCTGAGCATCCCTTTCTAGGTTTGGTTGTCTATGTGTGTGCATCTGAGTATGTGTATATAAGTGGGGCTGTGTAGTGAGTATGTATGTGAGCACATGTGTGTCTATGTGTGGGTATGTTTGTATGCCTGTGTGTGAGTGTATGTGTGTGTCTTGTTTGTGTATGTTTGTAGGCACGTGTGTGGTGTGTTTGTATGCCTGTGTGTGAGTGTATGTGTGTATCTTATGTTTGTATGCATGTGTATGTGTGTGTATGTTTGTATGCCTGTGTGTGAGTATACATGTTTATGTTTGTATGCCTGTGAGTGTATGTGTGTGTATGTATGCCTGTGTGTGAGTGTATGTGTGTGTATGTTTGTATGCCTGTGTGTGAGTGTATGTGTATGTTTGTATGCTGGTGTGTGAGTGTGTGTATAGGTATGCCTGTGAGTGTATGTGTGTATATGTTTGTATGCCTGTGTATGAGTGTATGTGTGTGTGTGTTTGTAGGCCTGTGTGTGAGTATATGTATGTTTGTATGCCTCTGAGTGTATGTTTGTATGCCTGTGTGTGTGTGTATGTTTGTATGCCTGTGTGTGTGTGTATATGTATGCCTGTGAGTGTACGTGTGTGTATGTTTGTATGCCTGTGTATGTGTATGTGTGTGCCTATTTGTATGCCTGCATGTGAGTGTATATGTGTGTGTATGTTTGTGTATGTTTGTATGCCTGTGTGTGAGTATATGTGTGTGTGTGTTTGTATGCCTGTGTCTATGTATGTTTGTATGACTCTGTGTGTGTGTGTGTTTGTGCATGTGTTTGTGTGGGGGTAAATTCAAAGAAACCAGGGTAAACATAATCAAAAGGACAAAGACAGGACACATAGCTTACAGCAAAACAAGTCACCTAAAACATGCAGCTTTGACACTTGTTTTCCTTCAGTCTTCCAGTAACTGCGAGGTTGTGTCAGAAGCATCACGATTAATCAACCACATTTCTGGGAAATCCCCAAGACATCGCATAACCCCGTATCCCTACTCATTCTCTGACAAGTGTAAAACAAGTTCTGCCAGGATAAGGTTAGCTACAGGACATGAGAGGCACTCAGAAGTGCAGAGTTCCTCCATGAATTTCTTACATAAATGCACATTTATATAGAGACATATATTTATATAGAGATTGTCTATGTTTAGGTGTATGTCCTTTTACAACTATCTTATAGAGATTGTCTATGTTTAGGTGTATGTCCTTTTACAACTATCTATTTAATTGTCGCCACTCTATATTTCATCTCTTTCTCAACTCAAAACAAAAACCCCCATGTGAAATGCAGAGTCTCCATGAGCTGAAGCCTTGTGCATGGCATGACCCTAGTCAATGAGATCATCACACCTATATGCTGCAGTCTCCACTTTACTCGGGATGGCACCAGGGACAGAGTGATGTGGCTGGTACAAGGCCCCATGGCCAGGCAGCGCTGATTCATATTGAACCTCAAACCCCTTCTAGTTCCACTGGGACATGGATTCATGTCCAAAACCTAGGAGGGTGTAATGGTTTTTTAAGAATACATGGCTAACCTCTAAAAATGGGAGGCAGGGGAATATCTTTCATTAGATGTCACACAGAGTGGGCCGCTGGTCATGCATTTTGACCAATACATGGAAGGGAAGAGAAGAGAGACCCTCTAAGAGGAGCCACACCACTCAGCACTCCAGGGAGGAAACTGAGGCCCCCACAAAATGTCCTATCCAAGGGCACCTTGGGAGCTGGTGGCAGCAACTCCAGATTCTCAGTCATCACCTCAGAGTATATTATCCGATGTTGGCAAACTCCTGTAAAGGGCCCGATAGTAAATAGCCTTTGGATCATGCGTCTCTGTCTTAAAGACTCAACCTGCTATCCCAGTGTGAGAGCAGCCATCGACAATACGTTAACAAGTTGACATGGTTGTGGTCCAGTAACACAATTTGTAAAATTGGTTTCTGGCCAGTGATCTGGCCTTTGGGCTGTAGTTTGCTGTCCTTTGAATTCGATCAGGGAGGGTCTTCCCTGCTGGAATGGACCAGTTCCCCATGCAGAACTCAAGACAGATGAACTTCTCGACTCTGCTCAACTCCCTCTCTGTGACGTGGTGCTCAGATACAGTCACGTTACTGCCAAGCACTTTGATTTGTGGCATGTTCTTTTTTATATAGATTTGCCATAAAAATATTAAGTATGATAACAAGAACCACAGTAAAAACCACAACTTGGTAACTATCTGCCAGATTGGGAACTATCATTTCAGATTACAGACAAGGAAACCGAGGCTCAGAGAGGTGAAGTCCCTGGCTGAGATCCCTGGCTGGCAAGTGGCAGACCTGGGATTCCACTCTAGCCCCGCTGACATGAGACCACAGGTCTTAGCAATGACATGTTATAACAAGAGTTAACCTGTGATTTGCACTGACTGTGCCAGGCTGCAGTGGGAGCATTTTATGTGCGTGTTCCCTCTGCTCTAGAGAGTAGGTAGTATTATTATTGTATTTATTTATTGTTTGTTTATTTATTTATTTGAGACGAAGTCCTACTCTGTCGCCAGACTGGAGTTCAGTGGCACGATCTCGGCTCACTGCAACCTGACTCCCTGGTTCAAGCGAGTCTCGTGCCTCAGCCTCCTGAGCAGCTGGGATTATAGGCACATGCCAACATGCCTGGCTAACTTTTGTATTTTTAGTACAGACAGGGTTTCACCATGTTGGTCAGGATGGTCTTGATCTCCTGACCTCGTGATCTGCCCACCTTAGCCTCCCAAAGTGCTGGGATTACAGGCATGAGCCACCGCACCCGGCCTATTGTCTTTATTTTACAGGGAAAACTAAAGTTCGAAAGACTAGCTTGTCAAAATAAACAAGAAAGCCTGGATTTCACTGATGCTTTTAGACCTGAGTCCACCCACCAAAGATGATGTTATGCAGTCATGGCCTCCGAGGAAGAGAGGACCAGATTCCAATCCCAGGCCTTCCCTGACTTCTCATCCTGTGATCCTCTCATACATCCCGAGTCAGGGGTTCTCAAAGCGGGCAACATCACTTCCAAGGGGGCAAAATTCAGTTTGGGTAGGAGTGGGAGAGAATCTTAGATACTATAATAGCCTTAGGCCCTCCAAAGTGCTACCCTACCCAACAGCATACAGGGGTATATAATACATGTATGGTATTGCAGTTTCAGAGAAGGGGGATAGTTAGGAAACAAATATTTACAGAGGCTCCTTTGGGGGTAGATAATAATAATTTAAAAGTTAAGAAACACTGTGCCAAGTGAAAGGTATTCAACTCGATCATCTTCCTGAAAGTATATGTACATAATAAATACACACTCACACACAAGTAAATACATCATGTGTGTAAATGTATACAGTAAGAGCCCACACTCAGGGCCATCACTGTATCAAGAGTTCCCCAGGTATTGACTCAATAGATCCTCAAACACTCTACAAGGTAGAGAGTGTCATCATTGTCCTCCTTTTTTTTTTTTTGGAGACGAAGTCTCACTCTGTCACCCAGGCTGGAGTATAATGGCACAATCTCGGCTCACTGCAACCTCTGCCTCCCAGGTTCAAGCAATTCTCCTGCCTCAGTCTCCTGAGTAGCTGGGATTATAGGCACCTGCCACCACACCCGGCTAATTTTTGTATTTTTAGTAGAGATGGGGGTTTCACCATATTGGTCAGGCTGATCTTGAACTCCTGACCTCAGGTGATCCACCTGCCTCAGCCTCCAAAAGTGCTGGGATTACAGGCGTGAGCCACACACCCAGCCCAGCATCCTCTTCTTACAGATGAAGAGACCAGGAAGAGAAAGGTTACATAACTGTCCTAAGGTTAACAGAGAGGAAGGAGACAGAGCTGGGAGGCCCAGCTGGGTGACCCAGCTCCAGAGGCTGTGGTTTAACCAGCTTCAACCACTGATGGAGCTACTTTGACCATGCAAACCTCTTCTAGGAATCCACCTGCAGGAATAATCCACAGGTGCATATGGAGCTCAGTATAAGAAAGTCTCATATTGCATTGTTGCAAGAAACCGTACCCTGGAAGCAAGATAAATCGCCATCAATTTGGGAATGATTGAAGAGGTGATGGTGCAAGCTGCCCGGAGCCAAAGGAGACCTGTACCATTGAGAATGAGATGGGCTGCATGCCCTGGTCTGAAATGCGCTGACAGTGAAGTGTTTGTGTCGCACAAGCTCGTTGCTTCTAATACATGGGTCGTACAGTTTTAGGCAGAGGCAGGAGTCAGTGACCCAACGGTTCCAGGGGTCATCTCCAGGCTTAGGTCTGGCTGGGCAGGGTTGGAAAACTGTTTTTCTTCTTTGAAGTACACACATTTAAAACAAATGATGAGAGGTTTTAGTTTTCCATCATTTTCAGTAATTTTCACATAAAATTTCACAGCACATAATCATAATTAAGTAATTCAATTACGATTTCTATTTGGTGACCTCAGTCCTAATAAGCCTCCCAAGAGGAACTCCTGGTGACCTGCAGCTGGAGGGCAGGGCCTGGGCTGACTTGGTCCCAAGTGCCAGGCCACAGACCTCTACGTGGCGGCTCCAAACCCACAACCCACACTGCTGCCCATCCCTCCCAGCCTTCGGGTCCACCCAGAGGGAACAGCTGGGTGGGTCACTTTGTGGTCACATACATGTTCCCAGATGTGTGTGTAGTGTGTGTAGTATATGTGCTGCATGTGTGTATGAGTAGTGTATATATGTGTGTGGGGTGTTATGTGCCTGGTGTGTATGTGGAGGGTGGCACGTGAGGCCATATGTGGAGTATTATGTGGGCACATGGATATAATATGCATGTGTGTGTGATGTGTGTGCATGTGGTGTGTGTGGAGCATGTGTCTGTGTTTGTGTGGAGGGTCTTATGTGCATGGTGTGCCTGTGTGTGGGTGTGGAGGGTTGCGTACATGGCCAATGGTGTGTGGAGCTGTGTACATTGTATGTATGTAGGTGGGTGGGTGTGTCTATGGTGTCTGTGTGGGTGCTGTTTGTATATGTGGTGTGTGTGAACTGTGCATTTGTATGTGGTGTATGGTGTGTGTATATAGAATGTGTGTTATATATGTGTGGTGTGTAGTGTGTATGTGGTGTGTATAGCCTATGTGCAGTGTGTGGGGTATGCATGGTTTCTGTTTCTGTGGGGTGTGTGTGCTATATGTAGTGTGCAGTGTGTGTGGTGTGTACAGGTGAATGGGTGTGTATGTGGAGTGTGTGCACGTGGGGAGTGTGCTGTGTGTGGTGTTTGTGCACATGTGCCTAGATATAGACTGTGTGTATGTGGTGCGTGTGGTGTGCAGACTGTAAATGGTGTTTGTGCATGTGTTCATGTATGTGTGTGATATGTCTATGGAGTGTCTGTGGTATACAGTGTGTTCATGTGGCGTGTGCAAAACGTGTATTTGCATGTGGTGTGTGGTGCATATCTATGTGGCATGTGTGTAGTATGTGTGGTGTGCATAGTGTTTGTGTATGTGTGTATGCATATAGTATACATGGTGTGTGTGGTATGTGTAGTGTGGAGAGTGTGTGTGGTGTGTGCATATGCGGATGTGTGTGTGAGTGGGTGTGTATGTGAGGGTGTGGTTTGTGAGGGGTGTCTGTGTGCATGTGCTTCTATCTAGGGTGTGTGATGTGCCTGGTACGCACGGTGTTTGTGTGTGTGGGTGTGTGTAGGTGGGGTGTGTGCACCCTGAGTTTACCAGGGAGTCTCAGGCCAGGCAGAGGGATGTGGGGACAGAGGTGGGAGTGTGGCCTGGAAGGCATGGTCACGAGGGGTGATGCCACCAGCAGGGCCATGCCCACTTTGATTCCTGTACAAGACTCTTGCTTAGAGGGAGACAGTGCCTAGAATTTCCCAGGCCAGACACGCCACCCAGACTTGCCAACAGCCAGCCTCCCTGCCGTCCCCTGGGACATGTGTGGCTGTGTCTTCAAAGGGAAAGATAATTGCAGGGGCTCTGAGGTAGGCCCTCTTCCCGCTGAGGGAAGATTCAGGACTGCCCCCGGATGCCCCTCCGAGCTGTGTGAACTGGGAAAGGTAAGCCACATGGCTGAGCCCCCAGTCCTGCCTCCTACAGATGAGAACAGTCCTGCTCCCACTCAGTCCCTTTGCAGTCCCTGTTCCCCGGGCCTGGAACTCAGCCTATCAATCTTGGCTTGCACAGTTGTTTCACACCATTCCAAGATCAAGGCAACTTTTCTCTCCTCCAAGAGACCCACTTCACTGGGTTTCTCAGCTTTGAAGCACTTATCACCACATGAAATGACCTAGCCCATCACTTGATGGACTGCCCATCTCCTTTCCCTTCTGGAAAGTGTCACCCTTAAAGTGGGATCATGTATGTCACATACCCCTGTAACTCTCATGCTTCAGAACAGTACCTGAAAGATAATAGAAGCTCAATGAATATGCATTGAAAAAATAAGTCAATAATATGTGAAAAGAGTGGGTAAAAGCATCCGCTGTTGTGAGATATTACCTGTAAATGTTTATGTAGTCCATTCCCAACTATATATATAAGTTGTATTATTTACTAAAAGTGTTTTGCACTACGGAAAGAAAAAATGTGCAAAACAGACTTTCAAGTGAACCTCATAATTAATTTATTTGAAAGGTTAAGTGTTCTGCCTGCTAACTACAACAGAAGGCAAAGGAGAGCCCCTCCATAAGTATCAGTACACCTACCAGACTAATCTCCCTGATCATGGCCACAAACCCGTCTGCAAGGAGGAACTGACCCCACATTACAGGTAACTGAGACGCAGAGGGCTAAGTCAATTGCACAGAATCACACACTCATCAAAATGCAGAGCTGGAGTTTAAATGCTGACATTTTCCCAGCGAGAACCACAGGTGAACAATAAAATGGGAAAATGAATCTCCTCACACAAAAGAAGCCTCCCTCTACTCCCACCCTCAGTCGTATTGGCAAGTGGAAGCGCCCAGGAGTCAAAACTCTCATTAAATGAGAATAGAGCTAACTATGAACACATCCACAACAGGGTGGGAGAGGGGGAGGGGATGACCACACATCCGGAGAGAGAAAACACCACGGGAGCACAGGAGAGGCTGCTTCTTTGCTCTAATCCAGATCATCAACATCCCAGCCCAAAAGTCCAAGTGCAAAAGACAGGATGCAGCAAGGGACTCCCTGGCTGTGGGGACAGGAGAGAGAGGACCACCATAGTGTGTCCTCAAAATAGAAGTAGGTGGAGGCCTTCTCGGCTGTGGCCAGCTGGCATTCCACAGGCTCACTTACAGTGACCCGATAAGCTATATAAAGCTCGTTTTGTGGCCACGACAAAGCCTGGGGTGGAGAAAACTCTTAATTATAGCTGATGCTCCGGGGCTGGCCTTGTCCTCGGCCTCCGCCCCACACACTGCAGGAAGCTGAGGCTGAGATTGCTTCCCCTGGGAGCCTCTGTCAGGCAATGGAGAAGCAGGAGTTGATGTCGTGACACAGGGGCACTTCCCTGAATGTGTCCAAAGCCAAGGAAACACATAGCCACCAGCATCACGGCAGACCTTAGGGAAAGCCACTGGGGAGGGAGGTCAGATATGATGCCTGAAATGCGTCTGTAATAACACTGGCCATGCGTTACTGCTGTTACTGTTGTTATTCCACTCCTCAGTCTGCTGATACTCTTTTTCATTTGTAAAATGGGGATATTGATTTTTTTCCAAGTTCGTTTCAGTCATTCATTCAACAAACAGCCACTGGCCACCAGGTATGAGCCACATCTGTTCTAGACACTGGGTAGGGTTTGATAATTAGATATGCAGTAAGATTGCAGAAGGATGGTTGAAAGCACTCACTCTTAGGCAGTAGGTTCCGACAAAAGAAAGACTTCCACACCTGTCCCCTGCAATCCTGGACAGGCCACTCAGCCCCTATGTGCCTCTGTGCCATCAACCATAAAACAGCCAGCCTGCCTTTTCTAAATCTGCACCAGCCTTCAAATTCTAACCATTTGTCTCTGTCCATCAAAATGTGAATGCATTAAATATTTCCATTATTGTTGGCTATAATTTCAGATTTGCTTCATGTTCTTATATTCTTTTCTTTGGCGGGGGTGGGGTGGGGAGTGAAACAGATCATTGCCCATGAACTTCTAATGCGCACATCACAACAGCAAGCACAGAATTAACTGTCAGGCCACTGCCCTTATTTCCTTTAAACAATATTTAGGAGCTCATCCTACATACTAGGCTCTGTTCTAGGCACTGAGGTACCACAAGGAACAGACTTTGCCCTTGCGAAGCTTATATCCTTGTGTGTGAAGACATACACTAGGCAGGTAAACAAATGCATATATAAAATTACACATTCCGTTGTGTAATTGTCTGCCATTTTCCTGCTGCCCCAAGTAGACAAGTTTCCCTCTCGAGGACAAAGAGGATGCCAGATTCACTACTGCGTCATGGGCACCTGGCCTGTGTCCAGCACAGAGGAATGACTAAATGTGCTTGTTGAATGAATGAATGAATGAATGAAGGGAATGTTTACTATAATGCATGACTGTTAATGAAGGAATGGATAAATGACATTGAATTGAATGGCTGTTTTAATGCATGGTTATTGAATGAATGAGTGAGTTGGATCTAACTCAATGACTACTACATCAAAAAAAACCCTGATATTTTTAGTCTACCATTTTCCAGGTCATCAATAAGTGGCCTCTATTGAGACTAGTTCCTCCTCAGGCTGTGAAGTCCCCCACAGGCATCCTCTGTGTACCAAGAGATTTCTGGTGTTCAAATTCTGCCATGCTGCCTGATTCAATCTCACTAGCTGCTTTCCAATATGTTACTATTAGCTCTTTTATTTTGTTTTGCTTTGTTTCTAATTGAAGCAATTGTAAGGGGATTTCATTTCATTTGTAGCCAGAATAGACCAGGCCCTCTTCATCTCACAGCTGTATTTACAAAAACTGATTCCCTTTAGATGACTGAGCATTCACTTAAATCTTACATCTAATTTTAGGATTTTGGAGAAGCCCTGTCTTCACAGAATCCATGAGCTTTTCTTGACGTGATCAGGGCGGACGTGTGTTCTGGGCTGGCCTGTGTAGGGTTTCCCTTTCTCTTGGTAACAGCTCCCTGGTTTTCCTTCATGTATCAGATCCCTTTCCTTGAGGGAGCTGGGCTGGGAACTAACTCTACTCCCAAATGTTAGACAAGGTCTTGTGACAGGCCCAAAATATTCAACCTATTTCCACTCCTAGACTAGTGATTGGTGTAGGGATGGTCACATGACCTACTGTAGTCCAGTGAGACCGAGTGCCAGGCCTGCTGGGTAATAATCTCTTCTCCTCCCCGGTTTGCAGGCAGACATGGCTCTGAGATCCACTGAGAGGTGTCTTGCTGTGGTGTCCCCAACTTGCCCTCCCATGTCCATTCTCTGCCTCTGCCCTGCTCCCAGCCCAGGAGGCCAGCCACTGTGACTGCATCACTTGGCCTTGCTTGGCTGGTTTCAGACGGGGTCAGGCTAGTGGAAGAACAGCCATGCAAGAGCAGATACGGGGCAGGGGCTTCTTTCTTGCTCCTCTTTGCCTGTGTGTTGTGGTCTGGCAAGAGAACTGTATGCCTTCATGACTAAGGTTCCTACAGGGCCACCCAATCTCAGCCCTCATGGACTCTAGTGACATACTCCATCCCTTCTCAGCTGGCTTCTCCCATCACTAGTTCCTGCGTACCTCAGTATCCCTTGTTGATCTCACCCTCCTCTAAATAAAACCTTCATCAGAGTCTCTTCACTGAAACCCATTAACCAGTATAATTCTGACACATAAGGCAAGCCAAGAACAGAGTTAACACCAAGACAGAGGAACCTGGAAATGGAGAGTGGAATGAATGGGTCCAGGTTTCATCGTTTGAAGCTGCCTGACCTCTGGCCTTTCCATTGAAAGTGATAATATTAATACATTTGCTTTACCAAGACCAGTCATGGTGAAGCCCATGTTCTGGAGGCATGGGGGAGAGGCCTGGAGTCTGAAGGCCTGGGTTCTGTTCCCAGCCCTGGTGTCTATTAACTGTGTGGCACATCCCAGGGACTTGACCTCTCTGGGGTTGTCTTTGCCATTCTCAGAGCCATCCCTGGGCATGAAGCTCCTGCTGAGATCCAGAACCACTCTGAACCAAGACTGTCAGGATGGCAAAAACAAACAAACAAACAAAACAGTGGGAAGGATCCGGAAGTAACCTTGTTTCCCAGCACTCTGCATCAAGGGGTTCTGGATTCTGGAATGACAGGTAGAATTCATTGTTCCTGAGCTACCACATTGAATTTCTACTTCTTAGCTGGGGCTGTGACCCTGTGCCTAGTTCTTATCTGTGCAGATTTCTGATTGATCCAGTGTGCACCTGGATCAATCCCATAGCTCCAGTCCTGCCTGGGATGTCTCCTATCACTCCTCTTTCCCCACCTAACCCATCCCCTCTCAGGCCTACAACTGAGGGCCCAACATGCCTTGAAGCTGTGCCTTCCATGATCTCAGCATTCTGTGTGCGCTTATCTATAAAAAAGAGAGAATCCTTATCCTATAAGGTTGTGATATGGGTCAGTGAAGTCACGTATGGGAAGTCCACAGCCAATGCCTTGCATGCTCTAGGGTAGATTACCTTCACTTAGCCTTCTGGGCATCGATTTCCACCTCTGTAACACAGGCCAAGTCATCGGTGCTGGATCTCTCACAATTATCTGAATTTCTCCAGCAGTCTTGTGAAGGACCTCCCTTTGTCCTGCTGTTCAGCGGCATTCCATTCCCCACAGAGATCTGACCATGTCATACCCCCGCATAAACCCTCCAGCATGTCCTCACCTTAGCACACAAGGCCCCCCTTTATGGGGACCCTGACAATCTGGCAATGCCCAGCAGCCCTAACCTCCTCCCTTTCCCCAGCTGCACGGGCCCATCATGGTTCATTGACCATGTCATGGCATCCTTTAATCCCACTCCATCGCATCCTTCTCAATCCCATGCAGTTCATGCCCATCCTCTAAACAACCTAAGCACCACCTCCTCCAGGGAGCCCTCCATCATTCTCAGTATCCCCACACATACCACGACCACACATGGACCTGGCACATGAGACGCTGCTAAAGTTTACCTGCCCGGTATCACATTCCCTTTTATGTGGCTTTCCTGCCTTCTAGACTATGAGCACCCTGAGAATGGTTGCTGTGTCTTGTCTTTTTCTGTAGCCCCAGAAATCAGCACAAGGCCATACAAAAAAGTAGAGCCCTGATAAGTATCTGTTGAATAAATAAGTGGAGATTAAAAGAGCCAACACAGAGAAAAGGGTCATACTGTGGTAAAGCAGCCTAGAGCCACCCCAGTTTCAGAAATGGTTTAGCTGTTTTCTCACTGGGCTGCAAGCCAGGCACATCCCCAGGATCAGGCCCCTGCCTCCCCTTCTGACTCACACCCAGCTGCTCTCATCACGAGCACCTTCCATGCTGCCCCAGCCCCCAAAGCTTTCCCTGCCCCTGGCCAAGGTGTAACCTATGGCTTCCCAGCCAGGGGTTGTTCAGCCCCCTGCAGTAATCAGCAAGACAGAGGCTGAGGCTCCACACTCAGCCTGACCGGCTTCAAAGCCCAACCCCTCCCGGGCCTGGAGGAGAAGATTACTCAGCACCCACTGTGACTGGAGAAGGACAAATGTCACCCCAATGCAATAGGCAGAGGCAGAAGCTGGAGACAGTCTGGAACATGAGAAACCCACTTCATCCTTCCTGTCCTGGGGAGGGCGCTGTCCTCAGAATGACCCCCACTAAATCCTGGAGGTCAGGCTTCCAGGTCAGAGCCCTGGGGGCCATCAGCCCTCTGCCTCCCCTCCCCCACCCCCAGCCACAATCAACAGATTCCAGACAAATAAGCTAGAGGCCTTGGGTTATCTCAGAGGGCACCAGGTCAACAGCACTTGGCCTCTGGGATAAGCACCTCCTGACTGTGTCTAAATGACTGACTCTGGGCTGCTGGGAAGAGCCGAGGGAGCCTGAATGCTTCTTGCGTGATCCCTCATCACTGCCCCTTCGGAGACCCTGCTATACCCAATGCTTCAGGCCAGACTTTGCATGCACAGTTTCTAGCTTTCACAGCTCTGGGCAGTAAGTAGAGGATGTTCCCACATCAGAGGTAAAGATGAGACACCAAGTATCTCCCAGGTGGCAGGGTGGTTAGAACCCATCCCTCTTTCATCCCAAACCCCTTCTTGCCTCTGCCCGCGACCTCTGCCTCTGGATGGGAGAAGATATCCTTCTGACAACAGGAATGTCCAGGGGGTGCCCATGCTACTAGGTTCCCTGTGTGGCCAAACCCAAGAATGTGGGTCCCCTCAGCCTCTGCACCTGCTACTTCCCCCGCCTTCCTGGAGCCGGCCGTAGGATCCCTATCTGCCCGAGGACCCCTCCCGTGGGCTCAGCAGGGGGCGTCACTCTTGGGAGGGGCCGCATGGGGCCCGGGCGCACTCACTTTCACAAAGACGGCGCCGCAGCTTGCCCCGGATCTTGTCGATGGCATTGAAGTCGGACACGTGGAAGACGTGGGCGGACTTGGGCTCTGAGGCGATCTCCTCCAGCTCCTCCTTGAGTGCCTCGCCCACGCCCACGGCAAAGATGCGGATGCCAGCGCGGTGGGCTGCCGCCGCGGCGTCCAGCACCAGGTCCTGGCTGCGGCCGTCGGTGAGCAGGATGGCCACCTGCTTGTAGGCGCGGTCCCTGGGGCGGCCGCCGGCGTGTGGGGAGAAGCTGCGGGCCGTGATGTAGCGGAGCGCGTCTCCCGTGTTGGTGTTGCCCCCGTGGTAGGCGAGACGCCGGGCAGCCGCCTTGACCTCCTCCTGCGAGCCAAAGAGTCCCAACTCGAAGGCCGTGGTGGGCCGGTCGCTGTAGCGCACGACCCCCACACGGGTGCGGTCGGGGCCCACCTCGAAGGTGTCCACCAGGTTGGCCACCCACTGCCGGACCTTCTCAAAGTCCTCCTTGCCCACGCTGGAGGAGGTGTCCAGGAGGAAGACCAGATCGTAGTGGACACTTTTGCAACCTGCAGGGGTGAGAGAAGGGGTGGCGTAGGGCAAATGGGCATGGAAAGGACACTGTCCTGGGGTATACAGGTCACTGGGGTCACACACACCTGCTCAAATACCTACCTGCCCTGTCTCTCATGACCCAAGGGCCCTGGGCTGCCTGAAAGGCCTGAGCCTCAGTTTCCACACCTTCACATGGCAATAATGATGAGTTTTCCCCAAGACTACTGTGAGGCTCAACTGACAGTAGGTAGCATCACATTAAAATGACTAACACCCACCGCACAGCACTATGCCTCAATCTCTTCACTTTTATTTTGTTTAAAAGGTGACTCCATTTTTCATTATTTTTCAACCTACCCCAAATAATGTATGCCCATTTCCAAGAAGTCAGAAAATGCAATCAAAAGATGTTTAGATGTTTTAGGCTGGGCGCGGTGGTTCACGCCTGTAATCCCAGCACTTTGGGAGGCCAAGGCGGGTGGATCACGAGGTCAGGAGATCGAGACCATCCTGGCTAACGCAGTGAAACCCCATCTCTACTAAAAAATACAAAAAATTAGCCAGCAGAGGTGGTGGGCGCCTATAGTCCCAGCTACTCGGGAGGCTGAGGCAGGAGAATGGCGTGAACCCGGGAGGCGGAGCTTGTGGTGAGCCGAGATTGCACCACTGCACTCCAGCCTGGGCGACAGAGCGAGACTCTGTCTCAAAAACAAAACAAAACAGGTGTTTAGATGTTTTAAATGCCCATATTCCCACACAGAGATAACCACTGTTAAAGCATGGTATATATACTCATATATACTCAATTATTTTTTATTTCCATATAATTATTGATAGGAATGGGACTGTACCAGACACACTGATACATACGCTGTTCTCCCTGCATTTAGTTATAAGCTAGAAATCCATTTCTGGTTTGATCATGCTGGTTTCCATGGCTGCAAAGAGTCCTCTGCACAGATGAACATAATTGATTTAGCAAGCGCTCTCCTGTTAGATATTTAACTACTCAGCCCTTTAAAATCAGATAATACAAGAGGAAGTGTTTTCCAATCTCTAGAATGCTGCACAAATATACAAGGAACTATCAAGAAGCCCTGGTCTTAAGGCCAGGTGCAGTGGTTCACGCCTGTAATTCTAGCAATTTGGGAGGTCAAGGCGGGCAGATCACTTGAGGACAGGAGTTTGAGACCAGTCTGGCCAATATGGCAAAACCCCGTCTGTACTAAAAATACAAAAATTAGCCAGGCATGGTGGCTTATGACTGTAATCCCAGCTACTCAGGAGGCTGAGGCACAAGAATCCTTTGAGCCGGGAGGTGGAGGTTGCAGTGAGCCAATATCACATCACTGCCCTCCAGCCTGGGTGACAGAGTGAGACACTCTCTCAAAAAAAAAAAAAAAAAAAAAAAAGAAGAAGAAGAAAAAGAGGAAGAAAAAGCCCTAGTTTGACTCTTCCAGAAGGTGGGGTTTGGCCATCCAAACAGAAGCAGAGGACCAGGCCTCTGGGAACACCAGGCACAAACATTTGGCTATAAAACAAAACAAAACAAAACAAAAAAACACTTTGTTGAAATACCAGATTGGAAAGGTAGAATGGTCTGGTAGTGGCTGGGTGCACGAGAGTTGGAGGAGAATGCACCTGCCTGCTCAGCAAGTGGCCATGGACTTGTCACACCCTCTCTCAGGGGCTTTGAAGTCTCATAAAGGAGGGTATCTTTTTATCCACCAATTCCAAACTTAGTGATTTATCCCAAGAAAACAATCAGATAAATGGAAAAGAAAAAGATGTATAAAGAAATTCACAGCAACATGGCAAAAAAAATGTTGGAGATAATACACAATCACCTATGTGGAATTAAATAAATTACTTAAAGAAAAATCATGATGTATTCATTGCTAGGCAGCCATGACAGTGATGGCTGAAGAGGAATCCTTATTTACCAGCATGGATACACTTTTCCAATATACCATTGGGTGTGAAAAGCTGTTTATAAAATGATATGTATAACATAGAATTTCTGGAAAGAAAACCTGTGCGTGTGTGTGCACGCGCGATTGTGTATGTATGTATGCATGACAGAAACTGAGTGGGAAACACTTGCTTACCTCTGGCAAGCAGAGCTATGAGTGAATTTTATTTTTTGTATTTTTTGCTCTTATATTTGCAAGCAATAAAGTTCAAAAAACAGAAAAACAATAAAGTTATACGAATTTACACACATACTCCCACAAATGCTTCCCTATGTGACCCGAGCCAATGCCACCCTTGAATGTTCCACACCTACCTTTCCCTCTAGTTTTGAAAATCCAAGGGACAATCTGCATGTCAGGCACTGAGTTACATCCCAGCCTTAGCAGGACTGATCCCTAACAGGATTAGAACTCTGGAGTGTGTTTGACCAGATGTGCAGACTTGGAGATCATTCCTGGGGAGTTTTTTTCCTTGACACAAAAGATCATTCTTTTGTCTTTGGGACAATAACGTCCCAGGCTGTTCAGGATAATTGCTGCTGAGGGCCAGGCAGAACCCGGCCTGCAGACTGTAATCCTAGAACAAATTTGTTTGAAGGCTACAGAAGTTTCATTTGTTCAGGAGGCCTCCCCAAGGGGCCCTTTTGAGCTCAGGGCACATTTTCTCCCAGAGGCCAGGGAACAGGCGGGATTGTGTGCCCGTGAGGCTGGAGTGTGATGTGGAGAGAAGAGATCTGAACCCGGGCAGGTGCCCTGGCTTCTGGCCTTGATTCCGCCAAGGCAGGGGCTATGCCACTCCTGGCAGGTGAGTGCTCTTTTGGGGCCCACCATTTTCTACTATGAAATGAGGGCACAGAGGAGACCACCCTAGGGCTTTTTTGCTTTTAAATGTGATAATCCTGTGCATTGGCTGTGCATTTGGGGTTGGCTAGATGGGCACAGAAATCTCATGTTCCCTGCGTATAAAACAGGATGTTTACAGTTATTACTGTCTTTCCAGCTAGCCAGGCTTTGAGAGGCTCAGAAAAAAAAAAAAAAGCAAGAGACAACTCTGTAAATTCGATAAAGAAATAATGTCAACTTTTCTTTTTTAAGTCCAGGGAGAAAAGCCTTAGAATGTCACTTTCTGGGTGGGTGTGGTGGCTCATGCCTGTAATCCCAGCACTTTGGGAGGCCGAGGCGGGCGGATCACGAGGTGAGGCGATCGAGACCGTCTTGGCTAACACGGTGAAACCCCGTCTCTACTAAAAATACAAAAAATTAGCCAGGCATGGTGGCAGGCGCCTGTAGTCCCAGCTATGCAGGAGGCTGAGGCAGGAGAATGGCGTGAACCCGGGAGGCGGAGCTTGCAGTGAGCCGAGATCACGCCGCTGCACTCCAGCCTGGGCGACAGAGCGAGACTCCGTCTCTAAAAAGAAAAAAGTATATAGATCACTTCCTATAAGATGGGCTCAGCGTTTTGCTTCCTGAATCCAGTGACAGGTGGTCTCCCTGGCTGCCCAGTGGGCAGTATATGGACATCCCACCTGTCTGTGTATCGGGGACCCCAGTGTGCAGGCTCTATGCCGGGGTTGTGGACCCTGACCCCTCCTTCACATCTAAGCACTGACCAGTGCCTTCCCCCAGGGCAGGGGCCCTCATACAGGTTAGCAAAACCATGTTGCCATGTCTCTCCCCTCCTGCCCCGGGCCTTCTCATCTCCAGTCAACTTTCCCAACTACCGGGTCTACTACATAAACACGCTTTTCTCACTGTCCTGGATGCCTTTGCTAAGTGGGCTCCAGTGTGTCCATTTCCCCTGGAATGTGTCCCAAAACCTTCACAGGACAACACAGCCAGGTCCTCACCCCTGCCTCCTCCCCGAGCTCCAAACCTGCACACACTTGGTAGAGACAGGCTCACAACCCAGGATGTGACTGACCAAGACGTGTTAAAGCAACTCATTCCCTCTCTCTGTCACGCTCTCTCCTCCTCTCGCAGGAACACACACTCATCCCCTCACATTAACACTCACATGCATACTGACATTGCCACACATATTCACACTCCCTCAAACTCACACACACTTCCCCACACACTCCCTTAAACTCACACACTCTCACACTCCCTCACACATTACCTCAAACTCACACATATTCTCTCACACTCCCTCACACACTTCCTCAAACTCCCTCACACTCCCCTACACCTCACACTCATACACACTCCCTCGAACTCCTCACACACTTCGTCAAACACACACTCCTACACTTCCTCACACTCCCCCACATGCTCCCTCAAACTCACACTCCCACACACTCCCACACACTGTCAAACTCACACACTCCCTCACACTCCCACACACTCTTCCTCAAACTCACACACTCTCACACTCCCTCACACACTCCCTCAAACTCACACTCCCATACACTCCCACACACTTTGTCAAACACACACTCCCTCACACTCCCCCACTCTTCCTCAAACTCACACACATTCCCTCTCACTCCCTCGCACACTTCAAACTCCCACACACAGTCCCCCACATTCCTTCACACTCCCTCACACACTCTCCCTCACACTTTCACACTTCCTCACACACTCATACACATACTGTCAGACATATACAGGCCCTTGCTGAGGAGCTGGTGATTTTTTGTCCCTAGGTTAGAAGGCAGCTGACTCACACTTGGATTCCGGACTCTCCCTCTCTCTCACACAGTCAGTTGTGAACTCACTTGCATGCACACACCACAGCCCATGCTCACGGACACATGCTGTCTGCTCTGTCCCCAGCACAGCATGGCACAGCCCACGGTGGCCCCACCTGCCCGCTGAGCCTGGCAGCCGCCGCCCCCACTCCACAGCAGCAGCATCCAGAGGAGGCCAGCCACAGCGTTCCCTCGGAGGCCGGCCATGGCTCTCCTGTTCTTGGGGACAGGCTTCTCTTGGCCAGGAAGAGACGCTGTTAGGGTCTACAGCAGCATGGCCTGTGTGGAGAAAGACACCCTTAGAGAAGGCTCTCAAGCTGAAAGTCTGTGAGAGGCAAACTCTGGGCCCTGCCCAGGGGGATTCCCTACACCCAGCCTTCCAACCCATCTTCCCTCCCGGATTCAACTCCAGGCAGCGAATGTGTGACCTTCCAGAGCAGAGCCAAGTGTGACCTCCCCTTCATGGATTTACGCCTGGATCCCCCCAGCCATCCAATTAGCAGATGGGCTTGCAGAAGGGAGTAGGAGAGGGCCTTGTGCCTGAGGACTCCACACCACATCCCGCCTGGTATGGCTTGGCTCTGTGTCACCACCCAAATCTCCCTCTCTGGAATCCCCACGTGTCGAGGGAGGGACCTGGTCGGAGGTGATTGGATCATGGGGGCAGTTTCCCCCATGCTGTTCTTATGATATTGAGTGAGTTCTCAGGAGATCTGCTACTTTTATAATGGTAGTTCTTCCTGCTCTCTCACATATTCGCTCTCCTGCCACCATGTAAGAAGCACCTGCTTCCCCTTCCTCCATAACTGTAAGTTCCCTGGGGCCTCCCCAGCCATGCGGAACAATGAGTCAATGAAACCTCTTTCGTTTATAAATTACCATCTTGGGCAATTCTTTCTAGCAGCATGAAAATGGACTAATACACCACCTAAAATCGTTCAGTGTCACCGTCCTCATCTGAATATGGCATGAGGGCCTGCCATGATCTACCCACCCTGTCCAGCCTGGCCTCTCACCTCGCCTCACTCCCCCACCATGCTGCACTTGGTAGCCATGAACTTTCTAGCCATTTCCCACAGGTTCCAGGTGTACCACACCTCCCTTTGCCCCCCTGGGAGGGCTTCCCTCTACCTAAAATCCCCACACCCACCCTGGGAGCCTCTGGCAATGCTGAGCTCAGATGCTCCCCTTCTGGAAAATTTTTCCCAGACCACTCACTTCCCTATGGGTTGAGGGGGTCACTGCTCAGCTACCTGCAAGTGAACCCTGAGCTCCTCAGCAGGGGGCTGGGACTCTCATTCTTCATTTGCTTCATTGTCAGCCCTGTGGACTGCTTGATCCCTGGAGGCTGAGGCCAGGCCAACTTCACTGGGCATGGAAGATTAGGGCATTTACACACAGTCAGTAAGTACCTATGAAGGAAAGAACTAACGAAGAATTCTTCAAGGGATTCCTGAACCTCAATGTTTGCAATGGTAGCGAAGTTATCTCAAAGGCAGTTGGGCAAACAATCCTCATAAGGGTTATTCTGCTTCAAATAATTGGTGAATACTTTTTAAAAGAGTCTAATAAACAGAAAAATATTAAGATGGTGGCAAGGGAGTACGTCGGGAGCAAACTCATTTACCCTTTGTAAAGTACCAATCTGATGCAGGTGTTTACAATGACCAGAGGGAAGACTGCAGAGAACCATGAAATGACATCCTACGAACTGGCATGTCCACTGCAGCTTGGAGTCACGTGCCACCACTAGCACCCTGGACCAGGGCTAGGAGGGGTTAGCCAAACATAAAAAACATGTGGCAGGGGAGTGAGCTCATGGGTGTCTGTGTGTATGTTTCTGTTTCTGATCTTTCTCTGAATTATGTTGACATTTCCACTCTTCATCAATGACAATCTAAAATGTTAAAAGGAATCAGAAGAGAAGCTCCAAAAACCTGGATTAACCGTGAAGAAAATAGCAACAGGGCTGTGCCTGATGACAAGCACAGGCAAATCAATTTCTAGGATTATCCCCCTGAAACACACCCATGTGCATATGTGTGTGCACGCACACACACACACACACGCACACACACACAGGGGAAGCGAGCTGAATGCACATTTGAAATCATGAGCCACCAGGCTTCATCTGCTGCGGGAGCCCTGCCTACCCACTGTGCCTACTGCAGGGTCACCCTCCAGTCCTAGGAATTATTTGTGGCTCCAAGGACACAAACATGCTCTCACCCTGCACTCTATCCAGGCTGCTTCTCCATCCTGGAACGCCCCCACTCCACTTGACCTCCAGATGGTCAATCAGTTCTTCCAACTCCCTATGGAGTGGCTGTTGTCATTCCAATTCTGCATGTTACACCTGATCTCAGCCAGGTCACATAACTTGCCCAAGGTCACACTCCTGGAAGTGGTGGAGCAGGCATTGGACACCCCATAACCAGCAGGCGCATTACTCCAAGGAAAGCCAGACCCCCATTCTACATCAAGTCTAGGTGTCTCTGCTGCACCTGCAACCCCTTAGTCCCTGGAGGGTTAAGTCTAGAGATACGCCCCTGCCTCAAATCCCTCCTACCTACTATATTCACCAAATGCCAACGTATCACACAGTTTTTTTTGTTTTTGTTTTTTGTTTTTTTCTGATGGAGTTTCACTCTTGTTGCCCAGACTGAAGGCTCACCACAACCTCCACCTCCTGGGTTCAAGCAATTCTCCTGCCTCAGCCTCCTGAGTAGCTGGGATTACAGGCATGCGCCACCACACCCGGCTAGTTTTGGTTTTTTAATAGAGATGAGGTTACTCCATGTTGGTGAGGCTGGTTTCGAACTCCCGACCTCAGTTGATCCGCCTGCCTCTGCCTCCCAAAGTAGTAGTATTACAGGCATGAGCCACTGCGCCCAGCCTCACACAGCTTTTAGCACAGCCTTTGTAGATGCATTTCTTCAAACAGATTTATGGCCCTGTGCTGGGCTTATATCAAATGCCTCAAAAATTCTGTATGGAACCTTGGTTTTCCAACAACCCATTAGGTTATATCTATCCTCCAAATTTTGCCCACAGACTCCCATCTCTTTTCCCCCACCTCCTGGTACCCTCTGCAGGCTTTGGGGCTGATATCTGGATGCTTACATCTGGAGAAATTATTCCCCGTATCACCTTCTCCCCTCTGATCCTTTGTCACATCCCTGATGAATGAGTGGATGAATGAATCCAGTCATATTTCTCACTTGAGGGTTAAACATGTATTTGTTCCCATGGGATCTGGCAGGGGTCCCAGGCACAGCCAGGCTGCCATCATCTGCCCAGGGCCTCTCTCCCCCGTGGCCTAGTGAGGAGGGTCTTTGAAAGCAGTGACTGCGTCTTATTGGTTTCTGTAGTACTGGTGGCCGGCACAAAGCCCAGCACAGAATTGGTGCTCAGTTGATGTTCATATTTGAGGGGAAGGAAGAGAGAAAGGAAGAGCAGAGGGGAAGGAGGAAGAGAGAGAAAAAAAAGGAAAGAAAGAAGGGGAGGCTGATGGCTCGGCTACCACAGGGAAATACTGAACTCAGAGAATCGAGACTATTGGCAGTTTCTGAGCATAGGATCATCCAAGCACCTCTGCTGTCTCTATTCTGCCTAGGACTTACTAGCTCCCAAACTTGATCTCCTTTTTTGATTTTGTCAACAGTAAAAGATTACTTAAGTGCCTATTACTAATAGAAAAGAGTATTAAGAGCCTGTTTCAAGAAATGGGCTAAGCAGTTTTTGTCCACATATTGTCTTATTGGATCCTCACGTTCATGCTATGAGCTAGGAACCACTATCTCATGAAAAAAGTACACCATGAAGGGATTAAAGTCTCAGCTGTGAGTGGTCATGCTGGGATTTGACCTCAGGTCGCAGGCTGTTCTCCATCCCCTTTCCATGCTGGGGATGTTTTCTCTCTTTTTTATATACATATATTTTTTTACTTTTTAAAATTGTTGTGAGTACATAGTGGGTGTATGTATTTATGGGGTACATGAGATGTTTTGATAGAGGCATGCAACATGAAATAGCCACATCATGGGGAATGGGGTATCCATCCCCTCAAGCACTTATCCTTCGAGTCACAAGCAATCCAACTACACTCTTTATTTTAAAATGTACAATTATTATTGACTATAGTCACCCTATTATGCTGTCAAATAGTAGATATTATTCATTCTATTCTTTTACCTGTTAACTGTCCCCACCTCTCCCCACCCCTAGCCCCTCACTATCCTTCCCAGACTGTGGTCTCTCATTGTTTTTTTTTTTTTTAGATGGAGTCTTACTCTGTTGCCCAGGCTGGAGTGCAGTGGTGCCATCTCAGCTCACTGCAACCTCTGCCTCCTGGGTTCAAGCAATTCTCTGCCTCAGCCTCCCAAGTAGCTGGGATTACAGGTGTCTGCCACCACACCTAATTTTTGTATTTTTAGTAGAGATGGGGCTTCACCATGTTGGCCAGGCTGGTCTTGAAGTCCTGACCTCGTGATCCACCCGCCTCGGCCTCCCAAAGGGCTGGGATTACAGGCGTGAGCCACCACACCCGGCCAGTCTCTCTTAACATTATATCTTGAGCAATGTCTGGCCTATTAAAAATTCCTTAAAAATGTCACCATTATTGGCTACCTAGAACTATACCTGTGGCACTGGCGTCATTGTTTTAATTGCAATTTCTACTTTGGGACATTTAGTAGGTCATTTTATTTATTTAATATGCTACAGAGGACATCTTTGCACCTAAGTCTTACCCATGTGTAATTATTTTCTGAGGGTAGATTTGTAGAAAAACACTTAGGGGGTCATAAGAGTTTTGCAAGAATCCTGACTCGTATTGCCAAATTGCTTTCTGAAAATATTGTACCAATGTCCACTGCCTCCAGCAGTGTGGGAGTGTGCGGGTGCTCCTGTCACCACCTACTTGTTAGCATTGAGTATTATCACTCCTTCAATCTTTGGTTAACTCAACAGAAGAGGCATTGTTGCTTGTTTCCCATGCATTTCTTTGTTCCATGAGGCTTATTAGCTAAGTGTATTTTCCCTTCTGTATATTTTATTTTCATGTGGCTGTACATTTCTAAACGTATTTTTCATTGTTAAAGCCAAGGTCCTGGACAGGGAAAACAATACACATTTCACTATTGATTTCTTCATTTAGGAAATATTCACGAGTTGCCCTCCTGTGCCAGGTGCTGAGGATAGGTAGATAAATGACACTGAGCCTACCCTGCACAGGTTCTCAATGACCCTGTGACACAGGTAAGACACACACCAGGGGGAGGGAGGATCAAGTGAGTGCTGGTAGAAGGAAGCCCAGGGGGTTGTAGGGGAAGGCACAGAGGTGGGGATGTCCATCACCTGACTATTTCAGGGGAAGGTCAGGCTTCCCAGCTTCCTTCCAAGGTGAGTTTGGAAGGCTGAGCAGGACTCAGCCAGACAAAAAATAGGTGATAATTTCAGGCAGAAGGAATGGCATCTGCCAGGCCCCAGAGTGGGCCAGAGTGTGGTACTTAGGGAACTTCCCTATGCATGACAGGCATGCAGGTTGCTCTCAGGAGAGGTATAATCTGGTTCCTACCACCTTCAGGGCAAAGTGCACTCAGGTCTTACCAGGGCTCTAAAGGCCACTTGTGAGAGCACAGGGTATAATAGTCTGAATGACAATACTCAGAGAGCAGCAGGAGGCAGCTACAGGAACAGGAAGAAAAGCACTGTCCAAAAATGGAACACATAAGGGCAGTCAGGGTTCCAAGGTCAGGAGTCAGATGGTCCAGGGGAGAGGCACAGAATCTTAGCAAGTCAGAGCTGATCGCCCAGCCCTCTCATGCTTCACAGCTGTATGGAGACAAGGACTTGTCGGACTTGTCCATTCTGTTGCCTAGCACCTAGAACAGCTCCTAGCATGTAGTGGTCACCTAAATAAGCATTAGATTGATGAATGAATGATGAACGGCCAGCATCTGATGCTGTTATAGTATCATATTACATTGGGGTAGCCAGGAGTCATTCATCAGAAGAATATAGGCATCATCAAGGAACTATGAAAGTAACTGATTATCACTTATTATCTACCATATGCCAAGCAGTATCTGATTATTGCATGAGCTCATGTGACTCTTCAAGGCAGGCATCATCATTTCCACTGGGTAAAGGAGGACACTGAGGTGGAGAGAAGGTATGTGTCTCTCCCCACGTCACTCAGTTGGTGAAAGAAGGGACTGGGGCTGAAACCTAGGCCTCTTCTGGGCACTAAACCCACACTCTTTCCCTGAACTCAATGGATACAACAAATCCAAATATTAGCTGCAACTGGCACTATTCACAATACCAAAGACTTGGAACCAACCCAAATGTCCAACAATGATAGACTGGATTAAGAAAATGTGGCACGTATACACCACGGAATAATATGCAGCCATAAAAAATGATGAGTTCACGTCCTTTGTAGGGACATGGATGAAATTGGAAATCATCATTCTCAGTAAACTATCGCAAGGACAAAAAACCAAACACCGCATGTTCTCACTCATAGATGGGAATTGAACAATGAGAACACATGGACACAGGAAGGGGAACATCACACTCTGAGGACTGTTGTGGGGTGGGGGGAGTGGGGAGGGATAGCATTAGGAGATATACCTAATGCTAAATGACGAGTTAGTGGGTGCAGCACACCAGCATGGCACGTATACATATGTAACTAACCTGCACATTGTGCACATGTATCCTAAAAGTTAAAGCAAATATTAGCTGCAACTACTGAGCCGCCTTTGTCTTGTGAAATAAGAAAGATGGTGGCCAGTGAGGGCGGGAAATAAAATGGATCATCCATCGTTGTTCAGTATTTTCCCAGGCTCTAGAAATTTGATAATTTCCCTCATTGCAGAAACCCGGCTTTATCAATGTTGTAATCTCCAAGTTTTTAGAGAAATCTTTGTCATATATCTTTCTAAATACTCAAGAAAAGACAGAACTAAAGACCAATATCCTTTATAAACATAGATGCAAAAATATTTACAAAAAGAAATGCAAATCAAATTCGGGCAGCATAGTAAAAGTAACAGACACCATGACCAAGTGAGGTTTATCTCAGGAATGCAGGAGTGGTTCAACATACAAAAATCAATCAATGTAACATACCACATAAGCAGAATGAAGGGAAGAAGAAAATACATAGTGAATCCAACTGATGCAGAAAAAGCATTTGACAAAACCCAGCACCCTTTCATGATAAAAAAAATAAAATAAGACTATAAAAAAACTTCCTCAGGATAATAAAGGCCATCTATGAAAAATTCACAGCTAACGTCATCCTCAATGGTGAAAGACTGAAAGTTTTTCCAAGAACAAAACAAGGATGCTTCTTTGCCGTATCTACTCAACATGCTACTGGAAGTTCTAGCCACAGCAACTAGGCAAGAAAAAGAAATAAAAGGCATTCAACTTGAAAAGGAAGAGGTAAAATTATCTCTATTTGCAGATGGCCTTATCTTTTTTTTTAGGGATGGGGATTCACTCTGTTTCACATGCTAGAGTTCAGTGGCACAATGATAGCCTACTGCAGCCTTGAACTCCTGGCTTAAGCAATCCTTCTGCCTCAGCCTCCCAAGTAGCTGTGACTACAGGCACATATCACCATGTCCAGCTACGGATGGCATGATCGTATATGTGGAAAAACCCAAATAATACCCCCAAAACTGGTAGAACCAATAAACAAATTCAACGAAGTATAAGATACAAAACCAGCACTCAAAAGTTTGTTGTGGGCTGGGCACAGTGGCTCATGCCTGTAATCCTAACACTTTGGGAGGCCAAGGCAGGCAGATTGCCTGAGCTCAGGAGTTCGAGACCAGCATGGGCAACATGGTGAAACCTCGTCTCTACAAAAATACAAAGAAAAAAAAAAAACTAGCCGGGCATGGCAGCATGAGCCTGTAGTCCCAGCTACTCAGGAGGCTGAGGCAGGATGATTGCTTGAACCCAGGAGGTGGAGGTTGCAGTGAGCTGAGATCGTTCCACCATATTCCAGCCTGGCGACAGAGTGAGACTCCGTATAAAAAAAAAAAGTTTGTTGTGTTCCTGTACACCAGCAATGAACAATGCAAAAAGAAAACTAGGAAAATGATTTCATTCATTTATGGTAGCATCAAAAAGGATAAAATGTTAGGAATAAATGTAATCAACAATGACACATACACTGAAAACTACGAAACACTAGTGACAAAAGTTAAAGACCTAAATAAGAAGAAAGATATCTCATCTGATTGCTTAATGGTTGACAGATTTTCTGTCTCAGGTGATGAAAATGTTCTAGAAATAGAGTAATCACAGCAGACTTGCAAATTAGTACTAATCACCCCCTTTACCAGTGATGAACCTGGGTTCAGGGAGGATAGACAACTTCCCTAAGCACACACCCTAGTAATGACAGCTGGTCTTGGCATCAGATCTGAAGGGCGCCAAAGCCCCTGCTCTTCCCAGCACTAAACCATTAACATACATTAAACCATTTACGTACATTACATGCTCATAAGTGCAGTAGCCACTTTAAGGGCTTTATAAATAATAATTCATTTAGTCTGAACAGTAGGCATAATTAGCTCCATTGTACAGAGTAAGAAACTGAAGAACTTGGGCTTAAGTAATCCTCCCATGACTCCCATATCTAGGAGTCATGGGAAGGATTCAATCCCAAACAATCTAACCATAGGTCCATACTCAGTCACTCAGCAACATTGCTTCTCCCAGGATGTTTGCAATCTGGCTGCAGCAACACTTATTTCATAAGTACAGACACAATGAGAGAAAAAAGCAAAGGATATAGTCAAACACCAAACTATGCGTCATCCAGTTTACAAGAAGGAGAGGACAAGAGCATTGAAAGAGAAGGAAAATTTGCTGCAGAAGAAACTTTCAGTTAACCCCTGGGAGGGAAGAGCATGGCTTTCTTTATCCTGTTGATGTGATGAATAACATTAATTGATTTTCAGATGTTGAACCAGCCTTGCCTACTTGGGACATATCCCACTTGGCTATGACGTATAATTATTTTCATATGTTGCTTGATTTATTTGCTAATATTTTGTTGAGGATCTTGACATCTATGTTCATGAGAGTTACTGGTCTGTGGTTTCTTGTAATGTCCTCATTTGGTTTTGGTATTAGGGCCATGCTGGTCTCATAGAATGAGTTAAGAAGTATTCCCTCTGCTTCTATCTTCTGGAAGAGATTGTGGAAAAGAGAATGGCTTTCTACCCAGAAATAAATGGAGTGTTCATAACAAAATGTTTACTGAGTGAGGAAGCCCTGGTATGGAATCCTAGCTTTGCCACTTGGTGGCACAAATGAACATTTCTTATACTCAGTTTCCTCAACCATTAGAAAGGGATGATCTCTACTCTATCAGGGGGTATGGTAAGGGTTACAGGAAATGATTTCTGCAAATCCTGCAGCACAGGCCCTGGCATAGAGTAGGTGTTCACCAAACGTGAGGTTTCTGGAACCTCCACACTCCCCAGCCCATCTCAGGTTGCAGCCCCAGCAAGCATGGGGTACCATTATTCCATCTTCTCTCTCTCACCCAGCCCTGAGCTGTTTTCAGGGGTTAGCTGCCAAGCTGGCAGGATGTAGGCCACACCCCTGTCCCTGGGAGGCAGAGCTCTGCCATTAGTCTCCCAAAAGTCCAGCAATTAATTTAGTGAGCTGAGTTCCTTCCACAAGCCAGCCCATTGCCATAGTAACCAGCATTCCCATTCAGGGACCCAGAGGAGGGGGGAGGAAGAACACTGAGCAGAAAGCAATTTAGAGAGAGAAAATGAGATTCGGCAGATTGCTAGGGCAGCCTGGGCAGAGTTCGAGCTCTGTCTGAGTCAGAGGGTCTGGCCTCTGCCCATTGCGGGTGGGGGCTGGGGGAATGAGGCACTGCTGATGTGTTGCTGGGGTGATGGGCAATGTTCTGGGCAGGAATCTGGTTGGGACATAAGAGCATAGTATGTCTGTGTCCAGAGCACTGAACTGCGTCCTTCTATCACAGACCCAGCTTGGAACGACTGGCACAGTCCTGCTGAGCTGTCTGTGATGCAAACTGCACTTGCTGGTCAGAGAGGGGAAGATAGAACCAGGTGGCTCCTGTCTTAAGAGGGCTGCCTTGGAGCCCAACCAAGCTTGCCTACATCCTGGATTCGAAATTCAACTCTGTGGAGCTTGGAGCAAGTCCTCTTCAGTCAACAAATACAGACTGAGTACTTTCTACATGCCAGACCAGACACTGTCACAGGTGTCTGACTACTCTTGGGGCAGCTAGCATAATGACTAAGCTTTTCAATCAGCATCCCTGTGTTCAAATTCCAATTATGCTGCTTACTAGCTGTGCAAACTAGGGGAATTCACTTAACCACTCTGGATGTCAACTCTTTGATGTATGAAGTGGGGATTAAAACACTTATCTCACAGGGTTGTTGGGTTTAATTAAACGAGTTACGATATATAAAAAGCCTAAAATGTACCTGGACACAGATGGTGCTTAAGCCACACTACTTTTATTACTTTCCAATCCTTAGTTTCCTCAACTATAAAATGGGAACGATATCCCCTACTTCAGCAAAATGTGAAAGAGATTACATGAGACAATGGATGTGATCATTTTTATAAAGTAAAAGATTTCCATTACTGTAAAAATTGGCTATCAAGGGGAGATGTGTTCATCTGAGCAATTCAGAGAACTGGGTTGATGTTGACTGCATAGGGGTAATGTGTATTTCATTGTTTTAGTCTGTAACTCAATCATGCCCTAAATGCATGGTAGGCATTTTTCATTACACTTTGTCCAAGGAGCTTGCAGCCTAATGGACAGACAAGGAAATAAATGCTTATATTTCCATATGGTCAGTGGACATGGTGTCATGGGAGCTGAGTGGACAAGCACCTAACCTGGGCTTGGGAGGTCAGGGAAGGCTTCCTGGAGGAGGTGATGCCTGAGCTGAGTCTGGAAAGATGAGTGGGAAGTAGGCAAAAGGACAAGGGCTGCCTTCACCAGGAATAGCCCACCTCCCATTTATTATTACTCATAGAATGAGCCAAGGAGCACAGTAGTTTGGAGGAAAAGATGCAGAAAACAATGAAAATTCAGGCTGGAGCAGAAGGTAGGAATTCATGGGGAGGAAGGCATTCAAGTGTAAGGAAAGAACATTAACAAGAAAGCCTAGAGACTTGTGCAGTGACCCAGAGAAAAGGTTCAGACATGCTTGGATAGCCCCTGGGGCCAGTGGATGTTTACATGTATGTGAGTGGCATATACCAATGTGATTTAGGAAACTCTGTTGACAAGGATGGATTAGAGAGACCAATGAGGAGTTCTAGTGCAACAATTCAAACAGAAATCCCAACAACCTTCCATAACACAGCCATGGGCAAAGTGGTCCAGCTGCAGATTCTATGACACTGGTGACTGGCAGGGAGCAGGAGATTGAGGGAGAAGAACATCTGGAAGCAAGCCCAGATTTCCAATTTGAGCATCAGGGAGCCAATCAGTGAGGGGACCAGATGAAGAGTGCAGGCTGGAAATACTGAGGTAAATTTGAGGTACCTGTAAAACAGTCAGAAGGAGAGATCAAAGGCAGATGGGCACTTGAGTCTACAGCTCAGAAAAGAAACTGGAGCTGGAGATATTCCTGGAAAAGTATAGAAGAATAGAAAACAGAGCTTTCAGTGGTATCAGTGTTTAGGCAAGAGTCAGAGGAGGGAGAGAAGCCCCATATGTCCCATCTCTGACCTTAGTGTCAGCTTCACTTTCAGTTACTACACTTTGTAATATAAGTGAGCATGCTACAGTACTTCTGTATTTTCAGTTTTCTTCCCCTGATCCAATAGTTTCCTGTGACTTTTATGGTAAAGAGTATTGTATGGTGTATTTTTACCTTAAAAAACAAACAAACGAAAAACCTGGTTAGCTTGATGTAGTGGTACATGCCTGTAGTCCCAGCTACTCAGAAGGTGGAGGCAAAAGGATTGCTTGAACCCAGGAAATTGAAGCTGCAGTGAGCTATGATCACACCACTGCACTCCAGCCTGGACAACAGAGCAAGAACCTTTCTCTTAAAAAAAAAAAAAGAAAAGAAAAGAAAAAAAAACACTGTATTTTTTTGGGGTGGTATCAGCAAGGCCCAGCCAGGAGCTGAACATCTATCCTCACCTAGGCCATCTTACTATACCAAAATGAGGTGACTGTTTACTAAACAATAAAATTAAATAGAATCCAGAGTTTCTCAGAATAATGGCCAGTGTCGAGGATACAACTGAAAGTAACTTATTATGCCAAGAACCAGGGCAATTACAGCTTGAATGAGAAAATTCAATCAACTGATTCCAACGCTGGAATAACCCAAATTTTGTCACAAATATTTTTAAAGCAGAAGTCATAGAAATGCTTCAATAAACCATAACAAACACTCTTGAAACAAATGAAAAAATAGAAACTCTCAGCAAAAAATAGGAGATGTAAAACAGAAACAAAAAGTAATTTAAGAACTAAAAAAAAATACAATAACAACATTTAGAAAACATAGAGCAGGCCTAAAACTAGACTGGAAATGAGACAACTGACTAAAAAATCAGCAAACTGAAACAACAGACCAATAGAATTTACCCAATCTGAGCAACAGCAAGAAAACAGACTGGAAAAAAAAGTGAGCAGAGCCTCAGAAATCTATAAATAATAGCAATATACATAACTTTCATATCACAGCAATCCAGGGAGAGAAGAAAGAGTACGGAGCTCAAAAACTTAAAAGAAATAATGGATGGTAAATTCTCAAACTTGCTGAGATCCTAGAAGCTGTAGATCCTATTTATCCCCAAACAGAATAAACCCAAAGAAATTTATGCTTAAATACATCATAATCAAACTTCTGAAAACCAGATAAAGACAAGTAAATATTGAAAGAATCTAGGAGAAGTGACACATTGTCTATAGTGGAAACACAAATGACAGCCAATTTCTTACTTGAAACCAAGAAACCAGGGGGAAATGGCACAACATTCTTCAAGCGCTGAAAGAGAACTGTCAACCCACAATCTTATATCCAGCAAACTCAGGGATAAAGAGGAAGCAAAGATAATCTCATAAGAAGGAAAACTAAGAGTATTTGCCACTCACAGGCTTACCTTTGAAGAATTGCTAAAGGAAGCTTCCTAAACAGAAAAGGAAATGAGAGAAAGAGGTGGAGACTTTAACATGGATAAAAATAAGGGCATATATAATAGAGTCTATTTTTCATGAGTTTTTAAAAAAAAATTTGATGACTAAGCAAAAGTTATAGCATCATCTGATACGGTGTTCAGTGTGTACAGAGGAAATTCTAAATATGTTATTTGTATTTTAAAAGGGGAAGGGTAAAGGGACTTAAATGAAAGTAAGGTTTCTACACTAAACTCAAAGTGGTAAAACATCCATACTAGTTGACTCATGCTCTCTATATGCATTGCAGTACCTAGAAGCAACCACTAAAAAATACTCAATAAAGATATTTTTTCAAAAACATTATAAATAAATAAAAATGGAATTGTAAAAATTGTTGAAGTAATCCACAAGAGGGCACAAAAGGGGAAACTAAGGAATGAGGAAGTAAATGAATAAAAGGAAAACATAATACATTGGCAGACTTAACCCTTAAAAAGAAGCACACAATATAGAGCAAAGTGCACGAGAAAGTTTAAAATTCCATTCAAGGCCAGACGCGGTGGCTTATGCTTGTAATCCCAACACTTTGGGAGGCCAAGGCAGGCAGATCACCTGAGGTCAGAAGTTCCAGACCAGCCTGGCTAACATGACGAAACCCCGTCTCTGCTAAAAATACAAAAATTAGCTGAACGTGGTGGTGAGTGCCTGTAATCCCAGCTACTTGCGGGGCTGAGGCAGGAGAATCACTTGAACTCGGGAGGCAGAGGTTACAGTGAGCCAAGATTGTGCCACTGCACTCCAGCCTGGGTGACAGAGAGAGACTCTTTCTCAAAAAAAAAAATCCATTCAGGCCCCTAAGTCCCCCAGGTGAGTTACATAGGTAACCTCATTCCATAACCTTGCCAATCACTGTAAGGCAGCCTTATCATTCCATTATCTATCTGTTTTATAGATGAGGAAATGGAAGACTCATGAGGCTAAATCATTCATTTTTGAAGGTTACATGGCCAGTGTGTAACAGAGAGAAGATATGAATCCAGGCCTGGAGAAGGAAGGAGACATTTACTATTTACCTTACTACCCTCCCTGCACTGTGCCAGACCCTTCCACAAATAATAGCTTAGGCCAGGTACAGTGGCTCACACCTGTAATCCCAGCACTTTGGGAGGCTGAGGCAGGCGATTCACAAGGTCAAGAGATCGAGACCACCCTGGCCAACATGGTGAAACCCCGTCTCTACTTAAAAAAATACAAACATTAGTTGGGCGTGGTGGCACATGCCTGTAATCACAGCTACTCAGGAGGCTGAGGCAGGAGAATCGCTTAAACCCAGGAGGCAGAGGTTGCAGTGAGCCAAGATCATGCCACTGCACTGCAGCCTAGTGACAGAGCGAGACTCTGTCTCAAAGTAATAATAATAATAATAATAATAAGTAACTTAGTGAAATGGGTCCCTAAGAGTGAAGGCCATCCTGAGGCCCCTGAAGACAAGCTTTGTTCCCATTGCCTAGCTAACTGCCCATAGAGCATATGTTTAATAAAAACTCAGTGAAGAAATTGATGAATGATTTCCCTTTCACACAAATTCACAGCTTCAACAGATGAGTAAGCTGATTTTGAATAAGAAAATTCTCCTTCATTCTGAAAAACAACAACAGAAAAAAAAAAACGGCTGAACTAGAGATCATGTCTTTTTTGGGCTGCTGCAACAAATTGCCATGGACTGGGTGGCTTTTAAACAACAGAAATGTATTTCCCACAGTTCTGGAGGCTGGGAAGCACAAGATCAAGGCACCCACAGATTGGGTGTCTGGCAAGTGCTTGCTTTCTGATTCATAGAGGGCTCTCTTCTCATGGTGTCCTCAGATGGCAGATGGGGCGAGAGATCTCTCAGGCCTCTTTCATAAGAACACTAATCCCATCCATTAGGACTCTGCGCTCATAACCTAAGCCCTCCAAAAGGCCCCACCTCCACATGCCATTACATTAGGAATTAGATTTCAATATATGAATTTCAGAGGGACACATTCAGTCTACAGCAGATAGGAATCAAGTTAAAGAACAGAACTGCAGCCTCTGCTTCATCTGGGTGTACGTAATAAAACAGATCCCCAGAAAGACAAAGCTCCTTGCACCATCCCAGTATTGTGAATTTCTGCCTTCTCCAGAAATGGAAACACCCTGGCAGCCCTTTGGTTATCTTAGCAAACACGAAAATGAAATATTCAAGAAGGAAAGTGATATATCACAAATTTCCATCCTTCATACCCTCCGCCACCACTCCCCAAAAAATAGCTAGCTCAGGATGGATTGCATCCTGATAATCTTGCCTTAAATGCCCATAAGTCTCTTACCATAGTTTATGGGATTGGGATGAGCATTCCTCAGACACTTGCTACTTCACCTCTCATACCCTACATCCAACCCACAATCTTCTATCCAGCAAAAATATCCCTCAAGGATAAAGGGAAAGCAAAGACTAACTTAGCGAAATAGGTCCCCAAGAGTAAAAGCTACCCTGAGGCCCCTGAAGACAAGCTTTGTTCCCATTGCCTAGCTAACTGCCCATATAGAACATACGTTCTGTAGCCCTATCAGATCTCCCACCCCAGCACACTGCAGGTCTGCCAATACCTCCCCTTCTCCACTCCTGCTGGTGGAGACCAAGCCTCCTTTCTCTCTTGCCTGGAGCACAGCAACAACATCTGAACTGGTCTCCTTCCTTGCTCTCTTGTTTCCCTCTACACTAAATTCCCTATGAGGAAGCAGCATCATCTTTAAGAAAACAAAAATACAAAAAAACCTGATACGTTGTCACAGATTATTTCTATTTTTTCTTACTGCTTTCTTCACCCGGCTCTAGGTACAGCTTCAGCCACATGCTGCAGATGCAAGGATGAATTAGAAATGTGACTTGCTCACATCAATCCCATATGTTACTCCTTATTCTAACACCACTCCTGCTGCTTTCTCTCTTCTTCTTCCTCTTCCCCCTCTTTATTCTCCCCTTTCTCCTTTTTCTACCCTCCCTGTTTTTATCCTTCATTTATTTTTGTCCATTGTATTGTCCAATCACAATGTAAGTCCTACAAGTGCCCAAACCATGCCCTGCCACCTTTCACCATGCCAGACATGAATACAGAGAGTATATTCGCTCAGGGCCACTTTACGGATAAAAAAGGTTGAGAAAATCCTGGGACCTTTAAAGGGGGACATGATGCAGAAAATAAGAAGATCTGGTTTAGCCAAGAAAATCCAGGGATGGTGAGACACAATACCCTCAAGGGTTCAGTCAGTGCTGACTGGTTAATAGATTCTCGTGTTATTATGCTGCTTCATATTTTGAACTTGCGTGCATTAATACGTCTTTGCTATTGGGTCATAATTTTCTTTTTTTTTGAGAGGGAGTCTCACTCTATGGGCCAGTCTGGAGTGCAGTGGGACAATCTTGGCTCACTGCAGCCTCCACCCCTTGGGTTCAAGTGATTCTCCTGCCTCAGCCTCCTGGGTAGCTGGGATTACAGGCATGCGCCACCATGCCCGGCTAATTTTTGTATTTTTAGTAGAGACGGGGTTTCACCATGTTGGCCAGGCTGGTCTTAAACCCCTGACCTCAGGTGATCCACCCACCTCTGCCTCCCAAAATGCTAGGATTATAAGCATGAGCCACTGGGTCATAAGCTTCTTCATGAGCAAAAGTGGTCTTACCTATCATGATCCCTGACACTTACCATTGGCACAAAGTTGTTGCTCAATAAATATTTGTTAAATGAGTAAATAAATAAAAATGGCAGCTGATCCAGTAGACTGCAGGGTACCAGATATGGCGAAGGTATGATGATGCAGATGATATAAATAGCAACCAGGACTGTACTGGCTGTTTCTCCTGCATTGCTTTATTTCTTCAGAAGGGGCTAGCAAAACATTTATTACAGCTGAGTAACCTCATGTTCTGGGCAGTGAAAAAACATGCCAAAGACTATACCGCCCAGAAGGGGTAGAATAGGGATTTAGTCCCAGGCCATTATGATCCTAGATTCTGTGCTCTTTTCATTTAACCAGGAAGGCTTGGTTTGTCACTCTATAGAATGGCAGTGCTTGATCAGGTGCCTTGCAGGTGGGGAGATAAAAAAGAGCTCTGGCCATCAGGAGTGTTTGGTCCTTCTAAAGAGCAATAGCATCTATCCGGTCTTTGCCTCCTGTCCACTCAGACATCCCAGTGATTTCAATGGAATTGGCTTCAGCCCTACACTGCCAAATTGCAGAAGGATTCAGATGACTGGAGGAGGAGACAGAAAAAGTGAGACCTGTTTTCCGAACCTCCTTCTTTATGCTATGGAATTCAAAAATATTATCAGTTATATTTTTTGTTTTTATCACTTCCTTAAGAAGAGGCTGCATGCCATTTCTGTTTCTCTCCCAGTTGCTAGAAACTGTAAATGAAACTCAAGCCATATCTGTGTATTCTTGAGACAATGAAGATGTCTTAAACCTGGGCTCCAAGTGACTTGAATGGCCACTTTCATTCTAAAGCCATCGCCCACTCTTTCACTATGCTTTGTGGTCTTTAGAGTCATTGATCAATTACTTCAACAAGGATTTACTGAGTCCCAGACTGTGTGCCAGGCGTTGTCTTAATCACCGGGTGTAGCAGTGTTCCTGCCTCCATCCAGCTTACTTTCTAGAGAGAGAAGGGAGAAAGTAAACAAAGTAACAAATAAATAAAGAAGATGGTTTTAGAGAGTAATAGTTGATTTGAACACAAAAAAAGCAGGGTCATGTGATAGAAGGTGACTTGGGTAGGACATTTTTTACACTCTGTAAAAGGAAAGACTCCTCGATATATCATTGATGAGATTTTGTTGTTTTATAGTATTCTTTGGCTACTCATCTGTCCAGCATCTTATTAGCTATAACACTGTAATCATTGTTTGGAAATATTTCCTGTGGAAAGAATAAAAGCATTTACTTCACAGCTAGCATGTTCACAGATTTGAAAGAAGTTTCATTAAAAGCACCACTGCTTTCAAAAAAAAAAAAAAAGCAAAGACTCCTCTTAGTTGGGGGACACTTGAACTGAGATCTGATTAATGGGAAGGAGCATTTTGGAAAGGGGAATGGGGTGAGGAGTGAAAAGTCTCCAGCAGTTGTTGAATCCCTGCCACCAACAGCCTCAGACATGGCCTCCAGCCTCAGATCCACTCATTACTGGCAGGTTTTTTTTTTGTTTTTTTTTTTTTTTGAGACAGTCTCTCACTCTATCCCCTAGGCTGGAGTGCAGTGGTGTGATCACAGCTCACTGCAGCCTCTACCTCCCAGGCTCTGGTGATCCTCCCACCTCAGCCTCCCAGGTAGCTGAGACTACAGGTACATACCACCATGCCCAGCTAATTTTTGTACTTTTTGTAGAGACAGGGTTTCACCATGTTGCCTAGGCTGGTCTCAAATTTCTGGGCTCAGGCAATCTGCCTGCCTCAGCCTCACAAAGTGCTAGGATTGCAGGCATGAGCCACCATGCCTGGCCTTTACTGGGACTTCCTACACATCCTCACAAGACCCAAAACGACATAAATATGATCGTTAAGACTCATGGACAAACCCTGCTGCACCCCTCATTGCCTTTGGATAAAGTCCGAGTGCTTATTGCAGACCTTCATGGGCTGGCTTGCACCTACCTCTCCGGTGTCGCCTGACTGCATGTCTGCTTGGACCTATGTGAATGAAGGAGAAGACAATGGGAAGAGGGGCTGTGCTGGGGAAGGCGGGGCTACCTGCACTCCCCTGCTCCCCGAGACATGGTAAGCGAGCTCCCCATGAGTCAAATGGACACCACAGGAGGAGGTGAGGCTTGAGTTACCGGGCTGGTGCCCAGCAGAGATAACTGCACAAATAGGAGACTCCAGCTGTAAGACGCTGTGAAGGATGCTGCAGGCACAGGGGAGGAAGAGGCATGGGGGAGTTCCCACCAGATGAGACCTCCCAAGTTGGGAGAGGTGAGGCGCTCCATGAGAGAGGCACCACGTGGATGCCCGAAACACAATGAAGCTTTCGTGGCAAAGGTGGCCAGAGGAGCTGCTACCACAACCATCAAAGCAGAGGCCACTGCCCCTCTCCTTTCCCTTTATCCTTACCTCAACCCTCCAGAAAAAGAGAGAGGAACAGAGAAAAGGCCCCAGCCAGGTCCCTCAGGACAACGGCTTCGCATTGGCTCTGATGGGAGGGCAGAGAACTTCACTGTGATGTAGGCCTGCACTTTTATACTAGAACTGACAGGCTGGGCCGCGATGGCTCATGCCTGTAATGCCAGCACTTTGGAAGGCCGAGGTGGGCGGATCATGAGGTCAGGAGATCGAGACCATCCTGCCTAACATGGTGAAACCCGGTCTCTACTAAAAAATACAAAAACAAAAAAAATTAGCCAGGTGTGGTGGTGGGCGCCTGTAGTCCCAGCTACTCGGGAGGTTGAGGCAAGAGAATGGCGTGAACCTGGGAGGCAGAGGTTGCAGTGAGCCAAGATCACACCATTGCACTCCAGCCTGGGCGACAGAGCAAGACTCCGTCTCAAAAAAAAAAAAATTTATAAATATATATATATATACACACACACACACACACACACACACACACACACACACACACACACTAGAACTGACTGGGCTGGTCTCTGTTATGCCTGAGAGCGGACAGGAAGTTGTGGGATGGGGTCAAGGCTTGTGAAGGCACAGGACAGGAGGCTTTCACCAAACGCGGTTGGTCTCAGGGATTATGGAAACATGAAACGTTTTCATGGTCGTCCACCCCTGGTTGTTCAAGGGTGGTTACTTTAGCCCTAATACCACTAATCACCCATGGATCAGACTGGCGGGGCTAACACGTGAATAAGAAAAATGCTCCCTCCCTATCGCGAATTGTCTCAAGGTCTGTAGCCACCCTCATATGAACGGATTTATCCAGGAATTAACTTATGAATTATTGAGCATCAACCCTACAGCAAATATGGAGCAGGGACATGTGTCTACTCAGTCACATGGGATCCCCACCATAGCCTGATGTGCTGAGTCAGTGTCCCTTTCACAGACTGAAACCCTGAAGCCAGGACATTGTTCCAGGTCATGTGGCTATTAAATGAAAGAGGCTGGATTCACATTCTGGGCCACCCAACCCCAGGATCACCAACGGCTTCCTGAAGGAAACAGAAATAACCATGGAAAGGGACAGTTCAGGACAGACTGGGGGGCCTTCAATGTTGTGGTTTGAGTTTTATGCTTGGGGTAACATGTAGCAAACATGCTCATACATTTTAAATCATATGTTGCATCCCATAAAGGTCTAATGGGCTTTAAGTGGAGTTGGAGAGAAAAGCGGGCACCTCAACCTGTTGTGCAGAACAGAAACAGCATCTGGAGGTAGGCCCCCAGATGGCTTTCACCTGGCGCCCTGCTTGGCTCCTGACACCAGTGATTGTTTTCTACCTGGGCCCACAATTGCTTTTGTCTTCCAAGCCTCCCTCCTTCAGAGAGCAGAGCCAGTCTTTTGCTTTCAGTAAAAACCTCTCTCCTACTATCAGTTGATGGGGTACATGGAAGAATACCCTGCTTTTTCAGCTAGGAGGTGGCAGGGGACCAGAATGAGCTGGCTTGGGCCCCACATCCCCCTGGATGCTGGAATTTGACAAGAGCCAAGCATCCCCAGGCCCTCTGCTAGGGTTTCTGGGTAAAGAGGCGCACGTCTGCTGGAGCTGCTGAGTTTGGGGGGCGCTGACGGCCATGTGCCAGTGTGTGGGGGATCCTGATGCACACTGGATCCCGAGAACAAGATAAGATGCTTCCCTGGAGCCCCTGCACCCAGATTTGTCAAAAGTCCAGAGGTACCCAGAGCTACTGTGTTGCACGAGAGAAATATTTCCCTATCCCCGCTTTTTAAGCTTAAGCTAATTTGAGCTGGAGTTCTTCCACTTCAAAACCACAGAGAAGCACTTGTTGCTCTTAGCAGGGCCCAGCAGACACCGCCACCTCATTGCAGAGCTCACACGGGGAGTCCCTGCTTCTTAAACTGCTTTCTGGGCTCTATATCTTGTTTCCTCTTCCTCTCCTTTCATCTTTGATTGACAACTCAGTTTAGATATGCTTTTCCAGAATTACCCCATTCAACTTCCCTCTCCAACGGCCAACTTCCAAAAGCCATCCAGAGACACCCCACACACACACCCTTACCACCCGCCACCCCCTGCTGGCCCAACCCCTGCGGCCTCCCTGGGTCTATAGGGTTGAAGAGGCAGCACAGATGGGAGGATGCACACAAGAGGACAGGACAGCCCTTCTCAGTCTCCCCTCAGCCTGCCTCACCCATCAGTACAAGCAAACCTTAACCACTCTTTATTGTTTTATTCATTTCTTCAAACGTGGTAGAGCTGTAATAACCCCATTTTTATTTCTTTCTCATTTTCAGTATTGAATTCTTCCCAATTTTTTTTCTCTCCCCCCACCAGTCCCCCACTTAGTACACTGTCTCAGTTCATTTCACAAGAAATTGTCTCAGATTACAGAGTCTTGAGGACACAGAAAGATATTTCTGTTTAATTTATTTTGAGCAGCGTCTGGTCTGGTGAAGCAATATGTATAAATAGTGCTCCAGCATCCACACTGATTTTGGAGGTGCCATCCCAGCAGGCTCCCCTTTTTCTGGGAGAGAATAATGAGAAGCCACATGCAGCGCCTCCCCTTTGAGATGTGAGACAGCACAGCGGGAGGGCCATGGACCATGAGGCCCCACAGACTTGAGCCTGGCTTCTGTCTCCACCACTCTCCAGCCATGTGGCCTCAGCTAGTATCTCTCTAAGCCTCGGTTGCCTCATCTGTAAAAAGGGAGTACTAATCTACTTCATCAGTTGCTGAGTCCCCAGTCATAGCAGCATTAAAAATACATATCAACAGATAGATGGATGGATAGACAGCTAGATTAGATACATGACAAACTCTAAGCTCTTGATAAAAGAAAGCTGTCATTACCAAAGAATCTTTTTCAGTGCTTCCTTCACACTCACAACACTTTTTGCACCACCATATAAATTCCACTCAGAAAACTATCAGAGGGAGTGATCTACCCCAACACCCTCCATTAGCCCATGCTCGAATTCCCTCTAGATACCCCTTATACACTCATTTAAACTTGGATATCTCCAGGGACCAGAAACTCACTACTTTGCAAGACGGTAAGTGCATCTCAGAATTCTAAAGTGTTGGAACTTCCGAGATGCTGGCTGTCTTAGCTGAAGGAAAGGCCAGTGGCTGAGCTCAGACTGGGCCCTAGGTCCCCTTTCCCAGTTTAGAGCTCTGTTTCATACCGGGAAACCTCAGGCAACCAGGCTGTTTAGAGCTCCTACCTTAAGAGACCCTGCAGTCCCTAAGCCAAGCTCCCATTTCTGCCCCTGGGGGACACACTCCACACAACCTCTGAGGAGTTTCCATTCTGAGAGTGAGGCCCCTCCCTCTGTGCCAGATTATAAATTCCCCTTTACTGTACTCTGTGAACTTGCAAAGGACCTCATTCACCCTAAACATCCACGTTATCGGACAAGACAGTTTCGTTCATGTTCTATCCCAGCTTAAAGCCTCCTCTTGGCCCCTCAAGGCCTCTCTCAACCTGATCCCTCACCTCACATTTCACCTCATGAACCTTATTCTTCAACCTCAAAGACTCCTCTCCTTTCCTCAAACACCTGCATTTTCTTTTCCTAACTCCTGACATTGTCTGTGTTGTTACCTCAGAATTTATTTTTCTTGCCAGACAGACTCCTATTCATCCTTCAAAACCTGGTTTATGTGCCTTCTCCTCAGTGAAGACTTCGCTGATATACCAGGCAGGGAGTGTTCCACTATATTCCTTAGGGGCTCCCACAGACTCATGGATCTTAGCACTCTACAAGTAATATTAAAAATTACCTACTGGCCAGGGGTGGTGGCTCACGCCTGTAATCCCAGCACTTTGGGAGGCCGAGGCGGGCGGGTCACGAGGTCAGGAGATTGAGACCATCCTGGCTGACACGGTGAAACCCCGTCTCTACTAAAAATACAAAAAATTAGCCAGGCATGGTGGCGGGCACCTATAGTCCCAGCTACTCAGGAGGCTGAGGCAGGAGAATGGCGTGAACCCGGGAGGCGGAGCTTGCAGTGAGCGGAGGTGGTGCCACTGCACTCCAGCCTGGGTGACAGAGCATGACTCCGTCTCAAAAAAAAAAAATTACCTACATATTGGTCTGTCTTCTCAACTGAGCTGCTTAAACTTAACGTGTCTAGTCTCTCTTCCTCTGTGCCTGGAACAATGATGCGCACAGAGCAGTATCATGTATCAGTGTAACAGACAGAAACAAATAAATGAGTTGAAGTGTCTCAACTGGGTGTTCAATGGCAAATTTAACTTAGTAAGAGGGAGCTCTTTCTTGTATTTTTAATTGAAACTTTTATTTTCTGAGAAGATAGAAAACATGTGGATTGACATAAGACTGACTTTCTTTTTCTTTTTTTTTTTTGAGACAGAGTCTGGCTCTGTCACCCAGGCTGGAGTGCAACGGTGTGATCTCAGCTCACTGTAACCTCCACCTCCTGGATTCAAGCAATTCTCTTGCCTTAGCCTCCCAAGTAGCTGGGATTACAGGCACCCGCCACCATACCCAGCTAATTTTTGTATTTTTAGTAGAGACACGGTTTTGCCATGTTGGCCAGGCTGGTCTCGAACTCCTGACCTCAAGTGATCCTTCCGCCTCGGCCTCCCAAAGTGCCGGGACTACAAGCATGAGCCACCACACCTGGGCAAGACTTTCTTTGACTAATCACCAGTGGCATTTCTTTTCTTCCAAGAAATGGCCTAGATGCTACCAGGACCCGGCTACTCTGTGGATAAGAGCACACAGAGGTGAGGTGTGTACCAGGGAGGGGCCAGGAATGGAGGCTTTGTGGCATGTTCTCCTCCCAGGGAATTGACTCACAAATGTGCCCAACACAGAGGGACCAAAAGATATTTCTCCATCACAGTGTGGGGCTCTCCAGCTCATTCCCTAGGGGAGCCTGTGGCTTTGTCTCCACTGTTGTGGGGCTTCAGGACCAAAACTGAACAGGAGCTTCCAGGATTAGTCCCCTACAAGGGGAGCTTGTGGGAGGGAGCTCTGCTCATTACCCTCGTGCTGTGCAGTGTCTAGCAAATTCAGGCTTTTAAATAGTGTGAGCATTTATTGGTAGGAGAATTCAGCTGGAAGGGTACAAGAAAAACCTCTTGAAAGGTTCTGTCTGAGCAAAGGACTACTGCAATCCAACCTTCTTTCCCCTTGATCTGAAAAACCATCCAGGAATGGCTGATCAAATTTGTTGATGCAAATTAATCCACTAACTCACTCATTCATACATTTATCCTATCATCTATTTACTTTCTCATTCATTCTTTCATTAATCTGCTCACTTACCCATTGTCTTAGCCCACTGTCTTAAGACAGAAGCACTGAAAATGATTCTCTTTTAATAATACAGACTGGGCAATTTATTAAAAGAGAGATGCATTTGCCTCACAGCGCTACAGGCTGGGAAATCCCAGTGCATGGCACAGGCATCCAGCGAGGGTAACCCCACAGCAGAAGGCAGAAGCACGCATGTAAAACAGAGAGAGGACCCACAGGCCAAATTCATCTTATAACAACCCACTCACACAAGAACTAACCTGTTCCTACAACAGCAATAGTAGACCTTCCATGAGGGGTGTGCCCTCATGACCCAATCACCTCTTATTAGGCCACATCTCCCAACACTGCTGCAATGGGGATGAAGTTCCCAACACATGAACTTTGGGGAGACACACTCAAATCGTAACACCTGTCCGTCCATGCAGACATTTCTTTCTGCTCTCCCTCCCTCCCCACTCCCCCACACAAAGGCTCATTCATGCCATAAACAATGCGGACCACAGCACCACTTCCCACTGGGTCCACAGCAAGCATTAAACCAGGCAAAATAAAATATGACAGTTCAACCTTTCAATCATTTATGCAGTACCTCCTAAGAGCCAGACACTGTGCTAGATGCCCATGTTTGTAAATATGTGTTGGCTATTGTTCCCACACTGTTCAAATGCTGCATTTTGATTGATGTAGATGTTTGGATATACATCAGTTGTGAAAGAATATTAGCCAGAATGTTACTATTGGTTAAGTTGGGGGATAAGAACTCAGAAGAGTTGCAGATACTGTTGCACTTGTAAAAACATGCTTTTGTTACTTTTTAAATTTAAAACATTCTAACAAGGAATAACAAAGAAAAAATTGATTGCCCAAATAGTACATCTGCTTTCTCATATGAATTATGTACATTTATCTTATTCACGTATGGCAGTCTGTAATTTTTGTTAAGAGCATAGGCTTTGTATCAAGACATAGGTTTAAATCCCAGTTCTGCCATTTACTATCTAAGGGACCAAATGTTCCTAAGCCCCAATGTGTCCATCTGTAAAGGGGGTAACAGCATAGTTAATTCACAGGAGGAAAGGATCTATGTGATAATATCTCACATACCGCCTGGCACCAATTGGCACTCAATCTCACATGGGGTCAGGGGGCATATTATTTTTGCTTTTACGGAGCTCAAAATCTATCATAGGCAAAAAGATCTAATTTATTCTAAGTACCCCAAAAAGATAGAATAAGATCAGACAGATGGCAGTGGCAGAGAGAGTGCTTTCATTTGAGTAAGAGGAAAAATTTTAAACCAGACATCCAACAATGCACTGGAGGTTGCCTTAGGAGGTAGCAATCCCTCTGCCCCTGGAGATGGGCAAGAAGAAGGTGGGCAAGAACCTGGGAGAAAGGTAATAGAATCCAGTCACCAGATGAGGAAACTGGACAAGCTGCCTGTGATAGACGTACTGCAGCCTGCAGATGCAAAGGGCCTATCATAGTCATAATTATTTGGCAAAACTATATGTGATCACCCTTAATGTATAATCACAACGAAGCTTGTGGCTGTTTTATTTGTACTTGTGTTTTATTTTGTTTTATTATAGGAATAACACTTAACACGAGATCTATCCTCCTAATAGAGTTAAGTTTACAACACAATGTTGCTACATATTGGCACAATGTTACAGAGCAGACCTCCAGAACTTATTCATCTTGCATAAGTGAAGTTTTATACTCAATTTTTTAAATGAGATTTTGTTTAATTTTTCCTTATTTATCTTTGTGGCTGACTTGCCTTTTTTTTTTTTTCTTTTTTTGTCTTTATAGCATCAAGAGCAGACTGTGCCCCTGACAACTCAGCCACGGGGCAGGCGAGGCCAGCTCCAATTGGCCTGGACCTGCCGGTGTGCAGTCAAAGGAAAAGCTTCTCCTTAGGATACAGTTTCAACCAAGAGATGGTATCAATTCTGATTTTTTTAAAAAAACTTACTATAAGCCAAACTTAAAAAAAAAATTTAAGATACCCATCAGAACACAGCCAGGGTTAACTAGTAGTGAGGTTTTAGTAACTGGGAGTGTACAAGTTAAGGCAAGTGGACAGCAAGAGGGAGGTAGCATGGCTGAGTTTGTCCCAGGAGGCCTCTGAGTTGCTTCCAGCAGGGCATCTTCGCAACCACAATGGGCTGGCAGGGCCACCCTCAAACACTCTCTGGGTATCTGCCAGGACTTCCCTTTGCTTGTGCCAGGATGTTAGCCCTGCTTTCAGCCTCTCATGAGTGCTTCTAATAACCAATAAGTCCTGAGAACCATCAAAATACCAATGCCCTCTGACCCAGAAATCCCACTCCTTAAGAATAATCTGAGATACATCATTGCCAAATGGGGGAAATCTTGTCACAAACAAAAATGCTCACTGCAGCAGCAGGCAGGGACTGGTTCACCTATCTTGGTCCATCCGCTTGCAGGAATGTGAAGAAGCAATACAAAACGAAACTCCAGTAACACCACAAAGCAAGGAGCTGACTTTACTAAATAAGAAAGCTGAGGAATGGTCATGTCATATGATTCATTCATTCAATTATTCATTCATGTAGCCATGTATTCACTCACTCATTGATTCAACAAACCTCATGCTGGCCTCAGGCAAAGTGCAAAGAGATGTCGGTCTGGCCACCTGGCCTTGGGCTGGTTGTCTCAGACACCAATTCTTCCCCTCAACATACACACCCACACAGACACATATATGCACACACACATACACATGTACACACAGAACCACATGGGCACACACAAATGCTGGATCCTAGGTGGGAAGAGTGAAAGGTCAATCCCTCTGTGTCCTGGTGCCTCATGAGACCTATGTTTGAGACTCAGTTCTGTCTCAAAATGCAGTTCCGGCAAGTCATTCCCACTTCCCAGAACTCTCTCTGTTCCCTGGTCTGTGAAATGGGATAATGGCACTTTTCCCATCTTACTAGGGCTTGGTCTTCCTCGAGTTTGCAGTTATCTTTATCTGGTAACCTGATAAATATGTCTTGAATTCTTGAATAGGGGATTGGCTGAAAAAAAAAATCCTCAGGGAACTTTCCTACCCTAAAACATTCCTGTGGGCCTTTCTCATTTTCTGGTTTTCTTTGGAAGGCCCGCATCATTCCCAGCATGTGCAAAAAGGTCTTAGTTGAAACAAAAATGAGCTTTGAATCCTGCTTCCTCTTTGTTCCCTCTGCCTATCCCCAGGTAAATCATTCAAACTCTCATCTTTCATTTCCTTGTTTCTAAAACTGAGATATGAATGACACACACGTAGTCCATGGTCCTGGCCCATAGTAACCACACCACCCATGTTGACCTCTATCAAAAACATCATAAGCACCTTCGAAGGAAGAGAGGGATGCAGGAGGGGACCAGCAGACTATTAAGGCTGGAAGGGAAGTGCTTGGTAATTGCAGTATCTCAAGCTAGGAAGGACCTTAAAAGCTTACCTAGCTCAAGCATTCCAGGTTTAGATCAGCCTTACAACAGCCATCCCATCTGTCTGAATGCCTCCTGTAGTGGGGGACTCACTCCCTAATGAATCAATCCCTCTTGTCTTTGGAAAGGTCTTCCAACTGAACTGGACTCCAACATCCAGTGAAGCTCCTCCACTCATCCTTTTAGCTGGACCCTCTGGGGACCAAGACAGCAGACCAGCTGCCTCTTCTACAGGGCAGCCCTCCAAATGGCTGGGGCCACTGTCTTCTCTGCACTAGAAGACCTTTCTATGGTAGTATCCTTCCACATAAGCTATGACTTCTATTCCCAGGAAAGCCTGATTTGTCTCCTCTAAATGCACTTCCACTTATCTGTGACCCTCTTACAATGAAATCAGAGAGAGATAACCCTGATCTTCTAACTCAGAGCAAGCAAGCTCCCAGGTCTTCAGAGGCCCTGCAGGTCACACAGATGACAGCGGATGACCAGAGGGCACATGCCTTGTCTAAAGGGGATGGCTAATCCTCACCCCAGCCATGGACAGCCTTGCAGGGATTCCAGCCAAAAGAGAAACCAGAGACTAAGATTTGTAACATGAAATCTCCTGATCATTTTATGTTGGCAATAACTGAAACTACACACAAAGCCTTAAAACTGTCTGTGGACTGCATCCGTTTAGGGGCCATTTACTTAATCATTTTGTAGGTATAAAACCTTTCGTGAATCTGATGAAAGTTTGACCAAACCACAGAAAAACCAGACACAAACTTCTGCTCCAAATGTTTTAAAGGATGCATGGATCCCTGGGAGCCACTCTTGGACCCCAGGAAAGAAAATCCTCATTGGATGCAGCATCTTGTCTAATAAGACAGGCCCAACAATATCAAAGTGACCATTTCCCACAGTTGCGCAGTGCCTCAGTAGCACAGCGACAAGGAAATCTAGAATGAGGTGGGGGTGCTTCCTGCTGAAGCTCCCCAGGTGTGTGAAACAGAAGCAAACTAAGATATATTGCATGCTCACCACGTACCAGATGCCTCTTGTGTTATCTATCTCTATCTCTTCCATCAGCTCCATCAGCAAAAGAGAAAATTGAGGCTCACTGAGGATAGCTGCTTGACCCAGGGCAGCCAAAGAGAGCAACAGAGTTAGCACTGGAAGACAAGACTAGCAGCAAAGCTCACATCCTTCAACTGCAACTTGCATGCAGCTGGGCAGCGTACCCCATGCAGCAGGCCTCTAACAAAAATGAAGCCCTGCAATTTCAAATTTTCCTGGAACCTTTGAACTTAACCAGGAGCCTGAAGATGTGGCCTTCAGCTTTCCATGATTTGCCTGGTAGAAATCATCAATGAGAGACAGATTAGGAGTGAGAAAGACCCACGTAGACATAGGAGTGTCGGCATGGGCCCAGGCGTGGTGGCTCATGCCTGTAACCCCAGCACTCTGGGAGGCCAAGGTGGGCGGATCACCTGAGGTCGGGAGTTGGAGACCAGTCTGACCAACATGGAGAAACCGCATCTCTACTAAAAATATAAAATTAGCCGGGCATGGTAGCTCATGCCTGTAATCCTAGCTACTCAGGAGGCTGAGTCAGGAGGAGAATCGCTTGAACCCGGGAGGCAGAGGTCACAGTGAGCCGAGGCTGCACCTCGCACCATTGTACTCCAGCCTGGGAAACAAGAGTGAAACTCGGCCTCAAAAAAAAAAAAAGTGTCAGGATGGGGCTCTGGAAGATGACAAGTCATGGAATGAAGTTCTGAGGAGGGGGACCCGGCACACAGCTCTGGAACAGGCCGGCAGGCGGTGCCTCCTTCTGCAGATGGTTGATAAGCATGTCCACCTGTCATCCCTGAGTCTTGCCTTGAGTGGGGAGAAGTGAGGACTCATTTTCCAATAACACAGCTAATTCAAATCGTGCTCAATAAAGTGGCACACGAAACTCTGGTCTGCTACAGAACATGATACGCAGGGATTGGGGGAAGGACAAAAACACCTCTCTGACCTAGAGAAGGCTGGGAGAGGGGGGATAAAATGCTCAAATAGAAATGAGATCTAAATTTAGATCAAGAAAGCTAAGTTCCCTGACAGTAAATGTAAAACCAAACGAAGACTATTCTTTCCCCACCCCCTGCTCCATTTCCCCCGCATCTTTTTCTCCTTTTACTGCAAACTTCTTACTTGAAAGTTTAAAGAGCTGGTACATCTCAACTACTTTAAAGTATTATAGCAATCTGAAAACAAGCTCTCGCATTTGACTCTCGGCGGCCATCGCTGAGCTCCTCGCTGCTCAGCTAGAATCAAACAGGTGTGTTCTCACGGATTTGCCGCTATTTTACTCTGAAGTTAAGTCAAGACACAGACACATCTGCTTCCAACTATAGTCACTCCCTAAAGAGCGAAGTGTGCTCAGGCTTCAGAAGGAAACGCGTCTGTATTTGGAGAGAACATCTCCCCAGCCCGCATCCACCCCCCGCCTCTCGTCCCTCACTGTCATCTGGGAAGATGGGCGTCAGCTGAAGTCTGTGACCTTCAGCACTGCAGCAAAGAAGAGAACCCGGGTCTTACCTGGCAGGGAGGCACTCAGGGGTGCCAGCGGAGGTCCAGTCCTGGGCCCAGGCCCACTGGAAGCAGCAGCTGGGAGAAGACACCAGCCCCAGGAATCCTCCTCCTGGGGGTCACCTGTCAGCCACTCGCCCACTCTCCCCCAAATAATCTCACAAACTCAGACTCTAAACAAGACCCGCAGTAAGTGTGGAGGCTTTCCCCAGGCCAGGGGGCCAGAGAGGGAACCAGCTTGAAAACAAGTAACTAAATACATACAGTTAGAAGGAAAGGCTTGAAAGTTACAGAATGAGATAGAAAGTGTGTGAGAAACAGAAGAACAGGGAAAGCGGAGAAGACACTTCCTTGGGGAGAAACGCCGCAGCCTCGGCCAGCCCCGCCACTGCCCAGGAACAAAGCTGTCTGGAGCCTCCCCAGGGGCAAGCTGGCCTCAGCGCTGGGATTCCCCGGCTAAGAGCGCGGGGCTGGGGAGGAGCTGGGGCGGGGGCGGGCCTAGGAGCTCGGGGCGGGAGCGGGCGGGGGCCAAGCCGCGAAGGAGGAGGAAAATCAGGGGGCTGGGAGCGGGGAGGGGCCGGAGGTGCAGGGGCGGACCCCAGAGAAAACGAGAGAGGCCGACGAGGCCCCGGACAGTGGCGAGGGGCTGCGGGGAAAGGTGGGCAGGGACCTCGGGAGGGCTGTGGGGGACTGGACAGCGTTAGGGTCCAGGCAGTAACGAGGTGGCCCTGGGAAGCCCAAAAGAGGGGCTGACAACTTTCTGTCCAATTATAGACTTCACTGATACTCTGCTCCCTTTTCCAGCGGGTCTGAAATAGACCACCGACTAGTGCCGCAGCTGCCCGAAACTTTGGGAAGTTTGGCGCCACCAGGGGGCCTGGGGAGGGGGCGCGCTTGGCTCTTTTTCCAGATCTGAGAGGCCCCCTCCTGTCTGAGCAGGTGAGAGCAGGTAACGCGCACCCCTCTGTGCCAGGGGCTCCACCTACAGGCAGCCCTGTTCACTGGCTGTGACTTCAGCTCTGAGGACAGGGGCATCGCGTCCTTCTTTTTGGGATGAGGACAGTGAAGCCTCGGAGAGAGCCTTTATAGTCTGCCAGCGCCCCCAGCAGAGCAGGGATATGGGCCCACGTTGGCCTGATGAGGACACTCGCCTGGCTAATGGGCTTTCCAGCCCCCAAAGGCAGACCATGAACAGGTGCAGGCCCGGGGCACCCTTCTACTTTTTCTTTCTGAGCACTGTTCCTAAAAATGGGCCAGGCAGGAGTATTTTGAACTAGATGAGAACATGGTTTAATCTGTGTGACCTCCCCCACCCCCAGCTCCCAATCTGTCTCCTAAACTCTGGGGTGTCTTTATTTGGTTGCCTGCTGGGTAGCAACGATTTCATAAACAGGCAGTATCGGGCTCCTCTGTGACCCAGGGAGCTCAAAAATCCAGCTGCTTCCTCCCTCTCCGGTCTTGTTTTCCAGCCACTCTTGTGGAAATTCATTTCACATGTGTTGACTGAACCCCACCACCCTCACCATGTCAGGTGCCCATCAAGTAGAAGAGAGGGCTGGCCGTATCACGAGAAAGGTGAGGGGCTGAGATGGGTGCTTGTCAGTTACCAGGAGGGCGGGACGCAGAGAAGAGAATGATTGCACCTGCGAGAGCCCAGCGCGTGCGCCTCTGGGCACACTAGTGTCAGAGGCATTGAACCAGAGCAACTCCATCTTGAATAGGGGCTGGATAAAATGAGGCTGAGACCTACTGGGCTGCATTTCCAGCAGGTTTGGCGTTCTTGTCACAGAATGACATAGGAGGTAGGTACAAGACACAGGCCACAGAGGCCCCACTGATAAAACAGGTTGCAATAAAGAGGCTGGCCAAAACCCACCAAAACCAAGATGGTGACCTCTGGTCATTCTCACTGCTGATTATATGCTGATTATAATGCATTACCATGCTAATAGACACTCCCACCAGTGCAATGACAGGTTACAAATGTCATGACAACGTCCAGACGCTACCCTATGTGGTCTAAAAGTTTCCCTCAGTTCTGGGAAATCCCCTCCCCTTTCCCAGAAAACTCACTAATAATCCACCCCTTGTTTAGCATGTAATCAAGAAAGAACTATAAGTATATCTGGTCGAGCAGCCCGTGCCACTGCCCTGCCTGCAATAGCCATCCTTTTGTTTCTTTACTTCCCTAATAAATTTGCTTTCACTTTATGAACTTGCCTTGAATTCTTCTCCTGGAGTCTGGATTGGGATCCTTTTCCGGTAACACTAGTGGGAACACAGACAGAAAAGAGGGATGAGACCACAACATTAAATTACAATAAGTTATAATAAGTGCTATGAAGAAAAAAAAAGATGAGTCAGAGAACAAAGTAAGGGGTGCAAACCCTATATTCAGGGCTAAGGAGAGGTGTGCTGAGCAGGTGGAAGACTGAAGAATGGGCAAAGCCACCATGCAGAGGAGGAGGCCCTGGAATCAGGGCTGGAAGGGGAATTGGGAGCTCACCAGGCAGAGGGAAAGACTTGAGCCCGTGGAGAGTCGAGTCTCCTGTGCCCTGGGACCTGTGGAGGGCCATGGCCAGGGACAAGGCTGGGTGAGGAGCAGGGCACAGATGAGGGGGCTGGCAAGGCCTGCTGAGGGGACAGACTTGGTCCTGAGGACCAGGAGTCACAGAAGTGCCTTAGAGGGGCAGGAGCATGGCCAGGGCAGGGCCTTGCAGAGCCTGCTGCCAGTGGCACAGTTGGGAGGTGGTAGGGGAGGTGCGCTGGGAGACTACTCAGTTGAATAAGTTCTGGAACGTCAGAGAGAGAGAGAACTAGCATCATCTCCAGGTTCAAGGTAGAGCCTCACCAGCACATACTTGTTGACACAGGTAAAATGAGGTCTCTAAAGTAAAGGGAGATCAGAAGGGAAATTGAAGTTCCAGCCATGCGTGACCCCAAGGGCTTTTTTCCCCGTTTATTTTAACATTTGTTAAGAACCTACTAATGTCAGACATTGGGAGTGCAAAGCTGGATAGAATATAATCCAGACCCCAAAGGAAACAAAAGTCTGGAGGGACAGAATCAGCTTTTAAAACCAAGGAAATATACATCAGCCACCGTTCCAGCAACTGGACTGCAGGCATCCTACCATGGCTAATGGAATCTCAAGGGCTCTGAGCTCCCAACTGCCCAGTTAAAAAAACAAAAATCCCTCTGCAGAAGTCCCCTCTACGGTTTTTCTGGGACTCCTTGGTGGGCTGGAAGGTGGTGGTAGGGACTTGACTGTGAAGCCCAGGTGGATCCCCACAGGGCCTCTTTACAACTGAGCTGCTCTTTTTGACCCAAGCTACCTTCATTGGCCAAAGTTACAAGACCTGGGAATCTGCTAGCTGCTCTCAAATCGCGTATCTCCGTGAGAGCTTCACCTCCGGTTTCACAGTGAGAAGAAAGTTGTCCCTGTGTGACTCCCAGGTGGGGACCCACATTGAGCAGTCTTGGACCTTGTTTTCATTTTCTGTTGCTACTGTAAAAAATTACCCCAAAGTTCTGTGCTTGAAACAACATAAATGCATTATCTTGCAGTTCTGGAGGTCAGGAGCCCAAAATGAGTCCTACAGGGTTAAGATCAAGGTGGTGGCAGGGCTGAGTTCCTCCTGGAGGATGCAAGAGATAATTTGTTCCTTGCCCCTCTTCCAGCTTCTAGAATTTTTTTTCTCTTTTTCTTTCTTTCTTTCTTTTTTTTTTTTTTTTTTTTTGAGATGGAGTCTTGCTCTGTCGCTGAGGCTGGAGTGTAATGATGCGATCTCGGCTCACTGCAGTCTCCACCTCCCGGGTTCAAGTGATTCTCCTGCCTCAGCCTCCTAAGTAGCTGGGATTACAGGCACCTGCCACCACTCCCAGCTAATTGTTGTATTTTTAATAGAGGCGGGATTTCACCATGTTGGCTGGGCTGGCCTTGAACTCCATTTTTTTTTTTTTTTAGCCTTGAACTCCTGACTTCAGGTGATCTGCCCACCTCGGCCTCCCAAATTGCTGGGATTACATGCATGAGCCACCATGCCCAGCCCAGCTTCTAGAATTTCCCCACTTTCCTTTCCTTGTGGCCCCTCCCTGCATCACTCTGACTTCTTGCTTCTGTTGCCAGAGCTCCCACCACTGCAGTTAAATCTCCATCTCCCTCCTTATAAAAATCCTGGTGATGAGATTGGGCTTACCAGATGACCCAGGAGCATACCCCATCTCAAGATCACTCACTGTCACCTGCAAAGTTCCTTTCACCATGTAAAGGAACACGCATATTCACAGGATTTTGAACCTGAGCATCTTTGAAGGCTAGAGTTCAGCTTACCATAGACCCCAAAGCATTACAGCCTAGTGCCAGCTATTTCGCTTCCCACATGACCCGCTTTATCCCTGGATGCAGGGCGCCATAGCAATGGCTGGAGAGGAGCAGGCTCCGTGGTGGTCATTTAGCATGTGCCAGGCACAGGGGATATGACAACAAGAGGAACTAACGGGAACTTCATGGGGCTTGTGTACCACCCGTGGGGGTGATAGTGATTATACAAAACATTGTGTCATGGACATCCAGGTAGTTACAAGGAACAGGGTTAAACAGAGATGCCTTGGGTTGCTCCTGTTTTAGACAAGGTAGGGGCAAAGTCTGGGAAGACCTCTTGGGGGAGGTGTCCTTTCAATAGAGACTTAAATGAAATGAGGGCAGACGACACGGGGAGGACTGAAAGGGAGTATACCAGGGTGGAAGAGCCAGGGCAAAGTCTTCACTGAGAAAATGAACTTGGCACATTTGAGGGGCAGCCACAATAGGGTCCCCAAAACAGCTTCTCCCTTCTGATGGCCCTTGTGATCTAGCACAGGTCCTGGCTCTGGGAACAGAATTTGCTCTCCACCACGAGCCCCTGCACTGCCACTATCCATGGCCCAGCACATGCCACTCCCTGCAGCTCCCAGCCTGAGCTGGGACTGCCTCTATCTGAACCACCCACCATGGTGGACAGGGCTAGATCTTCCCCACCACACACCCCACTCCAGGCAACCCCTCAATATCCAGCCTTCCCATCTGCTGCTGCTGGGAAACAGGGATAAATGCCTCCACCGGTTGGAGAAGCACAGGTGAGCCTGTGTAGACAGGTGGGCTCCTCCCCACCCTACAGCACCTGCCTTCACACCTGAGTGCACAAGCTTTAGGGAGGTGGCAGGACTAGGGGCGCATACACAGCACTGGCTCCCAAACCCTTCTCTCTGCTGCTTCCCAAAACCAAATCTCTTCATGAACATGGATCCACAGCTCTGGAGACATCATGCTCTACCACAAAGAAAGGCATTAGGAGGCATTCGCTTTGTTCTTCCATCTCTGCAACCAGCAACCACGAGGCTGGGCATGGATTCTGGAAAGACAATTCTTAAAATCACTCTGCCTCACTTCCTTCCCCTTCTGGACTGTTTCTTTGCCAGGATGACACATTTCTAAGATGTATTCAACAGGAACAGAAAATCTGCATATATATCATTACACACACAAATATGTGGATATGCGTTTAACAGAGAGTAAGAAAATGTCCCCATATGACTTAATTCTTTTTTCATTTCTACCACTCATTCTATCACTGTGATCATTAATGTCACAGGTAAATAGCAGAATAACTTTCAGGTAATTGCCAGTCATGATTTATATTTCTCTGTGGAAATAGAAACCTGTCTGTATCCATCATGAGTCGCCTCTCCAGGGTTTCCCAAGGCCGCAGTCAAATGTTGGCCCAGCTAAGTCTCCTTCTGAAGTCTCTGGGGAAGAATCCATTGCCAAACTTCCTTAGGTTGTTGGAAGACCTCATCCAGTTCCCTGCCACTGAGGAACCAAGGATCCTGTTTTCCTGCTACTTGTCAGCGGGGAGCTGCTCTCAGCTTCCAGAAGTCACCCTCCTACTGCAGCAGCCCCAAGGATAGCTGACTGCTGACAGTGTCCTCATCCAGGCCACTGGAGGCTGCTCTCTTTTCTTTTATTATTTATTTATTTTTTTTTTATTTATCTTTTTATTTTTTTTTGAGACAGAGTCTCACTCTGTCACCCAGGCTGGAGTGCAATGGTGCAATCGTGGCTCACTGCAACCTCCGCCTCCCGGGTTCCAGCGATTCTCCTGCCTCAGCCTCCTGAGTAGCTGGGACTACAAGCACATGCCACCACACCTGGATAATTTTTGTATTTTTTAGTAGAGAATGGGGTTTCACCATATCGGCCAGGCTGGTCTCGAGCCTCTGACCTCGTGATCCACCCGCCTCGACTTCCGAAGTGCTGGGATTACAGGCACGAGCCACCGCGCCCAGCTTCTCTTTTCTTTTTCTGCCTCATACCACCAGCCAGAGAAAGTTTTCAGCTTTTTGGGACACATGTGATTAGATTTTGCCTACACAGTAATCCCCCTATATTAAGGCCACTTGTGCCATAGAGCATAACACAATCACAGGGTGGAATCTCTTTACATTCTAAAATTCTAGTGGTTGGGACAGGGTATTCGTGAGGGCCTGCCAACCCTTTTAAAAAATTCTCACTTATTGAACTTTTGTATTCTTCTTTTTCTTCCTTCCTTTATTTATTTATTTTTGAGATGGAGTTTTGCTCTTATTGCCCAGTCTGGAGTGCAATGGTGCGATCTCGGCTCGCTGCAAACTCCGCCTCCCTGATTCAAGCGATTCTCCTGCCTCAGCCTCCCAAGTAGCTGGGATTACAGGCATGTGACACCATGCCTGGCTAATTTTGTATTTTTTAGTAGAGACGGGGTTTCTCCATGTTGGTCAGGCTGGTCTCGAACTCCTGAGCTCAGGTGATCCACCCACCTCAGCCTCCCAAAGTGCTGGGATTACAGGCATGAGCCACCATGCCCGACCTCTTCCTTTAAAAAAACAAACAAACAAAAAGAAAACAAAAAACTGTGTTTTCTGCCTTTGAATTTGACTTTAATAGCTATGAAGACAGTAAATACATCATCTTGTTCACTGCCATACCTCCACACCTACCTTGGTGCTTGATACATGAAAGGTGTTAACAGTATTTGTGAAATGTTTGAATAAATGAGCAAAAGAATGGCTGGGCATAGTGGCTCATGCCTGTAATCCCAGCACTTTGGGAGGCCAAGGCAGGTGGATCACCTGAGGTCAGGAGTTTGAGACCAGCCTGGCCAACATGATGAAACCCTGTCTCTACTAAAAATACAAAAAAAATAGCCAGGCATGGTGGGGGGTGCCTGTAATCCCTACTCAGGAGGCTGAGGCAGGAGAATCGCTTGAACCCAGGAGGCAGAGGTTGCAGTGAGCCAAAGTCACGCCACTGCACTCCAGCCTAGGCGACAGAGTGAGACTCCGTCTCAAAACAAACAAACAATAAAAGAATGAATGGCAGAGAGAAAGCCTCACTCTAAATGACTCACACAGGTCCGGCCTATCGGTTCTCAATCAGATATGAGATTGACATTTTAAGATTCACAGGACTGACAGATTATATGAAAGCCACAAAACAGTGATGGGACCAAACTGGCATGGTTGGGAGACACACACTCCACAGGGAGGATAGGAGGTTTCAGAATACCAAACACTCATGAGCTGCCCAGCTGGGCATGGAACCAGGGACAAGCTCTTTGTTGGAACCATGTAATGTGGGTTAGTTTAAGGGTCTCAGGAAAGTTCCTTAACTTCTCTGAGATTCAGTTCTAACATCTTAAAGTGCAGACTATAACCTTCCACCCTTAAGGATCTGTTGCAAAAGAGTCATGATATAACAGGTGCCCCAGACCTGGCAGATAGAAGATGCTCGTGAAATGGTTTCCATATGGATCTGCCAAGTACAATAGAGGCAGCCAAATAAATACTGCTTCCTCTGTTCTTTAGATTCTTATAATCTACTTGGAGAAACAAGAGGTAAACACAATGAAACACAACAGAGAAAGCTAAGATTATATACAATTGGCAGACATGGTAGACTGCTTGTGGGCTCCTAAGAATTTGTAAGAAAAAGAAAATGGTGAAAGTTGGCTCAAGTGATGGAGAAGCTTCCTGGAAGCATGAGACTTTTTATTTTAATTCAAAATTAAAATATTTTCATTGGAAAAAATACATGAAAATATTGAGAAGCAAAAGTAAGACAAATACGCATAATACTATTACCAAAAGCAAATCATTGTTTAGGCTTGTTATATATTTTTCCACTTTGTTTTCTATGACTAAAAAGTAACTAAGAAAAATGACCCATAGGTCACATGTCACTTTTCTCTCTCTTTTTTTTTTTTTTTTTTTTTTGACAGAGTCTCACTTTTTCGCCCAGGCCGGACTGCAGTGGCCTGATCTTGGCTCACTGCAAGCTGTGCCTCCTGGGTTCACGCCATTCTACTGCCTCAGCCTCCCGAGTAGCTGGGACTACAGGTGCCTGACACTGCACCTGGCTAATTTTTTTTGTATTTTTAGTAGAGACGGGTTTCACCGTGTTAGCCAGGATGGTCTCGATCTCCTGACCTCGTGATCCGCCCGCCTTGGCCTCCCAAAGGGCTGGGATTACAGGCGTGAGCCACTGCGCCCGGCCATCACTTTTCTCTTCTATATTGTCCTCAAGCTTTTTATCATATATGCTTTATTTTCCCTAAGCATGGATGGCAATTATTAAATAATCTTCTGGCGCTGGCCTATACTGTTGTTAGCGATTCACACTCTTATTAGGAAAGTGTTATGGCTTTGTCTGGGTCCCCACCCAAATCTCATCCTGAATTGTAGCTCCCATAATCCCCACATGTTGTGTGAGGGACCTTGTGAGAGGTAACTGAACCATGGAGGCAGGTTTTTCCCATGTTATTCTCGTGATAGTGAATAAGTCTCAAGAGATCTGATGGCTTTATAAAGGGCAGTTCCCCCGCACAGCTCTCTAGCCTGCTGCCACGTAAAAAGTGCCTGTGTTTTTCCTTTGCCTTCTGCCATGATTGTGAGGCCTCCCCAGCCATGTAGAACTGTGAGTCCATTAAACCTCTTTCCTTTATACATGACCCGGTCTCGGGTATGTCTTTATTAGCAGTGTGAGAACAGATTAAGACGGAAAAGAACTCCAGGATGAATTGAAGATCCTTGACAGAGTGCAGGGGAAGGGAACTTACGAAGCACAAGTTTTAGAAGGGTTTACAAAGATAGACAGGGAGGAATACTGCAAAGACTCTGATAGACCACACAACGGTTGCAAACCAGTGAATCCTGTGGGAAGGCTGGGTTGGGAGTGAAGCAAATGTAAAGTTCTCACAGAAACCACAGGCTGTGGAGCTAGAGAGAGGACTAGGAGCCACCAGGTTTTATTCCCCTGTTTTACCCATGAAGAACCGGCGACACAGAGAAGGAAAGAGAAGGCCCCGGCCCTTCTCAAGCGGAATGCTGACCTGGGTCTTGAGAGCAGAATTCTTCTGCTCCATATCGTGCTATCCTCACAAAGGCCTGGAGGAAGTTCCAGGCAACTAAACTGCACCTGGTTAAGGAGGGGAGAGGGAGGTTGGATGGAACCCCCACATGGATCTAACTCTCAGCTTCCAGTCACTTTCACCAAGGCTCTGAGTGAGAGGCCCCTCCCCTCCAGACCCACACCTCACCCTGCGTCAGATTTCCCCCATGTAGTCATGGCCCTTTGACCTCGAGGCCTGACTCCTCTCTGTTCACACCCCGGACACCACCCCTGCCATCTCTGATCTCTCCATTCTTGCATGCAGGATATTTTACACAACAACATGCCAATGGCCTTTGTCTTCCTCCCCTGAGTCCCTTCAGCCCTTGTGTCTACAAGTCTGGAAGCTTCTAGAAGTCATGGGTCCTCTCTCGACTCGTGGACTTCCCACACCCAACACAGAGCCTGACATAGGCAAGTGCTCAGTGAACTGTAGGTGGCCTCTAGAAAACTGTACACCTTCTAGTACGGTTCTTTTATTAATTATATGGTGGTCTCCTAACCCCCAACCCTCAACCTGACCCAAAATGTAAGTTCCCTGAAGGAAGGAGCTGTTTCTGCTTTACTTACTGTTAAATGCCTAGAACAATGTGGTAATTGTTCCGCACTCCTCTAAATATGTTGAGTGAATGCATGAAACTGATCGTACACCTACCTATTTGACAGCGGCAAAGCACTGGAATTCCAACTGGCTCTTTATGAGTTTAGATTTTGTTTGTCTCAGGTTGATTATACAACTCCCCAGGGCAGGGGATATGTGGATCTCCCATAGCATCTAGCAAAATTGCCACGTGTATAGAAGCAGCTTAATATGTGCTAAGAATTTATTTCTATCAAATCATTAAGTGTTTGGTTTTTAACCTTCTCGGAGATCTGTCAAAACCATCCCTCACGCACATTTCACAGAGATGAAAACTTTGGTAGGTTTCCGTAACATGACATTTTGTTTTTAAAATAATATACATGCTACAATATTTTACTTGATAAAATTGCCTTCAGTTTTGTTGCATTATTCCTTTAAAGAGTAGAACAGATTACTTATAGTAACACTCTATTTATTTCTATAAGTTCATGTACCCACATCGATATCTAGCAAAAATATAAAATAAGGTTTGCAATGTTTCTTGGGTTTTTGAAAACCTGATTCTTCCCATGTGGGGCAAATAACCACAGCTTCCTGAAACACTTGGTCTTGGAAAGTTGGGCCTGGTTCTGCACCTGGGCCCTGGGCGGCCAGCCTGGGTCTGCCCAGCCTGCCTGGATCAGCCATCCTGAGCTGGAACCTCCCACAGCTGCATCCCACAGGAGGGCCCGGGCAAGCATGGACGCCTCAGTCTCAGAGCTTTCAGATAAAAGTGTCTGGGTGAGAACACCCAGTGATGACTACAAACTGAATAACTGCGTTTTCTCCAGGAAGCAGCACCGTAGGCTTCTCTGCCTTTGGCTTTAGTTGCCTAAAAGCCCTGTCACCCTGGTTTTCTTTAGGGAACAGGGGTGCGTTTGAAATGAAGATCTACTCAAACGGAGTCTGGTCAACCTCCTCCCTCCCCTACCCCAGGCGATTCTCCCCCAACCACCCCCACCAGAGAGATGCTTGGAAAGAGTAAATCCAATCTCCTTCCCTACTCCCCCACCACACACACCCCACCCCCACCCCATGTGCTTAGAATGAAATAGAGAAGACCAGGCCTCAGTGTTCCTTAGCCAAAGGCCCATCTGTTGAGGCAGGAGAATAGGGGCCTGGAGGCAGGGAACAGAAGGCCTACCCACAATGACTTCCTAGAACTAAAGCAAATGGAAGCACTTCCGCAATGATGGGAATGCAAATGGCTTTGTAACTTCTCTTCATCCTCTCCATTTACGTAGACCACACACACCAAATAACATCCTCTCCATTTACATAGGTTGTGCATTCCGAGTGAATGACTTTGTAACTTCACTTCAGTCTCTTCATTTACGTAGAGCATACACCAAGGAACCAGTGGGAAACCTCGAGAGTATGGAAACCTCAGAAAATTGTGTAACTGGGGCTCTTGAGCCACTGTGCTCAGGCTGCTCCCACACTGTGGAGTGTACTTTTGTTTCAAATAAATCTATGCTTTTGCTTCCCTCCATTTGTGCATTTTGTCCAATTCTTTGTTCAAGACGGCAAGAACCTGGACACCTTCAATCGGTAACACTGTGGTGGGTTCCCCACAGTGGAGCTGCGACCACCATGGTCTCCTCGCCTTGCCTCCAACCAGGTAGCCCCACTTTGGGTTCTGCTACTGGGTTTCTGCTGTCAACCCTCTGGCTGGAGCCCTCCTCAGGGGTCCAGTTCTCTCCCTGAGGTCAAAGGCCCTCCTCAGGGAGAACTTCACAGCCACCCCTCCACACTAGCCACACCTCTTTCTCTGTTCCCTACAGGGGTTTTCCATTCTTCAAGGCCCTTAGAGCTGTCTGACTACGGATCTTTTATGTATATGTTTATTATTTGTCTCATCCACCAGAAAAAGGTCCAGGAGGGCAGGAAATTCTGTCACTTCCAGGTCCCCAGTGCCCAGGACAGCACCTGTCCCAGAGGAAGGAAGAACTACTGCATGACTTAGATTTAATCATTGACCTATGTCTCCTCCTAGGACTCCTTAACTTCTCAAGAAAAGAAAGCAACATCATAATATCGATAACTACGGTCATTGGTTAAGTGCCAGATACACGTCCAGACTTTCACTCGCATCCATGTGAAGAGACCACCAAACAGACTTTGTGTGAGCAACAAGGCTGTTTATTTCACCTGGGTGCAGGTGGGCTGAGTCCGAAAAGAGAGTCAGCGAAGGGACATAGGGGTGGGTCCTTTTTATAGGATTTGGGTAGGTAAAGGAAAATTAGTCAAAGGGAGTTGTTCTCTGGCAGGCAGGGACAGGGGTCACAAGGTGCTCAGTGGGGGAGCTTTTGAGCCAGGATGAGCCAGGAGAAGGAATTTCATAAGGTAATGTCATCAGTTAAGGCAGGAACAGGCCATTTTCACTTCTTTTGTGATTCTTCAGTTACTTCAGGCCATCTGGATGTCTACGTGAAGGTCACAGGGGATATGATGGCTTAGCTTGGGCTGAGAGGCCTGACACAGACATCATGTGTCTTATTTATAATGTGCTCCATACCTGGCAGGATGATGATAACATCCTTGTTTTGCGAATATGGAAATGAAGGCTTGGGGTGGTTAAAGAACTTTCCAGAGTTGCTCAACTGGAAGGGTGAGAACCTGACTTCAAATCTAAGTCTGTTTTCTAGAGTTGTGCACTGTCATCTCTATTTCAGCCTGAAAAATGACTTAAAATCTTCCTTTTTAGCACTAAGATTCTCTGATTTCTGAAAAGTTAGTTGCGACTATTGCCTGAAAAGTCAAATTCTGGTTTCCTGGCTAATCAGAATCTCCTTCCTACTTGGTCTCACCCCATGTAGCATTTAAAACAGTTCAGCCAAAAAGACAGTGCCATTAGCTGATGGCGGGACCCAGCTAAAGCCACTTAATTCCCAAGTCCGGTTCTTCCCTTGTTCAGGGTTCCCATGCCCTGGGCTTCCCTATTTTTGAAGTTGAATCAGTTACATCAACAACTCCTTCCTTTTATTGATTCCCTTCCTTCTATGATTCCTGGGCATCCTAGGGGTGGCATGACTGTTCATGCCAAGGGATCTTCCCTGTCATTGCCCTACATCATCTTAGCTGGCAACATCTCATTTTATAAACTTCCATTTCACAGATAAGGTTAGTTTATTCTGTCTTAGAGCTAAGAAAAAGCTGAGATTTTGAAATCAATCCCTAATTTTGAAATCAATCAAGTGGCATGCAGTGATCAAAGACAGCCAGAAGTAACACCAATAAAATTAACAATGATATGTTCAGGAATATATTATTTGTGGGCAAAAATATATTCCCAAGAATGTTCAGCTCAGCATTGTTTATAAGAGTAGAAACTGGCAATAATCAAATGTCCAACCCTAGGGGATTGCTTAAGCAAATGACCGTAAGTCATTTAAATTGTGACATAGGGGTAATGTTCATGACTATGGAGAGATGTCCATGATATGTTGTTAAATTGGAAAAAAAAAAAACAACAACAAAGCAGACTGGTAAAGGCGGATCCTCCATTTATCTTTCCAAGAATCCTTGCTGAAGTAATTATTTTTGGTAGCTTTCTTGACATTTTCTGTGCATTCAAAGATGTTTAGTCTGGTACAGACACAGACACATCCTTTTGTGTAAAATAGAGACAGACTGTCTATACGTCCTATTCTGCAGCATGATTTTTTTAATACCTAACAATATATCTTGGGCACCTGTCAATGTTGATTCATTTAGATCTGCCTTATCCTGCTAATGGTCACCTGGTATTCTATTTGTCTGTACTTTCTTTCTGCTGATATTCTGTGTCCACTGTATGCCAGTATGCCAGATACCATGCTAGGCAGAGCTTCACTAAGCTTGATATGTGGAAGTACTGCAGTTTTCTTCATGATTGCTTAGCTGATAGATGGTTATTCCCATTTCTTTAAACGTGCTTCCATAAACAACTTTATGTACACACACACACACACACACACACACATCACTCTGCTGTGTATCTATGTTTGTGTATACTGGGGTGGAATGGGAAGTAGGGGACTTCCAAGAAGTGGCCCCAGGTGGTCAAAGGGTGTGTACAGCTTAAATTTTCATAAATAAATAGATAGATAGATTTGTCTTAGATATCTTAAATGTTAAAGGTCAACAAAGAAATATGGACTTTATCCTTGGCAGGGGAAAAGACACACAGAGGCTTTGGAGCTGTGATGCTGATTTATAAACTGGTGTTTTGGGAAAGAAGAGAAAGTGAAAGAGCCACATATGTGGAGCATCTCTCATTTGCTCAGTGCTTTCTTAGGTTGTTACAGTCGGTCCTCACATCTCCTCTGTCGTTGCTTGGAAGACATGTGATGGGTGCTCCATGAACATGCTTGAAATGAATGGATGAGTGGATACACAATAGGCACTCTGATCCCCAATGTCAAGGTGAGAAAATTGATGTGGGGAGAGGTTGAAGGCTCGCTTGACACCTCACTGCCAGGTGCGCTGCACCCAGAGGTTGATCTGTGTCCATAGCAGCAACTTGGAGGGTGACGAGACGGGGGCCAGGAGGCCAGTGAGGACGGGCTTGGAGGATTGCATCCTATGATGGACACCTGTAGAGCCAGAGCTGGAAAGGCAGGACAGAGAAATAATAATGTCTGAATTTTCCAGAGACAGTCCTGGCTACATGGCATGGCATTATCCGTCCCTGTTATTCAAGAAAAACAAATCCACTTTCCTAAATTACATGCCTGTGTCTGTATTATAGGAATTACATGTCCTCCCCCATCTGCTCTGCAAACATCCATTGTCCCAGCCCGCTGGCTTAGCAGTATCAGTTATTTTGACAAACTGCCTGTGCTCACATGCCCGGCCTGGCTTTGCAGTCACCTACCTTTCGCTGAGGGGTGGGAAAGCCTCCCGACAAATATTTGCAGAGTGAAAGTAAACTCAGGTGGGAGGTTGCAATCCCTGAATGATCCCAGACCTCAGGCTCCCTGGGCAAGGCAGGGGTAGAAGGGAGCTCACTCTGCTTCCAAAGATTAAGGACATGCCCACCACACAGAGTCTCTGGAAATGACAATCAGGAAATGATTGTCAGCCTCATGAAGGTCTAGACTTTCTGTTTGTGCTCGGTCAGTTGGATATAAGTTTCACTATCTTTTTCCCTTTTGCTTTTTTATGACATTTCAGACCAATTAAAAAATTGCTTTTCTTTAACTTTTACAAGACCCCATATTTCACGTGATCAAAATTTTTGAGCCCCAGCTGATCTCCTTATGGCAGTTTTTTTTATTGCATTTGAGTGTCTTTTTATTTTTATTTTTTTTATTTTTTATTTATTTATTTATTTATTGAGACGGAGCCTCACTCTGTTGCCCAGGCTGGAGTGCAGTGGCGCGATCTCGGCTCACTGCAAGCTCCGCCTCCCGGGTTCACGCCATTCTCCTGCCTCAGCCTCCCGAGTAGCTGGGACTACAGGCACCTGCCACCACGCCCGGCTAATTTTTTGTATTTTTAATAGAGATGGGGTTTCACTGTGTTAACCAGAATGGTCTCGATCTCCTGACCTCGTGATCCGCCCGCCTCAGGCCTCCCACATTGCTGGGATTACAGGTGTGAGCCACCGCACCCGGCCTGACTTTCTTTTTATTTTTTATAACAACTTTCAAGTTTTTATTTGTGAGTACATCTTATACAAAACATATTAGCATTTAGAGACATACTCGTGCGTACTTTATAAAATAAAATACATTCATTGGGATATACGCTCCATATTTTTCTACACAAATAAGGCATCTTTTGGAGAACGCTGTGCTGGAACATCAGAGCTAGAAGAGACCTTAGCAACTCCAGGCAATTCACTGTCCAACTTTAACAGGTCTTGGATTTGGCAGAGATACCCCGAAGATGCTGGCGCAGAGGTCTGGGGTGAAGCCCAGTCATCTGCTCTTTGACAAAGTCTCTGCATGGTTCCGAAACATGTGTCCTTGGACCACAGCGCCTGACACTGTGAACCAGGGCTTTGTCTGGGTTTGCAAAGGGAAGGCCCTGGCCTTCTTCCTTTCTCCAGGCTCTGTGGCCCTGGGATGTCCTTCAGGCTGTCCCCCTTATCTAACCTACTGCCATTTGCCTTCTCAAGTGTCCTCTTTAGTGACACCATTGATGTTTCCCAGAGGATCGACTATCTTTCCCTCCCGGGTAACTACTGTTTATGAAAAATAAACTTTCTTGATAACCAAAGATCTAAACTTAAGGAATTATCCCTCTCCCTTGTCACTACTATGAGATTTTTTGCTATTTATTTGTGTGTCTCTTTTGTTGGTGGTCCCAGAATTTGTCTGGTCTTTAGAATCACCTTGGAACATTTTGGAGAGATTCCAAGTCCCCACCCCAGAGATTACAGTTTAGAAGATCTGATCTACTTAATCCTCTCAACAACCCTAATTTGGAGGCTCAGGGTAGTTAAGACACTCATCCAAGTTCCAACAGCTGGAAAGTGGCCAATCCAAAATTCAAGCTTGCATCTGAGTCTTATGAGTCTTTTCATACACCAGGAGGCCACACACACCATAAGGAGGGAGTTTCACTACAAGAAAAAAAAAAAAAGTCAGCTGGGCGCGGTGGCTCACGCCTGTAATCCCAACACTTTGGCAGAGGTGGGTGGATCACTTGAGGTCAGGAGTTTGAGACCACCCTGGCCAACATGGTAAAACCCCATCTCTACTAAACAACAACAACGGCAACAAAAAATTAGCCAGGTGTGATGGCGGGTGCCTATAGTCCCAGCTACTCAGGAGGCTGAGGCAGGAGAATCACTTGAATCTGGGAGGTGGAGGTTGCAGTGAGCCGAGTTCATGCCATTCCAGCCTGGGTGACAGAGCGAGACTCCACCTCAAAAGAAAAAAAAAGAAAGGAAAGAAAACGAAAAAAAAAAAAGTGGCTGTAAGACACCTGAGAGTGGTTGGCCCCAATGTTAGCACTGGAGTAGCAGATAAGACCAAGCCTCAGTGTGAGTGAGCACCAGGATGCCTTTGGAGCTGAAGTCCCTTCTGTCTTAAGTTAGGGGCAGACTCAAGGTCAGTGCTGATCCCAGGCTGCAAAGAGGTCAGGGACTATGGGAGAGACAGGTTGGGGCTGGAACAGGCAGGCTGGGGAAAATGGCAGAGGATGCTTCCTTGCTGTCCTGACTCAACCAAGAGCAGAGGGCCAGTCAGATGGGGGAGAAGGAAAGAAGAAGGAGAGGGGGTAGTTTTAAGGGATGACCAAACAGATTTGGTTAGAGGTCGAACAAATGAAAGGCTTCCAATCTGGGAGAAAAAGCAGTGCTGGAAAAGATCTTTGAAGCAAAGTCAACAGCTCTGCTCCAAAGTGGGCCCTTGAGAGAATTTCCCAGGCCAGCTGCCCTCCCAGTCCCCACCTGCTCCCCGCCCCTCCCAAGGCCCGGCCCACCCCAGCTCAGCCTTCTATGCCCACAGCCCGGTTTCCTCTCCAACATAAGCACCTTTCTTTTTCATGCACCCAAGATGCTCTAATAGGTCACCCTGGGAAACGCCCTTCAGATTCAAAGCCAGTAGGATGAGGCCAAGGCCAGAGGGCAGGAGCCGTGGGAAAGCAGAGGCCCCAGGCACCAAAGGGTGGGCACCAGCTCTTATGCTCACGGCGAGACATGCCCCCTTCTTTTCCCCGTACTTAAAGGCGCCCTTCTTTCTCCGGGTACAATACAGTGAATACGGCCGGGATTCCAGGCTGAGTGGGACATTCTTGCATTGTGTCAGCCATAATGAGGGGCTTTGGTGGGCCACGGGCCTCCCAGCATGGGACTTCACATGGCTAAAGAGACTTTGCTGGGGAGGGGGCAGGGGTTTCTGGGCCTTTCTCAGAAAACAGTGAAAAAGGCAGCCTCTGCCCTCAGAGCAGAACCTTAGAGAACGCTGGGCCCAAGGCAGCCTCTGAGAAAAGCCCCTCCTGTGGGCGGCTTGCCAGCCCTGCAGAGCCTGAACCAGGGCCACATGGGGCCAGGGGCCACGACCAGGAAGGTGGATATATGAGCAACTGTCACTCGTTCACACAGCGCCCTGCTCCTGGGCTCAGGTTCCATATCTGTAAAATGAGAGTGTTAGAGGAAAATGCTCCAAGCTCCCTTTCAACTTTAAGATATTCTTTCTGGGACCGGCTACGAACCAGTCCCAGACTTGGGGCAAGTGGCTCGCACATTCGGGGTGTCTTGTTCAAAAAGCAGGATAAAGGTGCTGGTACTGAAATATCAAGTTTTTTCCTTTCTTCCACAATCTCTGTCTTTCTCTCTCAAGTTATCAGGCTTTATTTTTTTTTATTTTTTAGTTTTTCTGAGGCGGAGTCTCGCTGTCGCCCAGGCTGGAGTGCAGTGGCGCAATCTCGGCTCACTGCAAGCTCTGCCTCCTGGGTTCACACCATTCTCCTGCCTCAGCCTCCCGAGTAGCTGGGACTACAAGGCACCCGCCACCACGTCCAGCTCTTTTTTTGTATTTTTAGTAGAGATGGGGTTTCACTGTGTTAGCCAGGATGGTCTCGATCTCCTGACCTCGTGATCTACCCGCCTCAGCCTCCCAAAGTGCTGGGATTACAGGCATGAGCCACCGTGCCCAGCCTGTTATCAGGGTTTTTATATAGTATTTAATATTGTTCTAAGTAAAGAAAAATTAGAATTTTACATTACTAGCTAAGTGTTATTATCCCTTATTATATTGCGTAATGCCAATTTTAAATGCCAATAAGGCCCTTTAACTCATATACAGAATTACCAAGACCACACAGTTTGTATTTCATAGCTTGCTACTCTATGCGAATGTATTTTGGTCTGACCAGGCAGTGGAAGTGCGACCCAAAAGTAACTCAGCTCTTTCTATTTCCCTTCGTGGTCTGCACACATTCCATAACACTCTCCACCTCTGATTTCCGGCCTGCTGACCAGCAAGGAAGGACTGACGGGAAAGGAACTGTGGGTTTCCTCATCTAATCTTTGACTTCTGTATCATATTTTCAGCATAATTAGGTGACCCCCACAGAGAAATGATATGATAGGGATCCCTCGGCTGTTCATGTTTCTATTGCCTTCTTTTCATGTTTGGAGCAAGTTCTGGTTCCAAAGGAAAGGTGGTGTCTCAGGGCCATCCGTGCCTCCCGTAGCCAGTTCTAGAAGTAGGGTGCTTTGCTTGTGCAGCCTTTCAGCCTCACTCACGCCTGGAGCTCAGGGACTGCAATGCTGTGCTCCTGGAGCCTTGAGTAATATGCAAATGAGAAGCAAGGGGAGCCAGGTGTGGTGGCTCACGCCTGTAATCCCAGCACTTGGGGAGGCCGAGGCGGGCGGATCACGAGGTCAAGAGATCGAGACCATCCTGGCCAACATGGTGAAACCCCACCGCTACAAAAATTCAAAAATTAGCCGGGCATGGTGGTGTGTGCCTCTAGTCCCAGCTACTCGGGAGGCTGAGGCAGGAGAATAGCTTGAACCCAGGAGGTGGAGGCTGCAGTGAGCTGAGATCACACCACTGCACTCCAGCCTGACAGCAGAGCCAGACTCCGTCTCACAAAAAACAACAACAACAACAAAAACAGAAAAGTAAGGGGAGAGGCTGAAATGTGGGCAGATCTGTGTTCACTTGCATGCTCCATTGACTTAGCAGACTTTACTTGCAAGATGCAAGTTTAATGACAACACTCGTAAGCATTGCCAATGATGGCAGAGTATTCAACCAACTAAGAGCCCCTCTAGGCATGGGCAGCCCTGTGTGATGGCCTTGAGACCACCCTGCTGCCGCTCCCAGTGCTGAACTACAGCCTTCCCCGCAGGCTGATACAGCAGGCACTCACACATCTACCTCTGCTGGATGACTTGGGGCAAGTGGCTTGCACATTCTGAACTTCCGTTTCCTCATCTGGAAAATAAAGCTAGTACTGGGAAATAGTCATTATTTTTACAAGGATTGCATTCAATTAAAACATCTAGAACATACTGCAGCTCTTACTTTAATAAGATAAGAAATCCTCTCCAGGTGGGTAGGAGTGACCGACAGCAAGGAGTCATGGACTGGAGAAATGCCTGGAGTCCACAGGGCAGAGGAGCTTCCAAATATTTGGTTTAGGACAGAGTCAGACAGTCATATAGCCTCCAGTCGCAGACAGGAGCTCAAGTATTGAACAGGAAACTGAGGCAGAAATTCCAATTCTGAACAAGATGGAGGCGACAGGGCACGGATTTGGCATGCAGATACCCCGGGCTCCCTCCGTCTCCATCCCCTCCTCCCCATCCCTGCTTTTCCATCCCTGTCTCAGATTCCAGGCAGGAGGCAGTTGGTTTCCAGACTCCTGTACTGGGGAAAGTGTTCATCTCCAGCCGGGGGTAGTGGCTCACATCATTAAACAGCCTGTAATCCCCGCACTTTGGGAGGCCTGAGGTCATGAGTTTGAGACCAGTCTGGCCAACATGTTGAAACCCATCTCTACTAAAAATACAAAAAATTAGCCAGGGATTGTGGCGCACGCCTGTAATCCCAGTTACTCGGGAGACTGAGACAGGAGAATCACTTGAACCCGGGAGGTGGAGGTTGCGGTGAGCCGAGATCACGCCATTGCACTCCAGCCTGGGCAAAAAGAGTGAAACTCCATCTTAAAAAAAAAAAGAAAGAAAGAAAGAAAAGAAAGAGTTCATCTCCTCAATCTCCTCCCTGTCAGAAATGGGTCAGAGAAATATTTTCAAAACTATCTCCTACGAGATATAAATAGATGTTTCATGAAAAAAGAAGGAAGAGGAGGAAGGGAAGAAAAAGAAATGGAGGGAGAGGAAGAGGAGGAGGGAGAAGGGGGAGGAGAGAAGAAAATCAATGACAACAACATGACGATTTGAGAAATACCAAGTTAAACACATTTCAACAGGTTCTTCATAATGGAACATGAAACATCATTAATATACGCCCAGGCATGTCACTCTCCAGGCAGTATTTCCTATACTTATTTCTGCAGGGAGCGGTTTTCCATAAAGCACTGTGCAGAGCACAGCCTAACAATTTTGACACCACGGAGATCTGATGAGACTGTGCTGGTGTAGATGTAGTATTTGTGACTGCCAGGTAGAGGGGCAGGAGAGGGCTGCAAGCTCCTCCCAGTGCCTCTTGAAGGAACCCAGAGCTTTGAGACCATGAGAAGGAAAAGGCATGGGCTAGAGACATGCATGCAGCTGCTCCTGAGGAAGGACACTGGCCCAAAGGCCGCACCTCCCTGCTGCTGTGTTGCAGATGGGCATTGACCTTCCACAGAAGCCAGGCTATGCAAAGACACAAAACGACGGTCTGCAGTGCATTCCAGGAGGGCCACTTCTAGTTCCCATGCCCCTGATAGAAGTCAGAAAGACCCACTGCCCAAGGCCAATCACATCTCACAACCTCAGCCTTCCCGGCTTTCCTGGGATGCAGCCCTGCTTCCCCAGAAGTTTGATGCACAAAAAGTATATTGCACGCCACAGCCATTCTCTCCAAATCTCCTCTTGTTCACTGGGCAGGAGGAGTAACTACTCGTGAACCACTCAATCTTCTCTTGGAAGGTACTGTTATCAACAAAAAGAACCCAAGGATCACATACCAGGAAGGCGATTTAGGTGATTTTGCAGCAATGCTGTTCACTGAATCCCACTTTTCAAAAATCCACCTTCTCTCTTCTGTGGGAACCCAGGGAACTGCATGAATGAGCACTCAACACTCTAAACGCAGGTCCAGAACTTGCAGGTGATTCATAAGATCGCTGCCCCTCTCTGAGCCTCAGATTCTGTATGTAGAAAATCAAAGTCCCAGAGGTTGGCACTTCCTTCACATAAGTAAGAAGCTAATACGGAAAAGCATTGGGCTGCTTCCTTTTGCTCGGACACCAAGGGAAAGAACCTTGAACCTATTAATGGAACCTCCGGGGAGACAGATTTCGGCTCAGAAGAAGAAAGCACTTTCTAATTATGATGTCCTGGGAAGGGTTTGAGCAAGGGATCACAGACAGCTAGGCACAGATCCTGGATTTAGAGTCTGACCAATTTTTATCTGAATTCCAGCATTTTCACCTTCTTAGCTGTGTAACTGAGGGCAATTTATTCAACAACTCTACGCCTCCAGTCCTTGTCTGTAAAATGTAGATTGCAATCAGTTAATTTGCTTATTCATCCATCATCATTAATTCAGTGTTTGTTCTGCTACACACGAGCACCACGTAAGAACAGCAGCATCCCACCAGGGGTAAACCCCTTGCAAGGAAAGTGCCTGACGCCATGTGACAGATGACAGGCGCCTAGTAAAAGCCGACTGGCATTACTTTTCAGTGGATGGAGCTGCCTCCAGAGGGAGTGAGCTGCCCCAGGAAGGCCAGGTAAGCTCTGAGGAAGGATGTGGAGGAGGGGACTCTGGCATCAGGCAGAGAACTCTTCCTGCTTGGGGGCCCCTGGGGTCTCTTCTGGCCACCCAGGAGAGGCTCATCTGGGACTGTGGCTCAGCCTCCCAGAATGGAGCTCTTTCCCCGGACCCACACAAAAAGCCAAGGAAAGTGCTAAGGGGACACATGGGCTGAGCAGGGCAGCAGCGAGACAAAGAGCCTTCCAAGAGGCAGCCACAAAATGGGCACTTCTAGGCCTCGGGGCAGCGACCGGCGCCTCCGCAGGGGCTGATTTCTGACGGAAGTGGGCCCTCTGGCGGGCGGCGGGGGTAACGTCCCTGCCCAGGGCTCTGGCCCCTTTCTGAGCCAGCCTGGATCCTAAGCACAGGACTGCTGTCTAAGGTCTGCAGGCATCCTTGTTGCAAACCCCAAAGCACAGGCATTAGTATGAACGGCGGGGAAAAGTGCATTCAGCCAGAGTGAATTGTGGTCAGGGAGGTGAATGAGCTTTATTTTGGAGACCCAAATGGACTCCCACCCCATGCCTTTGGAGTCATTATCCACTCTTCCCAGAAATCCACTATGGCTCATGGGCCACCTCATTCCTGTCGCTCATCCGGCATCCCACACTGTCCTACTCTGCGCCTTAGATTCTGATGCTAACGGGTGAGTCATGGGTGGGCTTAGGGCACATCCAGGCCCTGGGGCCGCAGATCTGGCAGGTAGCCCATGACTGACTCGCTGTCTTTTGCGTGAGCGTGTAGCATAAAATGCCTGATCATGGGCACATTGTTTTCCAAAGATGAGGCAATGAGTGAACTGATGCCCTTAGGTGTGGGCATTACTTTCTTTCTGAGAACTCCCCAATGCCACCTGGTTTTCATGACCCTCATGACTCTGCATGGCTGCCTGCACCTGCCCCCGTCAGAGACCATTTCTGCCTGTGGTCTGAGCAGAAGGGGGAGTGAGCCCCACGTCCTCCACCACCCACCACGACTGCCACCCCAACCACACTGCCTGGCCATGATGGGTACCTGAACTGGGTGTAGCCACCTGCAGGATGCCAGCAACCTACACCTAATGCCACTGGCATAGTAGATATGCCAGCCTATTTGCTTATCTACTACACAGGGACCCAGCAAGGACATGGCAAGGGGCTGTTGGAACCAACACTGAAGGGTTGTGTAGAGAGGGAAGGGGTACACTGGAGGCAAAGGGTGCTGAGATAAAGTTGGTTATACTTCTGGCTTATGGTGGTTAATTTTATGTGTCTATTTGGCTTGGCCATGGTGCCCAGATATCTGATCAAACATTATTCTGGATGTTTCTGTAAGGACATTTTTGGATGAGATTAACATTGAAATCAGTGGACTTTGAGTAAACCATATTGCCCTCCCCAATGTGAGTGGGCCTTGTCTAATCGGGTGAAGGCCTGAATAGAACAAAAGACTGACTTTCTGGGAGTGGGAGGTGATTCTGCAGATGGATCCCTTTGGACTTGAACTGCAGCATTGACTCTCCTGGGTCTCCAGCCTGCTGGCTCACCCTACAGATTCTGGACTTGCCAGCTTTTCTAAGTGCTTGAGCCAATTTCTTAAAATACATCTCTTTCTAGATATATCTACATCCTATTTCCTCTGGAGAGAAACTGTGATCAATGCACTGGCTGATGATGTCTCTTCTACTTCTTTTATCACCAACATTTAAAAAAGAAATATTTGGGCCGGGTGCGGTGGCTCACACCTGTAATCCCAGCACTTTGGGAGGCCAAGGAGGGCGGATCACCGGAGGTCGGGAGTTTGAGACCAGAGAGACCAACACGGAGAAACCCCGCCTCTACTAAAAATACAAAATTAGCCAAGCATGGTGGCGTATGCCTATAATCTCAGCTACTAGAGAGGCTGCGGCAAGAGAATCGCTTGAACCTGGGAGGCAGAGGTTGCGGTGAGCCAAGATCGCGCCTGGAAAACAAGAGTGAAACTCCGTCTCAAAAAAAAAAAAAAAAGAAATATTTCTTCTTTTTGTTTCCCTCCCTCCACAATTTCTACTGGCACTCTACTTCATTCAACAAATCACATTTTTTTTTTCTGGTTGTAAGATCAGTTTCAGGATTTTGCAGGATAATTAAGCCAAAGATGATAACACTTAACTTAATTGGTAGTGCTATTTAGCACCTGGTTACTAGTGCTCATAACTTATTTATCAAAAGCATTGTGTAAGGAAGATGTGAGAGATGTATTTGGGAGCTCAGGCCAGAAATGGTCAGGGCTTTCTCTGTGTGTGGCACAGAAAGTCCGGTGCTTCTTCCTTATCCATCACAGTCTGAATTTTCAACACTATATTCACAAGGTTTTGTGTTCAACAGGATTTCCTTGTGCTTCTATAATCACCAGAGTAACAATAGGTTGGTATCCACACATGCGTGCATGTGATCACATGTGTGCATGTGCCAGTACATTTATGACATGAGTGTATTCATTTATCCAGGAATAAAACTAAAACTTAAATTCCAAAATCACCTGTGAACCCATCAATGTGATGACTACTTGCTGCCCAAATGCTTCACATTTTGAAGTCTCAGGCAACCTCATGCTAAATAAGGTTTGGGCTGTGTTTATCTTTTCATCCCCAGCACCTAACACTGGGGCTGAGTACAGAGGGGGCCCAATTTTTAAATGAATGAATTAAATTATTCATTTAATAAATGTTGATTGAGCACCTACCTATTGTCTGCTAGGCAGAGTTCTAATTGGACTCCCCATTTGGATGGCAGAAGTCAGTGGTAGGTAGGCTGGGCACGGTGGCTCAGGCTGGGCGCGGTGGCTCACGCCTGTAATCCCAGCACTTTGGAAGGCCGAGGCGGGCGGATCATGAGGTCAGGAGATCAAGACCATCCTGGCTAACACAGTGAAACCCCGTCTCTACTAAAAATACAAAAAAAAAAAAAATTAGCCAGGCATGGTGGTGGGCGCCTGTAGTCCCAGCTACTCATGAGGCTGAGGCAGGAGAATGGCATGAACCCAGGAGGTGGAGCTTGCAGTGAGCCGAGATTGCGCCATTGCACTCCAGCCTGGGTGACAGAGCAAGACTCTGTCTCAAAAAAAAAAAAAAAAAAGAAGAAGTCAGTGAGTCAGTGGTGGGTAAATAAATGCACAGAATCCTGTCTCCCACGTGCGTGTGTTAAAGGACATGAAACAGGGGCATGAGACAGAATGATAAGGAAGGGGTCATTGGGGAGGTGGCATCAGCACAGAGCCTTGGTGATGCTGGATACTTGGTTTTATAGAGCGGTTTTTTTCCTTGGGAAAATCACTTGCTTCCTGCATAGTGTATCAAATCTGACAATAATTTGCCAGGTATAAATTAGAGAGGATACAGAGAGGCCAGAGAGGCAAGCCCTTGACAAGTATAGGAGACTTTCCCCGTGACCTGGACTGTGTAAGAGTCCCATCGCAAAAGGTATCTCTGTTCTCTCAGCTACCAGGAGGCACCATTAATACCATTTTGAAATTATGAAATTTGATTCTTCCATATTTGTATTTATATTTAAGTCTACTTTGAGATTTGATTTATATTTATATGAATGGACTTTTTATGTATTCGCTTTATTGATTTATATAGTTTTGTATTTATAATTATATTTATAAAGTCTCCTGCAGAAATCCAGGAATTTGTAGAGACTAAAGGAGTGTGCTTGCTTTCAGTTTTCTCATACATACATTTCTGTTTTTTCTCTTAATACAAAACAAATGCTGTAGAAAATGTGAAGTCTACTAAAAAGTTTAAATATCAAAATTAAAAATCCTCACAAATCTTAAACTTCATGAATATTCACTGCAGACAAGCAATTTGGTTCTCTCAGACTCTTTTTTTAATTAAGAAAAAGCTATTTTGAACATTACTGAGAATATACAGTAAGTAAATATGTCATGGTTTGATCACTGAATTTAATAAATATTGGCCAACATCACTACAAACATATCCTAAATATTATTTTAAATCCCTATAGTGAATTCTACTTTATGTAAATAGTATATTAGTAAATTATTCTCCATGCCCTGAATATTTTGATTGGTTTCTTCTTTTTTCATATTGGGAACATCCTGCAAAATTATTGCATCATTTTACTGCTTTCTCCTGCAGCTAAGGGTCAAACCAAAAGACAGTACCCATTTTCCTAAGGCGTTTAGAGGAGTAGTTAAAGAATTGTTCCTGCAGCTTCACAGTGGACGCTCTTCGGGCTGGCTCTTCTGCCATTCTCTTACCTTTCCTTTCCCCTCAGCATTGCAAGAGGAATTCCGTAAATCCAGAGATCCCATTCTCAAAAGACGGACAAGAAATGGCAGGACGCAAGAGCACCATACAGGACTCTCCTCGATTTCCCAAATGCCACCCCCCACCCCCCACTCACGCCTCCCACCTCCCCCAATCCCCCCACCTTCCCCCCACCCCCCCACCTTCCCCCCCACCCCCCCACCTTTCTCCCCACCCCCCCACCTTCCCCCCCACCCTCCCCCACCCACCCCCGGCACAGCGCTAAGCAGAGACACTTCCTTTGGTCTTGTTAGAAATTGCTCTCTCCTCTGTCTATCTGGCTGTAGGGGAGGCTAGGAAAGGCTGCAGCCACCTAAATCCACTATATGGGAGAAGGGAGCCAAGGAGAAAGAGACTAGAGATGTTGTTGGGAAGACAATCATTATTATTACTACTCACTAAAATCGTCTTTGTTCCCAAGCCTTTTTCTGTATTCATTATTTTCTAAAGAGTGATTCTCTCTAGTGGAGCTACTGATCTAAAGGCTGTAAACAGTTTTAAGTATCTTATACGTATTAACAGTTGTGTTCTAAGATGGTGTGTTTGAATTATTTTTCACTGAATTACTACCACTGAATGTTACGATGAGATCTTTTGCATAGTCTTTGATGTATTCAAGGAAATTGAGATCTCTCAACCTGGTAGTGTTGAGCTGATGTTGGACCGTGGTGTATGTAAGCGTGGCTGTGGCATGAAAACACCATGTTGTGAGTGTGTGTCCATGTGTGTGTATGCACATATATGTGTCTGTGTGAGTATATGATTATCTGAGCATGTGCACATAAGTGCATGTCCCTGTGTGCATGTGTAGGCACGTGTGTGTGTGTGTGCATGCATGTAGCTCTGGCTTGTCATTGGCAGAAAAAGGGAGTAGGGTATGGTTTCCCTCAATTAGGTGAAACCTCAGTTTCCAGACTTCTAAATAGACACGACGATTTCTGCACTATTATTCTGACTGGATTTCCTCTGCGGCAAGTGAGGAATTCACTTTAACTTTGTTTTTTGTTTTTCGTGGATGTTTGTTTGTTTGTTTGCTTGTTTTGAGATGGAGTCTCACTCTGTCACCAGGCTGGAGTGCAGTGGCACAATCTCGGCTCACTGCAACCTCCGCCTCCTGGGTTAAAGTGATTCTCCTGTCTCAGCCTCCCTAGTAGCTGGGATTACAGGTGCATGCCACCACATCTGGCTAATTTTTTGTATTTTTAGTAGAGACGGGGTTTCACCATGTTAGCCAGGATGGTCTCAATCTCTTGACCTTGTGATCCGCCCACCTCGGCCTCCCAAAATGCTAGAATTACAGCCATGAGCCACCACGCCCGGCCTACACTGTATGACTTTGGACAAGTCACTGTTCTCACTAAATTCCCATCTCCTCGTCTTTCCAAGGAGGATAACTTTTCCTGTGTCACATGGATTACTGTGAGAAACGTGAGAGATCATGTGACATGCTCCATAAAAGCTGAGTCCTAAAGGAGGAGTGAGCCAGATGATTCCAAGGGGCAGGAGGCCTTAGATAGAGTGTCCTGTGGCAGGTAGGAGTGGGGTAGTGCTGCTGCTGATGACGATGATGAAGGAGACGGGCTAAGGGCGTGCTGCGGTAAGGGCCCTAGGGCCACAGAAGCCTCAAGCCTGTCAAGGGCCCATCAGGGAGTCACTGGTTACCTCTGCTGGTTATGAGTGGTGGCTTATCTTCTGATTCTTGGCCTGCCCTCACGGGTCAGGGAGCCTTCCTTCCCTGGCACAGAGTTGCAGGCAGCCTCCTGTGCATACCTTCCCAGGCTAAGAGAAGGGGGCTATATCTTTGTCTCTAGATCTTTGATCCCTGTGCCCTGAAAGAGTAGGATTGAGACAGAGGGAGACGTTCATTGAAGCAAGACCCGAAGAAGATGCAGCTAGGTCTGTGAACGTATCAGATGGCTTGTAATATCTGGACCCTTTGATTGAGAAATAAGCTTTCCCAGTATCCTTGAAAGACTCTGCAACAAAAAGTAAAGGGTGACTATGGTGGATCCCAGTGTCTCTGGAGGTAATGTGAGAGGATGGGGAGATGGGCCCACAGTCTGGAATCCAGACTCCAGGTTTCCTCTTCTTGCTGCTCAGATGGGGTGAGACTCCTGGCCTCCCTGAGCCTCCCTTTGCTGTTTGATGGTGGCCTCACAGATCCCCAAGGGTCTGTAGGCAAACCCAGCCCTGCAGACTCCCATCCTCCAAAGGTGGAGAGTTACTTCCCATGGGAGAAATCACCTCAAGCCTCCTCTACTCGGTGCAGTGACGCACAGTGCAAAGCGTGACGAACGCCCGGCCATGGCCTCGCCTGCCCGGCCTCCCTTCCCCGCTTACTGACTTTCCCCTCAATTCTAATTGGACCAGTCATTTAATTTCACTTCGGCTTAATGGCTTTCCACTGTGGCAGCTGGGACAGAAGGTCAAACTAAAGGACTTCAGTCCTGATCAAGAACAGCTTCTGACCAGAAAGGCAGTGGTGAGCATAGCTCAGGTCTCCAGGGAAAGTGCGAAATGGATTAGGCAGGTGGACTCTGGAAGAGTGTTACAGTCCTCCTTCCATCTTGTGTAGATACGGGGTACTGCTCAGGCAGCCTCCACAGAACAGAAAGATTCAGGGCTTTTTGGCATCTAAATAGGGCTAATATTTCATATGTTGTCATGTGTAATTTGTACTTTATTTATTTATTTATTTATTTATTTTTGAGACAGAGTCTCACTCTGTGGCCCAGGCTGGAGTGCAATGATGTGATCTCAGCTCACTGCAAACCTCCTCCTCCCGGGTTCAAGCAATTCTCCTGCCTCAGCCTCCCAAGTAGCTGGGATTACAGGCAGCCACCACCACACTCGGCTAATTTTTTGTGTTTTTAGTAGAGATAGGGTTTTGCCATGTCAGCCAGGCTGGTCTAGAACTCCTGACCTCAGGTGATCCACCCACCTCAGCCTTCCAAAGTGCTGACATTACAGGCATGAGCCACCACGCCTGGTGAATAATTTTAATAAATATCTAGATTAGCCGGGCGTGGTGGCTCCCACCTGTAATCCCAGCACTTTGAGAGGCTTCCTCACAGCCTGCAGAACCATGAGCCAATTAAACCTCTTTTCTTTATAAATTATCTAGTCTCAGTTTTCTTTTTTTTTTTTTTTTTTTTTTGAGACAGAGTCTTGCTCTTTCGCCCAAGCTGGAGTGCAGTGGCGCTATCTCGGCTCACTGCAAGCTTCACCTCCTGGGTTCATGCCATTCTCCTGCCTCAGCCTCCTGAGCAGCTGGGACTACAGGCGCCCACCACCACGCCCAGCTAACTTTTTGTATTTTTAGTAGAGACGGGGTTTCACCATGTTAACCAGGATGGTCTCGATCTCCTGACCTTGTGATCCACCTGTCTTGGCCTCCCAAAGTGCTGGGATTACAGGCGTGAGCCACCGCGCCCGGCCAGTCTCAGGTATGTCTTTATAGCAGTACGAAAATGGACTAATAGAGCATCTATACACAAAAGTGCAATATATCACATTAGCGCCTCACATTTCTCTTAGTACCCACTCCCAGCCCCTTAAGATACAATCAAAAGAACAATGGATATGGAATCAAAATAAACAAGTTACTGGCTGGGCACGGTGGCTCACGCCTGTAATCCCAGCACTTTGGGAGGCCGAGGCGGGTGGATCACGAGGTCAGGAGTTCGAGACCAGCCTGACCAACGTGGTGAAACCCCGTCTCTACTAAAAGTACAAAAATTAACCTGGCGTGGTGGCACAGGCCTGTAATCCCAGCTACTCAGGAGGCTGAGGCAGGAGAACTGCTTGAACTCAGGAGGCAGAGCTTGCAGTGAGCCAAAATTATGCCACTGTACTCCAGCCTGGGCGATAGAGCAAGACTCCGTCTCAAAAAAAAAAAAAAAAAACAACAAGTTACTAACCTGGTTTTCTTTTACCTGCTTGACCTTCATTCAAGTTCATTAAACTCTCTTAGCTTCAGCTTCCTCCCCTGTAACCATGGTATAGTAATCCTTTCTTGGTAGGAGTTTCGTGAGGATTAGAGAGGATGGAAGTGGAGGTCCTGGAGCAATCCTTAACACAGAACAGGAGTTACATTCTTCTAAGATTTGGTATTTATTGAGTCCCCACTGTGAGCCTGCCAGGCCAGATCTGGGCCCTAGATACAGAGATTAAAAAAAAAAAAAAAAAAAAAAAAGCGTGCCCAGCCTATGAGGAGCTCTTTTTCTATGGCGGAAACAGATGTGATAAAGGGCTGTGCAATACAGTATGATGTGTGCTGGGGCTGGGTAAGGGACAGGGGCTGTGGGATTCCAGAGGAGGGACTGACAACTGGGCTATCAGGGAAGGCTTCACAGAAGAGGTGGAAAATGGCATTCATGATGAAGAATGGGTGGAATTGGTTCAAAGAGTGGAGTGGCAGGAGTGTGACTCAGGTAGGTGTGCATGCTAGGAGCCTCCTGCGCTAGGAGGGCATGAGTTTGGGGAGTGGCCAGGAATTTGGGTATGGTGGGGATACTTGTTGAACTAAATATTTTGAGGCATTGTCTTATGGGCTAGAAATAGGATTCCAGTTTCCAGGCCAGGATTTTCTACCAAATTTCTGTATTTCTTTGAAAAAAAAAAAATAAAAGAATCAGAAACCTTTCTAGGTTCTGGTCTTCCTCCTCTTTAAAATGAAGAGATTGAATAAAACTAGCTTCAAGACCTTATTTAGTTCTATGAGGCCATACAGATAGAAATTTGATAATGTCACATGAGGAGGCAATGACCTGGGATCTGGATTCCTGACAATGCCCTTTAAATGTCATCTCATCAAGATTTTCTTAGTCATTATTATAATGGTTTGCTCCCCTTCTTGCTCAATAAAAAAATGGACATTCAATCTAACTTCAAATCTCAAAGATAACTAATTTGTTAAACCAGTTTGGTAGGATGAGTCAGCAGCATACACAAATCTGAAGCGCTGACATGCTTGATGGCTTCATGTGGCACTAAACTCCTAACGATGAAGCTTCTGCATGTACTGAACACCTACTGTGTGCCAGGCACTGGGGGCACATAGACAAAGAGACATAGCCCCTTTCTTTAAATAGCACACCTTTGGGAAGAAACATTGAAGTAAGCAGATTATTAAGATATAGAAGAGACTGGTTAAAAGAAGTATCTGATGATATGAAAAATGCTGTGGAGACCCTCTACCCAGGCTGGGAGTACATAAGAAACTTCATTGAGAACCAAACTAAACCTTTAAGTGATAAGGCTAGGGTGTATCATTGGAGAGAAGGATGCACCAGACAGAAAAAAACAGTAGTGCAAGGGGCTGCGGCAATCCATCATGACAGTAACAACTCATGCTAATATGGTGCTTTGTCTGCTGCATAGTGGCAGGACAGGAGAGCAGGGTGAAACCCCTTTGTGTTATTCCAAGTCTTTGTAGCATGTACTACAGATACCTTCTTAAGGTTGACGGTGGGGACTTGCAAAGACAGAAGGCAGGGTGAGACAGTGGAAAGAAACCCCTTGGAAGTAGTCCAAGGTGTTGCTGAGTGTACTAAATACATTGCTTCTGAAGCCTCAGACCAAGGTAGCAAGTCAGAGAGAGGCATCTCCAAAGGTATAGAAATCCAAGGACAAGAGAAACACCAGAAAGAAAATAAGTCCCAGAGATTATAAAATTTGAAATCTGAGGAAAGAGAGAGAAAACAGATAGACAGACAGATACACATACCACAGTCAAAATTTGGCAGCTAGGCTGTAAGGCATAAAGAAATTTCTAGAGATTTTTTTTCAATGTCCAGATCCCAAGGAAACGTTTCCTTACTTCTTTTGAAATAATTGAAGTCAATTGTGCACTAAATCTAAATAAAAGTGTAAAAAATGCCATTTAACATACAGATTAGGTAGACTCAGCACCCCCTCCTCCCACACTGGCAGTGAGTCATGAAGAGTATGCCATTATCGGGCCGGGCGCGGTGGCTCACACCTGTAACCCCAGCACTTTGGGAGGCCAAGGTGGGTGGATCACGAGGTCAGGAGTTCAAGACCAGCCTGGCCAACATGGTGAAACCCCGTCTCTACTAAAAATACAAAAATTAGCCAGGCATGGTGGCGGGTGCCTCTAATCCCAGTTACTCGGGAGGCTGAGGCAGAGAATTGCTTGAACCCAGGAGGCAGAGGTTGCAGTGAGCCAAGATCGTGCCACTGCACTCCAGCCTGGGCAACAGAGCATGACTCCATCTCCAAAAAAAAAGAGTATGTCATTATCTGAAGGTAAACATTATTTAAATCCATCTCTGCTATTCATTTTCAGACAATGTTTAACATTCTGTCAAAAATTGTAAAACATAAAAAGAAGCAAGAAAATTGACCCATAGTCAAGAGAGAAAACAATTGATATTTTGATAGAGATTGCACTGAAAAGAATGAAGTAGAAACACCAGAAATAAAAAATCTATTTGAAAGGCTTACTGGCAGCATAGCAGGGGAAAGGAAAAGTACAGTTGAATACAGGTGAATTGCAAGTATCAAACTGAAATATATAGAGGAAAAAGGGGATTATATAGAAAGAAACAGAGAACCTGATAGAGAACAATATCAAGTAGTCAAAAGTGTATAGTTGTATTCAAAGGGGAGGTAAAGGAGAGGAGACAGAGAATGAAGCTAAAGAAATATTTAAAGAGATAGTGGCTGAGGCATTTTAGAATCGCCGAAAGTTATCAACCCACAAAACCAAGATAATTTCAAATGAAATTACTACAAACAGAAACACATCTAGGCACATCACAGTCAAAACACTGAAAACAAAACAGAAAGACAAAATCTTAAAATAAGCCCAAGGAAAGATACATCACATATAAGGGAACAATGATACAAAAAAAAGAAAAAAGACTGATTTCTCATTAGAAACAACAAAAAACAAAAGACAATAGGATAATATATTTAAAATAAAATTGTTCCTGTCTGCAGGAACACACAGGATGATATGTGTGAACAGTTGAAAAATTTGTCATAATTTTCACCTTTGATATAGTTTTTATATATGTATAAAAAAATTTTTTTACAATCACTGTCTTACAGTCTTACAGTCTCAAAACCCAACAACTGGGCAAACTCTGATCCATTTCTATCAATTGTTTCTTTCATATTTTTCATTTCTAGTGTTTCTACTTCATTTCAATGCAATTTCTATCAAAATATCAATTACATGGTAGTAACAAAAACAGAAAAAACAATCCTAAAATTTATATGAAATGAAAAAGGAGTCCAAATAGCCAAAGAAATCTTGAGCAAAAAGAAAAAAGCTGGAGGAACCACACTATCTGACTCCAAAATAGACTACATATTTATAATAACCAAAACATCATGTTACTGGCATAAAAACAGACACATACACCAACAGAACAGGATACAGAGCCCAGAAGTAAATCTACACACCTACAGCCAACTGATTTTCAACAAAGGTGCCAAGAATACACATTGGAAAAAAGACATTCTCTTCAATAAACGGTGCTGAGAAAATTGGATAACCACACAGAAATGAAACTAGACTCCTGCCTCTCGCCATATACAAAAATCAACTCAAAATTGGTTAAAGACCTAGCTGTGAAACCTGAAACTATAAAACTATTAGAAAAACCTGCTAGAAGTGTGAAACTACTAGAGGAAAACGTAAAGAAAATGTTTCACAACATTGGACTGGGCAAGGACTTTTGGATATTACCTCAAAAGCACAGGCGACAAAAGCAAAAATATAGACAAATGGGATTACATCAAACTATAAAGGATCCTCACATCAAAGAGAATAATCAGCAGTGTAAAGAGGCAGTTTACAGAATGGGAGATGACAGCTGCAAACTATACATTTGGCAAGGAGTTAATATACAGAATACATAAGGAACTTAGACAACTCAACGGCATGAATAAATAAATAAAATATCCCAATTAAAACATGAGCAAAGGACCTTAATAGGCATTTCTCAAAAGATGACATACAAATTCTAGCAGGTGTATGAAAAATTCCTCAGCATCTCTAAATGTCAGAAAAACGCAAATCGAAGTCATAATGAGATACCACCTCACTCAAGTAAGAAGGGCTAACATCAAAAATACAAAAGATAAGAAGTGTTGGTGAAAATATGGAGATGAGGGAACCCTTACACACTTTTGCTGGGTTTGTAAATTAGTACGGCCATTATGAAAAACAGTATAGAGGTTTCCAAAAAATTAAAAAGAACTGCTATATGATCCAGCAATCTCACCACTGGGTGTATATCAAAAGGAAATGAAATTAGTACATTGAAGACATACAGCACTCCAGTGTTTGTTGCAATACTCTTTCACAATAGCCAAGATCTAGAATCAACCTAAGTGCCCAATGACCAATGAGTGGATGAAGAATATGTCACACACACACACACACACACACACACACACACAAAATGGAACAGTACTCAGCCATAAAAAATGAAATTCTGTCATTTGCAACAACATGGGTGAAACTGGAGGACATGATGTTAAGCAAAATAATCCAGACACAGAAAGAAAAAAAACCCACGATCTCACTCAAAAGTGCAATCTTAAAAAGTTGATCACAGGCCGAGTGCAGTGGCTCACGCCTGTAATCCCAGCACTTTGGGAGGCCAAGGAGGGTGGATCACAAGGTCAGGAGTTTGAGACCAGCCTGGCCAACATGGTGAAACCCTGTCTCTACTAAAAATACAAAAAATTAGCTGGGCGTAGTGGTAGGCGCCTGTAATCCCAGCTACTTGGGAGGCTGAAGCAGGAGAATCGCTTGAACCTGGGAGGCGGAGGTTGCAGTGAGCCAAGATCGCAACACTGCACTCCAGTCCGGGTGACAGGGTGAGACTCTGTCTCAAAAAAAAAAAAAAAAAAAAAAAGCTGATCACATAAAAATATAGAGTAGAACAACAGTTACCAGAACCAGAGGAAAGGAGGAGGAAAGGAGGATGGTGAGAGGTTGATCCACAGGTACAAAATTACACTTAGATAGAAGGAATATGTTCTGGTGTCCTATTAATGCAGAGTAGGGAAATTATTGTTAACAATAATGCATTGTATATTTCAAAATAGCTAGAAGAGCTGTTTCTGAGTGTTCTCACCACAAAGAAATTATAACTGTATGAGGTGATGAATAGGCTAATAATTACCCTGATTTGATCATTTTGCAACATATACACATATAACATTGTACCCCATAAATATTTACAATTACCATGTGTCAATTAAAAATAAATGAAAATTTCAAAGACAAAAATAACTGCAAATTAAGAAGACTAAATCCATCAAAATATTATTTATAAATTGAGGCAAAACAAAGATATTTTCAGATAGGTAAAGCCTGAAAGAATTCACATCCAGCATATTTGCACTATAAGGAAGCTAAAAAGACGTTCTTAAGCTTGATGGAAAAAGATGCCAGAAGAAAGCCCAGATCTATAAGGAGAAATAAGGAAAATGAGAAAAGAAAAATATGTGAATAATTATAGGGCACCTTTTTATTTATTTATATAGGTATCTGTTTTGACAAGTGTGTACACACACACACACGCGCGGAGGCAATTGGCTGTTAAAAGCAAAAGTAAGCATGGATTTTAAGTATTCAGAATTTTAAAACAATATCAGAAGAGCACAAAGGATAAAAGGTATTATGAATGGAATTATAGGTCCTATCCAAAAGACCTCTTATATGCTTCTTACATTATTCTAAAAGTAGTATGTTATTTGAAATCAGACTTATGTTTTAAAGATGTATATTTTATCTGTAGTGCAACTACTAAAAAATAACACAAAGAACTGGGGTTTAGAAGTCAATACAAAGTAAGCTTATTTTTGTTAAATTTTAAAAATTTGATCTCTTCCAATCAAAAGTTCATTCTACAAACTTTATTATTTAAAATAAAAGGAAAACAAAACTTTTTTTTCTGGAACATTTTTATCCATTTTTCAAATGTTCTTGCTGTGCCTTGATGTCTTGATGTAACAGCCTTCCCCAGCCCCCATTTAAAAAAATATTTTTAATTATTTTCATACTGCCTTTTTAAAGATATACTTTATTTACATGCAATAAAATTATGCTTTGGGGTGTTAGGCTCATTTAGACAAATGCACATAGTCATGTTTCCGCCACCACAATCAAGATACAGAACATTACCATCGCCCTCTAAAATTCCCTCATGCTATTTCTTTATTGTCATTCCCTCTCCTCCACTCCACCCTTAGTCTCTGGCAGCCACCGATGTGTTTTCTGTTCCTATGACTTTGTATTTTCCTGAAACTGATTTTAAATATTTATGGGAGGCAGTAATGGAAAAGTTGACTTCATAACTTTATATCTTATACTTTTGTATAATGTGTCATTATCCATACTTGAGAAAGTGTATTCCATGATATATAGACATAAATAAATGTGCTTTACAATGTATATGTAAAACTTTTCTGTATATAAGAACTTCCTAGCATAAATTTGTAAAATAAAGCAAACTTGAAAAAGTCAATATAGGAAATACAATAGATTTGCATTAAAGAATTCTGGAAAAGTTTTTTTAAAGGATCAAAAACTTGTGGGATAAAGGGAAGATAAATTTCAAGATACTAAACTTTAAGACAATCAAACCAATTATTACACTAAATATAAATAGCTTAAATAGCTCAAAAACATGATAAGGATGGTTCAGCTAGCTAGATTTTTTAGAAAGCAATAACTTACTACATTCTGTTTCTAATATGCATACTTTAAATACAGAGATACAGCAGAAAGAAAAATGTAGGAAGAGATATATCATGCAAACAGTTAAGTCTAAGACAGCTGTTGTAGTCATATTAGTGTTAGAAAAAGTACTAAGTTGAAGACAAAGAGATAAAGAGGCATTTTATAATGATAAAAGTTTCCATTCATCAAGAATACATAACAATTCAACATACATATGCATTTAAGAACAGAGTTTCTCACCATCTTATACTTTTGTATAATGTGAAGCAAAACTATGAAACAAAACTAACAGAACTAAAGGGGAAAGAGATGAATTCACAATTATAGTTGGAAATTTTAGTGCTGCTCTCTGAATAAAAAATAAAACAAGTAGACAGAAATCAGTCATGTTATAGAATATTGAAACAATATTTTACAAGGTTTTACAACTCAGCACTATTCACATTTTCAACGGGATGAAAATGTGGAGATGGAGCGGTGGTGATGGGGTGGGGATGGTGGGTCGTGGGGAAGGTGGAGCAGGGCATTGTAGAATGTATCCCAGCCTCCAACACTAGATGTCAGTAGCACTCTTGTCCCAGTTGTGATAACCGAACATTTTCAAATATTGCCAAATGACTGGGTGGAGGAGGAGCAGGGCGAATCTCCCCTAGTTGAGAACCATTTATATAGAGCATATACCAGGACATAAGAAAAGTCTACATAATTTTTTAAAGTATTGAACATATATATAAGCAGTACGTTGTCTGAACAAAATAAAATTCAATTACAATAAGATATCTAGAAAATCCCCAAATAATTATAAATTTAGCAATGCTTTCCTAAGTAGCCTGTGGGTCCAAAAAGAAAAAGCACAAAGGAAATTAGAAAATAGTGTGCACTGAGTATTAAGGAAAGCACAAGAAAAATATCACAGGATGCAGATTAAGCAGTGCTTAGAAAATTTTCAGCTTCAAAGCAAATATTAGGGAAAACTTGTAAAATCAATCAACTAAGCTTCCATGTTAAGAAGCTCAAAAACTCAGAGCAAATTGAATATTAAGTAATTAAAAAACAATGCAATTTAAGAAGGAGCCAAAGTCAGCGAGCTGGCAAAAGAACAAATAGAGAGGAAAAGTGGGCAACTCAACATCACAGTGAGTGATCAGAGAGTCAGGGCTGGATCCCAGCTCTTCCCCAGGCTGGAACGAGTCATCTCCCTTCATCCACAGATTACTGAGCAGCTGAAGGAGACACAAAGGTGTACGTGGGAAGGAGTCAGGCCTCATGGGGATGTGTGCAGTTAAAACCCTGGGGATGCTGAAAGGAAGGACCATACAGAGCGGTGTGAGGGCCAAGTCTTCCATTACCTGACACTGGAAGCCACGTGGTTAAAACCCTGGGGATGCTGAAAGGAAGGACCATACAGAGCGGTGTGAGGGCCAAGTCTTCCATTACCTGACACTGGAAGCCATGTGGTTAAAACCCTGGGGATGCTGAAAGGAAGGACCATACAGAGCGGTGTGAGGGCCAAGTCTTCCATTACCTGACACTGGAAGCCACGTGGTTAAAACCCTGGGGATGCTGAAAGGAAGGACCATACAGAGCGGTGTGAGGGCCAAGTCTTCCATTACCTGACACTGGAAGCCACGTGGTTAAAACCCTGGGGATGCTGAAAGGAAGGACCATACAGAGCGGTGTGAGGGCCAAGTCTTCCATTACCTGACACTGGAAGCCACGTGGTTAAAACCCTGGGGATGCTGAAAGGAAGGACCATACAGAGCGGTGTGAGGGCCAAGTCTTCCATTACCTGACACTGGAAGCCACGTGGACAATCCAGAAGATGACTCACTTTGGCAGCCCTGAGAGTTAAAAACCAGTTTCCTTAGGCAAGACATTAACCTCTCTATGCTGTAATTTCACCCTTTGCAAAATGGGGAAATAGCAATGCCTCAACAACAGGGTTACTGTGAGGATGAATTAGGATGACATAGGTGAGGGGCCTGGCGGGGGTGGTGAGCACACCACAAAGGAATGCACACTGCTTTGGTCATTGCTGCTGATGTCTGAAGCAGGAAAAGGTGGTCAGGGCCATCCCTCCTGCCCCACTCAACCTTTTCTCTCCTCCCTCACCAGGGCTCTGATAGGCTCTTTCAGCTCCTGACCCTCTCCCTCTAGGATGCAGGTTCAGCCTGAGCCTGAGTCCACTTTTCTGAGGTTGAGCAACACAATTAGAATATGTGGAAAATCTGTAAACAGACACCAGCAAAGAGCCAGATGCTCCCTGGAGCCAGTCCAAGAACAATTAAGCAGCCCTTTGAAGACTAACTGAGCTGGGGGCAGTCAAGAGCTTGTCAGCTCCAGGCAGCAAGATCTCAACCTTCAGGGGCAGGGAGCACAAACCTCTCTCCCTTCCTCTCTCTCTCTGAAAGCTAAATAACAAAATATCAGCCCCTCCCAAAGGCACAGTGGTGAGATGAGGGCCACCAAAAGGCCTGCTTGGCAGGACACCCTGTCAGGTTTTGGGGAGAGAAGGGCAGAACCAGTAGCCTGCAGGTCACACTTGGCCTTTAAGGTGATCATTCATATCATTACAGTTATTATTGCTCACATGGCATTTTAAAAATCTGAATTAATTACCATCACTGAAGGATGTTGCATTTTCACATTCAAACTCACATACCCAGATTCTCTGGAGGAAGCCGTGTGTAAGGCCACAATGAGCACACACGTTCCACAAGCCACAGTGGGCTAGAGCTGAGGAGCTGCCCCTGGGAGAGTGGGTGCATCAGAATTTGCCACAGTAAGTTCCACCCCTGTGGTTTCCCCATCCTCACGCTGGCATTTCTGTCATTGCCTCTTTCTCACTTTAAACACCTGCTGGCCTATTTGTAAATTTGAGTTTACAACCTCTGCTTTAAAACAGCCCACATTTATTAGATAAAGGAAATGAGGCCTGGGAGGGAAACTGAGGAAAGAACTTGCTGAGGCCATCATCCGAGCCGAAACAAGTACAACTGCACAAGCTAGAGAACGCTGTTGTAAACCAAAAATAAAATAGGGCCCCCTAATCATCTGAATGGACACCCTCCTAAACCAGGGCTCTTTAAATTTAATCTGAGAGAGCTGGATGCAGTGGTTCATGCCTGTAATCCCAGCACTTTGGGAGGACAAGGCAAGTGGATCACTGAAGGTCAGGAGTTCAAGACCAGCCTGGCCAACATGGTGAAACCCTGTCTCTACTAAAAATACTAAAAGCAGCCAGGCGTGGAGGTGGGCGCCTGTAATCCCAACTACTTGGGAGGCTGAGGCAAGAGAATCACTTGAACTAGGGAGGCTGAGGTTGCAGGGAGCTGAGATCGTGCCACGGCACTCCAGCCTGGGTGACAAAAGAGCCAGACTCTGTCTCAAAAAAAAAAAAAAAAAAAAAAAAATTAACCTGAGAGACTGTTTCAGGCTATGACAGGAAATGGGGGTCCCACTTGCCTCATTATACCCCTCCAGCGTTAACATCAACACAGACGTTAAGTCTGATAAGGAACAGTTTGCAGCCTATTCTCTCTGAAGCCTGCTAGCTAAAAGCTTCATCAGCATGATAAAACTCTGGTCTGTACAACCTCTTATCCTAACCCAGACATTCTTTTCTGTTTGATCTCAGGTCTTTAGACAAACTCAACCAATTGTCAACCAGAAAATGTTTAAATTTACCTATAACCACCCCACCACCACCCCGAGTTTTCCTGCCTTTCTGGACCAAACCCAATGTATTACAAAAGTAATTGCAATTTTTGCCATTAAAACAATCTCTCAGGTTAAATTAAATAAAAAGTAATGGTGAAAACTGCAATTACTTTTGCACCAACCTAATATTTCTTAAATGTACTTAATTGGTGTCTCATGCCTTCCTAAAATGTATAAAACCAAGCTGCACCCTGACCATCATGGGTACATGTTCTCAGGACCTCCTGAGGGCTGTGTCACAGGCCATGGTCACTCATATTTGGCTCAGAATCAATCTCTTCAAAGGTTTTACAGAGTTTGACTCTTTGCACCGACACTGTCCTTCTGGTATCTTATGGCACAAGACCAGCTCCAATTTCATATTCTGCCTACAGAAACCACTCTGGCTAACACCATTCTCCCTCTTCCCTAAATTCCAAACCACCTGCCATTTTTGCTATTTATTTGGTAATGAATCACTTACTACCATTTATATTTTGGTCACCATTTATCGATGTCTGATATGCGGTAGATATTGTGCTAGGTCCCGGGAAGGATAATGTGTGAATTACGTGCAATCCTGCCATTCAACTGACTGATCCAGTGCAGTAGAAAAAGCACAGCCTTGGAGCCAACCAGGAACGAGTTTGAATTCTGCTCTGATGCAGAATTCTGGCTTTGGGACCTTGGGTAAGGTATTCAAGAGTTCTGAGTCTTGGTTTCCTCATGTGTAAAATGAAGGCTGTGATTCCTCCCCCACGTGGACGTTGGGAAGGCTGATGAGGGCACGCACGCAAAAGCATGGCGCTGACTGTGGTCTCCTTGCTCTCAGATCCATGACCTCCCCTTCACATCCTCAAGGGCATTGCAGGGCACTGCATTTCGCAGACGCCCTGGTTCCTGGCTTCCCACATGAGGCCAACAGGAAGACTGGAAGGCAGCAGGAAGGGAGAAGCCAGGGTATTTCTCCCCTTTACTCTTACTTTTGGTAGCCTTTCTGGCCAGAACTGCGTCTCCTCCACAGTGCCAGATCCGTGGCAGCTGCCATGGTTTTAGCTGCTGCTAGGAAACCCTAATCTCCAGGTTCAACAAATACCACCTCTTGGTTCTTCCTGGTCAAGGTTGTTGTGGGTAAGCAGCATCTATCGGTGCCAGTGGTGAGGGGTTAAAAGAATTTACCAAGATAATTGTAGGTAAAGAAAGTCAGATTTATTAGACAAAGTAGGAAAATACGTTGCCAAGGAGCAATGGGCAGAATCAGCAGAAGAGGAGCTGACTGCCAGGAAACAAAGACTTGCTGGAGATTTTATAGGACGGCTCTTGGGTTGATTGATAATGCCACGGCAGCAGGGAGCTAACTTGCATTCTTCTGTTCACCAAGGAGATGTTTGATGATAAAATGAAGCATTTGAGGATAAACAGAAAGTTTGTGAGTTATGAACATTATCTGTGCAGGAGGGCTATACATCCTGGGCCATAAAGAAAGGCAGACCTGTAGCTTATTTGCTTTATCTCTTTGCTTTCCCCTGGTTCTGCCAGCCTGACTCTTTTCCTTTAATTAGGACTCCACAGAGATAGCAATACCTTCCTGCGGGGGCTGATCTCTCTCCTCTTTGGCAGCTCAGCTAACTGTTATCTATGCAATAAATTCCTTACTCTCAGGAGTTAAATTGTATCCCCCACGAAAGTCCATTTATTGAAGCCCTACCCCACCAGGACCTCAGAATGTGACCTTATTTGGGAGTAGCTAGTTGCAGATGTAACTAGTCAAAATGAGGTTACCCTGAAATAGGGTGGGTCCCTAATCCAATAAAGACTGGTGTCCTTATGGAAAGGAGAAACATGGAGACAGGTAGAACACTGTGTGAAGATGAGGGCAGACATCAGAGTGATACCTCTGCAACCCAAAGAACACCAAAGATGGCCAGAAAACCTTCAGGAGCTGGGGAGAGGCCTAGGACAGATTCCCTGTCACAGCCCCAGAAGGAACTAACCCTGCTGATACCTTGATCTTGAACTTCAGGCCTCCAGAACTGTGAGAGAATCAATTTCTGTTTGTTAAGCCATTCATTTGTGGTGCTTTGTTATGACAGTCCTAAAATACAAATACACCTACTTTAAATCCTTTCTGCTTGGTTTCTGTTTTCTGATGGAACCTACCTTTCAGTTGTAACCTGCATCTGGCACATGGCATGCAGTTTGATGAGAAGGGGGAAACAACCCTGATGCTGGTAGCAACAGGAGACTGACAGATTCCTAGGCAGACAGAGGTGGGTTCCCGGTGAAACCTGACCTTCAAGCCAAGGACGGTTTAAAGCCTGAAAACTGAGCTGCCACTTCCAGATAGAGTCCACAACTAGAATGAGAACTTCCATCCCAGTCTTACCTACTCTCTCTATTGGTACCTTCTGAATGATGCCTTTTAACCAATTGAATGGTGCTTTTTCTAAGCCCACCCATGGACCAATCAGCATGCACTTCCCCATTCTAAGCCCATAAAAATCCTGGACTCAGACTCACAGGCGACTGCCTGCTTTTGGGTCCCCTCTTGATGCTCAGAGCTTTCTTTCTGTCACTCCGTAAAATTCTACTCTGCCTTACTCACTCTCCAGTGTTCATATACCTTATTCCTCTTGGTCACGGTACAAAAACCCGGAAGTCACTGAACTACGAGAGCAAAAGAGCTGCAGTGCTGCTGCTCACCGAGCTGTGGGCGGTGGGAGTAAAATAGCTGTAACACTCCGTCCCACTTGTTGAACAGTGGTGGAAAAGAAGCCACTGGGTGCCACTCCCTCCCACTCACTAAACTGTGGAAGTGAAAAAGCCTCAACAATATCAAGCAGAATGAAAGCCAGAGCCAAAATAAAATTCAACCTGTGAAAGGAAAATAAAGACTCAAAACCCCAATTCACTCTGCCAAGACAAAACAAACAAAAAAACAAACAAACAAAAATTAAGCCGAAAGCTGAGTCATGCATGGAACTGCCTTTCCTTTTGTTCTTAAGAGAGCGCTCCCAATGATTAAATATCTCTATGTTCACCTCACACTATGTAAAGTGCCAATTCACTAAGCATGAAATGAATACATGACTGACTGTTCTCTTACCTGCTCCTTTTCTCTTGCAACACATGGACTCAGTAATGTGACCTTACCCTCCTTCTTCCCTGCTCCAGCCTACTTTTCACCTTTAATTATTGAAGCCCCCAAAATTATCTTTGGAGAAAGGCATGAACCTCTCTTCTGAGCATGTCCTTAACCTTGGCAAAATAAACTTCTAGCTCGATTGAGGCCTGTTTCAAATACTTTTTGGTTTGCAATTCAGAATGCATTTGGAATTCAATGAGTTCAAGTTATGTGCAAGGGACTGTGTATGTATGTGTGTGTGGTGTGTGTGTCTGTGTGTGTGTGTGTGTGTGTGTGCATGTTCTCAATGAGCTGTCAGAACAACCCACAGAACAAGCACCATTATCTCCATTTTATAGAACAAGAAACTGGGGTTCAGAGAAGGTAAGTGACTTACCCAGCAGGACACACTATGAGTGGGAAAACCAGCACTGGCCCTTCATGGCCTGCTCCCAGCTCCTCCTGCAGTGCTGTATCACCTGTAGAAGATGTTTTCAGGTTTCTGAGCTTCCCTAGGATTGGTTGGCCATAGAAAGCAATAGAAAACTAATACGGACCCTTGGGGATATTTTTTTCTCATCTCTCCCTACCTCCTCACTCTCTCTCCCTCACTATAGTCAGGAAGGAACTCACTAGAGAGCATAAATTCCATGATATCTTTTCCCCTCCACACCTGGCCACCATGTAGGCCCTGAGGATGTGTACATTAACTGGGTATCATCCCTGCCTTTGAGAATCTCACAGTCCAGAAGAGAAGAGAGGCATGAATAGGTAACAGCAACATCCCACAGTGGCAAAGCATCACTGAGAGGAGGTGGCCTCATGGAGGGCAGAGGAGAATGGGGCCAGTGACATCTCACAGGGGTCATGGAGGCTAAAGCCAAGAGACAGCCAGTGATGTCTGTGACACTTGAGAAATAAAACGTAATGAAAACACGATGTCGCTACATTCAACGGAACAGTGGGCGTCTGTAGTCATTGTCCTTCCCATGTTGCTACTTTGGTCCCAAGTAATTTCTGCAATTCCTGGACTCATCCAAAAATGAGTCCTCCAAATTTGCATCCTCCAAATACAACTATGACATAGGTAGTCTCATCACTCTCAATTTACAGATGAGGAAACTGAACCACGGGAACCTTACCCAGAGTCACATTACCAGTCAATGCCACATTATTCTGGGGACAGAGTGGCAAAAATGATACCTGGTTTCTGCCCACAGCCTTATACTCAAATAGGGGTGAGAAAGAATACATATATCCATGGAAAATGATGTCATGACAAATTATGATATGTGCTCAGAAGGAGAAAAGGGAAAATAAGAGAATAATGACCAGGCACCCTTGGACTAGAACAGGGTGAGGCCCTCCTAGGAAGTGAGGTGAGGTCTAAAGGTTAAGGAGGAGCCAGGCCTGCAAAGGACCTGGGCAAAAGCTGTCTCAGCCAGAGGAACTAATGGGCAAAGGTCCCAAGAGCATGGTGGGGCCCAGGACATGAGGAGTGTGGAGGGAGGAGAGGATGGTGGCAAGCAAGCAGAGGCCACCCGTACAGACCATGCACACGCACATGTTGCAATGGCTGTGGTATGAAGTGTGGTGGGTTGGGGGTCTCATCCCCAGACAAGGCAGGCCACAGTGATGCAGTGAACCATTTTCTTTTTTCTTTTTTCTTTTGAGATGGAGTCTTGCTCTGCCACCCAGGCTGGAGTGCAGTGGTGCGGTCTTGGGTCACTGCAACCTCCACCTCCCAGGTTGACGCCGTTCTCCTGTCTCAGCCTCAGCCTCCCGAGTAGCTGGGACCACAGGCGCCCGCCACCACGCTTGGCTAATTTTTTATATTTTTAGTAGAGACGGTGTTTCACCGTGTTAGCCAGGATGGTCTCGATCTCCTGACCTTGTGATCCGCCCGCCTCGGCCTCCCAAAGTGCTGGGATTACAGGTGTGAGCCACCGCGCCCAGCCGGCAGTGAACCATTTTCTAAATGAATTTCTAAATTCAACCCCCAGCACTGGAGATGAATGGGCTGGGAAATGGGTTGCTACTTACGCCTCCGCTGTCCAGGGTGGCAGCCACTAGCCACATGTGGCTATTGAGCACTTAAAATATGGCTCATGTGACTGGGGCTGAATCTGTAATTTTATTTAATTTTAATTTAAATATCCACAGGTGGCTACCGGCTACTGTAATGGATAATGCAGGCATGAGGTGATCAAATAAGGAATAGCATAAACACTGTAGAAACACGAGAGCAATTTGCATATATGAGATACTGGTGAGCTCCCGTTGTTTCCTCTTCTCACAATGGCATTGGTTTTGAAATGCTATCCTGGCAAGGAATACAGGCTAAACACACTATCTGTGAGAATTCTGATGCTGCTAATTTAATCACAATGTAACTGATTTGACAGCTATTTCCCAAATAAGTAGCTGTCCTTGTGCCTTCTCTTTTTGGAAGACAGTGAGTACTTCCATCCAAACCTCTTTCCCCAGAGAGACCTCAAAGGAACAGATGCAGTAGTTAGGCATGGGTGTGTGCCAGGCTGGGCTGAGAGCAGGGGACCACCGGGACTCATTTTTCCTTCCAGTTGTATAAAGACCGTCACAATATAATATTATATCAAGCCACTGGTGAAAATTTAGAGAGTTTATACACACAGTCACCTTGCCATCACAGGGACCTTATGCCCACAGCAACAAAGAACAACTGGCAAATTCACCATCCAGTTCTCTGTTTATCATTTTATTGTGAAACATAATCACAGGTTTCCTTAAGAAATAATGTTTCTCTTTATCACATTGGACTATGCAATTCCTGTATTTTTTTTTTTTTTTTTTTTTTTTGAGACAGAGTCTTGCTCTGTCTCCCAGGCTGGAGTGCAGTGGTACTATCTCTGCTCACTGCAACCTCTGCCTCCTGGGCTCAAGCAATTCACATCCCTCAGCCTCCCTAGTAGCTGGAACTACAGGTGTGCACCAACACGCCTGGCTAATTTTTGTGTTTTTAGTACAGATGGGGTTTCACCATGTTGGCCAGGCTGGTCTTGAACTGCTGGCCTCAAATGATTCTCCTGTCTTCACCTCCAAAAGTGCTGGGATTGCAAGCATGAGCCATCACGTGCAACCAATTCCTGTATTTTCTGAAGGGAAATGATGCAAACAGCTGCCTTTACCTTTAGCTGACTAGCCCAGTATTAACTCTGACAGTGGGAACATATGATGTTGGAAGCCAGGATTCTCCCACTGCACCATGCACCATGCTGGATTCCTCTAGGTTTCAAGTGGCCAAGCAACCTTAAACTTCTCCCAGCCTCCTCTGGACAGTAAGAGAGCCACATCATGGGCGGGACCACTACAGAGAGCCATGATGTGGAAAGCTGCCCACTGAGTCCCAGCGGTGACATTGACTCCCAAGTGGCCCTAGGAGCAGAGCACTGAGTCAGAGGATTATTCTTGAGCCTTAGGATCTCATGGGATTTGCCTTGCTAGGTTTTGGATTTGCTTGGGAATAGTCATCCCTTCCTTCTCTCCCATTTTTCCCCTTTGGAATGGGAATATTTATCCTATGCTTGTCAAAGAAAAATAAATCTCAGGACCTCAAAATCACTAAGTCAAGGGAAAAGTCAAGCTGGGAACTACATCAGGCAAAGCTGCTTCCCATTTTATTCCTAAATAAGATAGCTACAAAGATAAGGAGCTACATACCTCCCTCACAATGTGTCCACCAGGAAATTCCTTGTAGACAAAGGACAGGCAGAACTCAAAGTCATCCCTCTGAGGCTCACCTGAGACAAATGCATATCTGGTTGCTTCCTCTGCCCTATTGTTTACGTAAAAATGCAGATTCACTGAGCCAGACTAAATTGTGTATTCAGTGGAAGGCTGATCAAAGACTCAAAAGAATGCAACCTTTTGTGTCTTATCTACCTCTAACCTGGAAGACCCCACTTCGAGTTGTTCCACCTTACCGGACCGAAACAATGTACGTCTTACACATTTTGATTGATGTCTCATGTCTCTAAAATGCATAAAAGTAAGCTGTCCCCCGATGACCTTGGGCACAGGTCATCAGGACCTCCTGAGGCTGTGTCATGGGCATGTCCTTAACCTTGGCAAAATAAACTTTCTAAATTGACTGAGACCTGTCTCAGATGTTTTGGGTTCACACGCCTATCCCACCATTGTATTTTGGAAGCACATAACTTGTTTGGTTTCACAGGTTCACAGCTGGAGAGGATTTTTGCCTCAGGATGAATCATACCTCTAGCTTCACCCATAACTGATTTCGATGATAGTTAGGTGTGACTTTGAACTCTAGACTTTGGGATTGTTGCTAGAATTAGTGAAGACTTTGGGAGCTGGTAGGCTCTCTGCTCTCCACCATGTGAGGACTCAGCAGGAAGACAGAGGCCGCCATCTGCAAAACAGAAGGGAAGCCCTCATCAGACACGAGGTCTGCCAGTGCCTGGGTCTTGGACTTCCCAGGCTTCAGAACTGTGAGAATAGATGTTTGTTGCTTAAGACACCCAGTCTATGGTAGATTGTTATAGCAGCCTGAACAATATTAATATTGTTAATTTATTAAGGATAATATTAACACCTGCCTCGTACAGTTGTTTCAGACTCAAGTAATACATATGTAGTGCTTATGAGGGCCTCTAGGACATGGTAGCCTCTCCACTCTTGGGAGTCAGCATCATCATCGGCCTGTCATTATTTTTACTACTGGTAATAGTCATTGGCAACCCTGTTCCCTTGACATTCCTTGTTCTACTGGGGCTGGAAAGTGCTTAATATTCCCATTACTTTCCACTGAAATCACTCCTTTCTCAGTCTCCATTTCCTGTAAGTAAAATTAAAACAAACATATGTGCTCAAAGATGGGAGGCCAAGGTTTCATGATTTTATGAATGTAAAAGTGCTGACACGACTCCAGATTCAAACAGTGTGATGCCCTCCCCCTAACTCCTCCTTCAGTTATAGATTTCTCCAGGGTGTAAAAAAGAATCTGGAGCCTGGTACACAGCCTGAATGTCAACATAAATTGACTTTTTTATACTAAAATATAATTTACATACCATAAAATTGATCATTTTAAAGTGTTTTTTTAGTGTATTAACAGAGTTTTGCAGGATCACCACTATCTAATTCCAGAACATATCATCACCTCCAAAAATAAACCCCATGCCCATTAGAAGTCATCCCCCACTTCCCCTTTACCCCTAGCCTCTGGCAATTATTATTATTATTTTTTGAGACAGAGTCTTGCTCTGTCACCCAGCCTGGAGTGCAGTGGCACAATCTCGGCTCACTGCAACCTCTGCCCCTCGGGTTCAAGCAATTCTCCTGCCTCAGCCTCCCAAGTAGCTGGGACTACAGGCACTCAATACCACTCCCGGCTAATCTTTGTGTTTTTAGTAGAGTTGGGGTTTCACCATGTTGGCCAGGATGGTCTCTATCTCCTGACCTCATGATCCACCCGCTTTGGACTCCCCAAGTGCTGGGATTACAGGCATGAGCCACCGCTCCTGGCCACCACTGGCAATTATTAATCTCCTTTCTGTCTATAGATTTGCCTTTTCTGGGTATTTCATATACATGGCATCACACGATATGTGGTCTTTTGTGTCTGGTTTCTTTCACTTGTCAATTGAGAAAAATGACGAGAAAAGTCTCAATCATTTAGGAGGTTTATTTGCCAAAGTTAAGGACATGCACTCGTGACACAGCCTCAGGATGTCCTGACGACACGTGCTCAAGGTGGTCGGGACACAGCTTGGTTTTGTACATTTTAGGGAGACATGAGACATCAATCGATATATATAAGAAGTACATAGGTTATGTCCCGCAAGGCAGGGGCAAATTGAAGCAGGGATGGGCTTCCAGGTAACAGGTAGGTGAGAGACAAATGGTTGCATTCTTTTGAGCTTCTGACAAGCCTTTCCAAAGGAGGCAACCAGAGTATGCATCTATCTCAGTGAGCAGAGGGATGACCTTGAATAGAATGAGAGGCAGATTTGCCCTGAGCAGTTTCCAGGCAGAATTTTCCCCTTAGCTCAGTGATTTGGGGGGCCCAAGATATTTTCCTTTCACACACTTAACATAATGCTTTCAAGGTTCATTCATGTTGTAGCATACAGCAGCATTATATTTGTTTTCAAAATTGGATTAACCATACTTTCTTTCTTTCTCTTTTTTATTAACACTGTAGGTGCTACTGTTCCCACTCTGGAAATGGGAGGCCTAAGAGATGAGCTGGTTTGCTCAAGGCCACCATGAAAAGTGAAGCTGCTTTTCTGACTCTCAGCATGTACTCTAATTTGGACTGAAGTTACTTTATGGGAATGTTTTCATTCTCCCTCCTGCCCCTTTGCCCTCCGTGGTTCCCGACTTACACTCTTTCCCCTAGAATTTCTATCTATCATTTGTAGTCACTTAGATGTGGGTTCAAAACCATCTCACAATGTGTGATTGTGTGCAAATACTAAAAGTCCAGTAGGCTTGGTTTGCTCATCTGATAAATGGGGATTGCAACAGGACTTCCCTTGGGGGGCTCTGCCTAGTATTAAGTGAGGTGGGCATGTCAAGGGCTTAGTACAATAACCACTCAGGGCCAGTAGACCATAAATATTTGCAATGCTTCAGCTGTAAAGTGAGGTGAGCAAGACTTGGCTTGCGCTTGCGGCTGCAGAGAGCCTCAGAGGTAATAGAGCCCCTGAAAGGCTGATGCAGAGCTGACCAAGTGTTTGGCTGTTCTTATGATTGTCCTCATTATAATTTCCTTTTCTCCAAAGCTCTAACTAGCCCCCATCCCTCCATTTTGGAGCCACCTGCAGGCCCTTGCTTAAGTCCATAGTGGTTGACAAAGTTGATACTTTTCCACCAAAGTTTTAAAGTGAATTCCAGAGAGTGGCCAAGGTCCGGCCCAGTGGGAACACAAAGCCATTCACATCTGCTGGCTCCCTGCAGCCTCTTTGGCTGCTGGTCCACCTGGCTGTCCTCAGCCTCCTGGGCTGCTCAGGCCACTGAGTGTGAGCCATGGTCTGGGGTGGAGAGCACAGCAGCAGTGACTCATTACTCTCACTGCTGCCTGCATGTAGACGAGGCAGGATGCAGACCAATATCTCTCCAAGATGTGTTGTCATCCTCCCCAGCACAAAGCTTCCCAGGTACCAGGCCCTGCCTCCAGCACCCTGGGCAGCATGAGTGACATTCCTTTCTGTGAATTTGGAAACAGTTCAGCTTTTGTTTCTTTCTGTGCCTTGCAGGTGGTCTTTCTTCTTTCTGTTAGCAGCATCTAACATTCAAGAGTCTTTGAGTTGACTTTTGTTTTGAATAAAACACCCCCCACACACACACCTATCTGAGGGTTAATTATTCCTTGCTCAGATACAGAATGACAAAATTTCATATCTCCATTGAGTACATTCCTACAGTTCACCATAATCGTTTGTTTACATTTCTGCCTTTGCCAGCCCCAGAGGGCAGAAGATCAACTGTTGTCAGCACCTCGTTACAGCTAACAGCTAATGGGCTCCCTGAGTCCAGAGCCGGGAGAGCTGCATGGGGCTGCAGAGGTCAGACAAAGCTCCACGGCTGGGAGGAGCTGTGACTGGATTGGAAGGATGGGGACAGTTCTTACAGATGGTGATGGGAGGAGGTACCCCAGGAGGAGCAGTGACATGGACAAACAGCAAGGGAAGAGCTTACCACTGGACTTCACCCTCTGGGACTCTGAGCTTTGATGCAATGACTGGATAAAATCAAGGTGACTTTTTAGAGCTGTTTCCATACTGTGTATTTGGTCTTCATTCATTCCCATGTTTTTATTTTTCCATAGGGATTTACTGACTTCACCAGGGTGTACAGAGGAAGGAATGAATCCTTCTTATTGCGAATTCTAGAAAAGGCTTCATATGGGAGGTATCATTTGAATTGGGCCCTAGAGGGTGAATAGAATTCCTGTGCATTGAGTTAGAGACAAGAAAGGCAATGAAAGAGAGGCAATGAACGCTTTCTAGTTAAGCAAGGAGAGCCCCATGGGCCAATTCCCTCATGGATCATATTTCTGGGTGCCTGATGTGTGCCAGGCACTGCACAAGGCGTAGGGAGCAGAATATCATTAGCGAACGAGGATCAGAAGCAGGGTCTGCCTTCAGAGGGAGGGAGCCTGGGGAGAGGGGCACATGATGGGCATGACCACTAGGTTGGTTTGTAAGAGAGCAATCAGAGTTTTAAAAAGTGGAGGAAAGCTGGGCGCAGTGGCTCATGCCTGTAATCCCAGCACTTTGGGAGGCCGAGACAGGTGGATCACGAGGTCAGGAGTTCAAGATCAGCCTGGCCAAGATGCTGAAACCCCGTCTCTACCAAAAAAAAAAAAATACAAAAATTAGCTGGGCATGGTGGCACACACCTGTAATCCCAGCTACTCAGGAGGCTGAGGCAGGAGAATCACTTGAACCCAGGCGGCAGAGGTGGCAGTGAGCCAAGATCGTGCCACTGCACTCCAGCCTGGGTGACAGAGCAAGACTCCATCTCAAAAAAAAAAAAAAAAAAAAAGAGGAGGAACCCGTCTCCCCATTGTCTGGAGGTCTTGCATTCACATATGCTTCCTCTAACCCCTTTCATCTTGGCTTGTCCCATTCCCACATCACTTTTTAAACTCAAATATGGAGTTTAAAAACTCCACTTGTTGGCTGGTTGTGTGGGGGCAGCTGTCCTCCAGCAATGCTTATGTCCCAATCACTTTACAGTTTTTAAAGGGGGAGAAGGGTGGGTGCATGGAGAAATGGAACACTAGGTGGTAAGAGGTGGGGGACGCCTTTGCTCTGAGCACCAGGAAAGCAGAGTGAAAGACCACCAAACTCTTCCCTGACCCGCCACTCATGCCTCACCTGGGATGAGGGCAGAGAAAAGGTCTCTGATGAGACTGTAATATCAATATCCTAAAGCACAACTCTGCCAGGGACACACAATTGGGTTCATAATGTTGCAGGCAGAACACACAGAATAGGGCACCTTGGCTCATGTCAGTAAGGGTGTGTTACAGAAGGTGAACGCAGGGTTTAGGCCTGTGTTAGGTGACACTGGGGAGAGTTTCAGGAAGCGGGCTTTGCTCTGGATTGGATGTGATCAAGAAACAGGGGCGTCGCCATGCCGGAATGTCTTATCTATAGAGAGGGCCAATTAGAGTGAGGCTAATGCTATGCTTGGTCAAGTAGCAGTGTCACTCACATGAGCCAGGAGAGGGAGGTGCTTGGTCATTTTTGTGGCGTGGACAAAGTCTGTGTTCATGACTACTGAGGGATGTTGTTTTATCTGGCTCCTTCGTGGGCACAGAGTGGCCTTGTCTGATGTTGATACTCTATGGGATGTTTGCGTTCAGCAGGAGAGCACCAAGGCCTGGCTGAGGGCACCAGGTCAGCTCACCAAGGTCAGAGGCTGTTTCCTGTCCTCTTGAGTTCACACTTGGACGGCAGGGTGGTGTTACATAGAAATGATAAATATTTGGGGAGACGGATATATTAATTAGCCAGATTTTATCATTCCACAATATATGTGTGTATATAAACATCACTTTGTACTCCATAAATATATAAAATTGCTCTTTATCAATTAATAAAATAAAATAAACCTAAATAGGAAAACAAGGTCAGATACCCTGACCTTCTCTACTTATCACTGAACTGAACTGGGTCCTCTCACCTGGCACAGTAAGGCCAAGCATCCACATGCACATTGGCAGTGGGAGAAAGGAGAGTGTTTATTTGTAGAGCACTGAGCATTGAGAATCCGGCAGCCCATGCTTAAGGCCCAGGCTTCCTGATGGCTTCTGAGCAAAGGTTTTAAAGACAGGGGTCAATTTCAGGAAAGCACAAGTTACAGGCAAAATCATAAATCAACATGTGGAGACTAAACATTGGTTTGGCCTAAAAAGGTGGGATTTCCTGCAGTGGGGTAGGTCACAGGTAGATTTAAAGGTTTTTTTGTTTTGTTTTGTTTTAGTTTTGGTTTGGTTTTTTGGGTTTTTTTGAGACAGACTCTCACTCTGTCACCCAGGCTAGAGTGCAGTGGCCTGATCTCGGCTCACTACAACCTTTTGTCTCTTGGCTTCAAGTGATTCTCCTGCCTCAGCCTCCTCAGTAGCTGGAATTACAGGAGCGTGCCACCACGCCCAGCTAATTTTTGTATTTTCAGTAGAGACCGGGTTTCACCATGTTGGCCAGGCTGGACTCAAACTCCTGACCTCAAATGATCCACCCACCTTGGCCTCCCAAAATGCTAGGATTACAGACATGAGCTACAGCACCCAGCCTAGATTTAAAGTTTGATTTGCAATTGGTTAAGGAAGGGTAGTTTGTTTAATTTTTTTGGGACAACAGAAAGAAATGCTAGGTCTGGCCCATGGGCATGACATTCTCCAGGCCCCCAGGAAGACATTTTGAATAAAGAAGGGTGGGCAGAGCTCAGTCCTCAGCTCCCCCTCATCTGAGGTCTGTGTACCAGAGTATCCATTTGGTGGGGGCCCAGGTTTCTGAAAAACAACCCAGAGACATATGTTAAAATGTTATTTTTAGTCTCTATGGAGGAACCAAACAACTTATGGCTCTAACTTTGTTGGCTATTGTTTTAGGCTGCTATTACCTTCTGGCTTACCAGCTTGCTCATTTACTTCCCAAGACTAGCTAGGTGCCTGCAATGTCCCTTGAAGGAACTCAAGATTTTCCTTTATTTCCATGCTTTGGGGGCCCTGTAAGCCCCTAAAGAGGGGTTCCTACTCCATCTCACACTTGACCTTCCCACACTTGAAAGTACACTGTGTCCCCGCCTGGTTAGGTAGATTTTGTCCCTGCTGATTGCTGTCTCAAATAAGAATAATGAAAAATTTATTTCTGTTTCTTTAAAATGAGCAGACAGAAAGGCTCTTAAGGAGGAATAATTTAAACTGGAAACCTAGGGTGGGTATGGCCTGACCTCCTTCAGTTTTTACAAAGGTCTTTGTCAAAAATGCTTCCAGACAGGACCTCTTCTCAGGTAGAGATGACTATGAAAGAAAGCAATTAGCCTGTGGATATGACTCAGCCTGTATTTCTTTTTTTTTTTTTCTTTGAGACAGAGTCTCGCTCTGCCTACCAGGCTGGAGCACAGTGGCGCGATCTCGGCTCACTGCAAGCTCCGTCTCCCGGGTTCACGCCATTCTCCTGCCTCAGCCTCCCGAGTAGCTGGGACCATAGGCGCCCGCCACCACGCCCGGCTAATTTTTTGTATTTTTAGTAGAGATGGGGTTTCACCGTGTTAGCCAGGATGGTCTCAATCTCCTGACCTCGTGATCCGCCCGTCTCGGCCTCTCAAAGTGCTGGGATTACAGGTGTGAGCCACTGTGCCCAGCCTCAGCCTGTATTTCTTTTTATTAATTGATTGATTATTTATTTTTTTATGTTCCCCCAAATACTTAGAGATTGATCATTCTCAGTACATCTTAAAAAGTCATGAAAATATGCTCTTGCCTTAATCTGAGGGTCTCATTTCCTTTCTGTGGACTCCACTGTGTAGATAGCTATACTGTTTTCACCCAGTGTCACAATCCTTGGGCGCGGAACATAGAGGTGGGATATGCGTGTGTGAACAAGGGAGAACTGGATGTTTGGAGCAGACTAAAACCTAGACAAATTGGGAATAAAGAAATGCCTGGGATGTATGGGAAACCAACACCACCAAGACCTTAGCACTTGCCCTGAAGGAGTTAAAGTCCCTAACCCAGCGCTCCATGCAGAGCAGAGACAGGTCTCCTACCCTCATCAGGTAGGAACTGTCAGTGAGAGGCAATGTGAAGCAGGCAACATAAATTTTTAAAATCTCATAGCTTGTTTATGCGGTGGGGCCCGGGTCCAGGATCAGCAGAGTCCTCCATATGCCTTGTGCATTCCCATTTAGCTGACTGTTCCTTATCTTTGCAAACTCTGCTCACTCTACCCAAGCCAATCCTGTCAAATAGAGCTCATTAACTATGTGTCACTCCACCCCTGGTTGCTAATTTGCATGGTTTTGTTTATTGCAGCATCATTGTCAGAAGGAGGGTGAAACTTTACAGGGACAAAGAACAGGAAAGTTCTTGGACAATTTGGTACTATCTGGCCTCTCCACTCTTTAGTTAAGCATCTCTTGTATCCTTACCTGTCCTCTTTCTCTAGGCTGGGAGGATGGAAAAACACTGCCACTTCCTCCTGCATTTTCAAATATCTTAATGAATAAAACATCTTTCCTAAAATCTAGTAATTTAATCTAAATGTCATCCCAGTGTAAGTCATCACTGTCTTCTCTTGAAACGTTGTGTGTACTTTTGTTCTGTTTTGTTTTTATATCTTTTCTCTGCCTTTGGTGCTATTTTACCTAACTACAATATGTCTAGGTGTGATTTTCTATTTATTCACCTGTCTTGGGGTTCCTGTGCTTCCTGAGTCTGAGGATTCATGTCCTTCAGCACGTCTGGGAAGTTCTCAATCTTTCTGGCCATTACCTCATTACCTATTGACCCAGTCATAGTCTTGTTTCTATTATTATAATGGGTATAATGTCTCCTTTTCTGAGATCCTTGTAAAGTTGCATCTTTCATAATTTTCATTCTCTTTCCCTCTGGATTATGTTTAGAGTAATATGGCAGTATAATCAGATCTAATATCAGGTTTACATGTTATATTGCCACCTTCTTCATATGTGCATTTCTGGCCCATTCATTAATTTTATTTAAAATTTTAATGATTATATTTTTATTTCTAGATGTTCTACTCACTTGATGTTCTATTCTGGTGTTATAGGGCCAACAGGTTTGGATGCCCCTTGTGTAGTAACAAATCCATTACACTGAAACAGCAGGGTTTGCAGCAGACAGAGTTCAATGATTTCAGGGCACCCAGTGAGGAGATGGGAGGAGACCGTCAAATCCATCTCCCCCAAGAATTCTGGGCTGGAGTTTTTAAGGGGACCATGGAGGGCAAGGGGCTGGAAAGTTGGGGTCATTGACTGGTCAAGGTAGGGGGTATGAAATCATCAAGATGTGGAAACTGTATTCTTTGGTGAATCAGCTTTTCATGGGGTCCCTCAGACAGCTGGAGTAAGTGGCATCCTTTAGACCAGCCGACGTCAGTGGTTTCACTGGTATACAAGACCTAAAAGAATATCTCAAAGGGAAAAGTTAACATTTTGTAATGTTCAAGTGGCTATTGATAGAGCAGTTAAGTAGAACTAGGATCTTGTAACAGGGTCTACCTGATTCTAGGATGATAGGCACCAAACAGCTATGAGGAAACCTGTCAGAGAGCAAGCTGACTTAATGATCAATGCCGAATGTGTTGCAAGCTGAGTGTATTTTCATCTCTCCCTTTCCCTTATTTTCTGATTAATTTTATAAAGTTTATAAGGGTGGTGGCCGGGCGCAGTGGCTCACACCTGTAATCCCAGCACTCTGGGAGGCCCAGGCGGGTGGATCACGAGGTCAGGAGATCGAGACCATCCTGGCTAACACGGTGAAACCCCGTCTCTACTAAAAATACAAAAAATTAGCCAGGCGTGGTGGCAGACGCCTGAGTCCCAGCTACTCGGGAGGCTGAGGCAGGAGAATGGTGTGAACCCAGGAGGCAGAGCTTGCAGTGAGCAGAGATCACACCACTGCACTCCAGCCTGGGCGACAGAGTGAGACTCCATTTCAAAAAAAAAAAAAAAAACGTTTATGGGGTGGTTTCACTAGTATATTACTAGTTTCCTATGATTTTGAATCCTCCTTTTATTTCTTTATTTTAAATGTGCTCGTCCATAAACTCTAAGAATTATCTGAAGTTCTTAAAGGCCTAATGCTGCTAATTATCATACCTAACTGACCCTAATGTATTGTTTATGTGGTATTCATGGGTATCATTTTATTGTATTGTTTCAATACATTACTCACAACATCTTGTATCTCCACGTTTTTCTTCAATTTAGATGTTCAGATTGAACTGAATCTGGATTATACTTTACCCTAGATCAGCTCCTCCCCTTCTGTTCCCGTTTCTCCTGGCTTGGCTACATGCCTTGTATCTTTGAAGGAGGTGGCTTATGTACTTTGTGCTGCTGAAAACTCTACTCACAGCTGCCATAGTACAAGCTCCCACAGGCCTAGGAGCCCTGGTGTGTGTGCAGCCTTACCTGATAAGGGAGAAATTGCTGCACCTGAGCATGGATTAGGCTGGACCACGAGATGCTCTGGCTTCCAAGCTGCTTACTCAAGGGTCTAGGCAACAATCCCAGAAACATAAGGGACTTAACCCCCTGTACGGTGTACTTTGACCAGCAAGGAAGAAGAGAGTGGAATGAGCCAGGAAGTAAATTTCTCACTCTCTCTCCTCTCACACAGACTCCAGATGCAGTGGTTCCCCCAGCCCTTATCCAGTGGGTTTTGTTTTGAAGGGGTGGCTAGCTAAGGAATGCGTCACCTTGAATTTATTTTTGGTGCAAGGATGACTGACACATAACACTACAGGGATTCAAAGTTGTGAGCTTATATTGGCAGTGTTCAAATTTGCTTTCTTGCAGATTTTTAAAATTAAGGTATAATTGACATAAAAACGTATACATTTTTAATATATACATCTTGATGAGTTTGTAAGTATACAGCCATGAAACTTTCACTCCAAGCAATGTCATAAACATGACTATCACCTCTAAAAGTTTCCTCCCTCCCTCTTTTTTGGTGATAAGAGCATTTAACATAAAATCTACCCTCATAAAACGTTTTCAAGTATATGATACACTATTGTTAACTATAGATGCTTGGCTGTACTGTACATCCCTAGGACTTATTCATCTTGCAAAATTGAAGCTTTTTTTTTTTCCTTTGAACAACACCTCCCTGATTCACTCTGTCTTCAGTCCCAGTAGCCACCATTCTACTGTCCGTCTCTGTGAGTCTGATTACTTTAGATCCCTGATGTAAGTGAGATCATGTAATATCTGCTCTCTGTGTCTGGCTTATTTTACTTTGCATGATATCGTCCAAGTTCATCCATGTTATATCAAATTGCAGGATATTTTTAAAGGCTAAATAATATTTCATCGTATGTATATATCACATTTTTTATCCATGCATCTGCTGACAGACACTTAGGTTGATTCCATATCTTGGCTATTGTGAATAATGCTGCAATGAACATGGGCGTGTAGATATCTCTTTGAGATCCTGATTTCAATTCTTTTCAATATATACCTGGTAGTGGAATGACTAGATAGTATGGTAAATTTTGTTTTTCAAAGAGCCTGTACACTGTTTTCAATTATGGCTATACATATTTACATTCCCACCAAGAGTTTACAAGAGTTTCTTTTTCTTCACATCCTTTCCAATACTAATCTTTTTTTTTTTTTTTTTTTTGTTAACAGCCATCCTAACACGTGTGAGGGGATATCTCATTGTGGCTTTAATTTGCATTTCCCTGATGGTTAGTAATGTTGAGCATCTTTTTGTGTACCTATTGTGTATCTTCTTTGGAGAAGGGTCTATTCAGATTTTTTACCCATTTTTACAATTAAATTATTTTTTTGATTGTTTTTTTTTGCTATTGAGTTGTATGAGTTCTTTACATATTTTGGATTTTAACCCTTTATGAGATATATGATTTGCAAATATTTTGTCCCATTCTGTAAGCTGACTTTTCGCTTTGTTGATTGTTTCCTTTGCTGTGCAGATGCTTTTTAGTTTGATAGAGTACCATTTGTCTATTTTTGCTTTTGTCACCGTGCTCTTGGTGTCATATCCCAGAAATCATTTCCCTTCACCTCATGGTGTTGATGCCTTTGTGTAGCCACTTCCTCTGAGTGAGGGCAGGATTTGTGACTTTCTTCTAACCCATAGAATTTGGCAAAGGTGTTGGGATGCACAGGATTACGTTACATACGATTGTAACTCCTCTTTTGCAAGGAGACTCTCTCCCTTGCTGGCTTTGTGGAAATAAACTGCCATCTCTGAGCTCCCTATACAGAGAAACACATGGCAAGGAATGGAAGGTGACTGTGTCAGTTCCTAAGGCCACCAAAACAAATTACTACAAACTTAGTGATTTAACACAAATTAATTCTTTCACAGTTCTGGAAGTCAGAAGTCCCACACAGGTCTCATAGGACTAAAATCAAAGTGTTGATTAGGCTGTGGGCTTTCAGGATGCCCAAGAGGAGAATCTGATCCTTGCCTTTCATTTCTGGAGGCTGCATGCATTTCTTTGCTCATTTCTCCTTCCTCCATCTTCAAAGCTAGCAACAGCCTGACTGCTTTTTTTCCTTGTTGTTGTCACATTTCTCCCTAACTGACTATACCCAGGAGAGGTTCTATACTTTTAGGATTCACATGTTCAGATTGTACTCAGCTGGATAATACAGAGTCCTCTTCTCATTTATCAGCCTTAATCACACCCACAAAGTCTGGTAACAGATTCTGGGGATTAGGGAATGGGCATCTTTGGGGAGGCATTAGTTTGCTTGGTATAGCGACCTCCAGCCAAAAGCCAGGAAGAAATTGAGGCCCTCAGACCAACAACCCACAAGGAACAAATGCTGACACCAGGCACATGAGCTAAGAAATAGTTCCTTCCGCAGTCAATCCTCAAATGAGACTGAGCCCTGGCTCACACCTGGATTGAAGCCAAGGTATGCCTGGACTCCTGATGTACAGAAATTGAGATAATAAATGTGTATTGTTTTAAGCAACTAAGATTGTGGTAATGTTATTATACAGAAATTGTTAGCTACTACATTGTACAGAAGTCTGTTTGGCTTTGTTCTTGCCTGTTTCTCCAAATTCATCTGCATTGCCCTCCCTTCAATTCATGCATGCATACGTTCACAGAAACACACACACAAACACACCACCTACAATAAGTATCTACTACTAATTACTTACACAAAACACTAGGTTTTATGTCTCTGTACTATGAGAAAGAATATCACCCAATGAGAAAAAACAAAGGCTATTTATTCGGAGTTTGCTATAACAAAGAGTCAGCCACCATCACTTACATTTGTCATACAGAGGAGTAGAAAGCTGTATAATGGAAAAAAAAGGTAAGGTATTAGGTATTCCCTGACTGAAGGCACAGGGAAGCTGGAGTTGGGCTAATTACAAGTAGGGCAACCCATGTGATTGCTTAGGAGTGAATTTAGGCTTTCTCTAGTTGTTGGAAGTTGGGGAAACTATCAGTTATTTATCACAACCTGGCCAGTTTAGGCTGATAGTTACAGGGGTGGTTGTTTGGCTTTCTGGATTGGTTGCTGCAGATAATTGGTTGACATTCTGGACTGATTGCTGCCAATTGCAAGTCAGAACTTTATTTTTGTATATGGTTCGGCCATTGTCCATCTGTGTATTCAGCTGCTTAGCACTTTCACAAGTGCTGTCTTCTCTGCCTAGAGTGCCCTTCCTAACACCTTATCAAGCTGCCAAACTTGTATTCAACCTTCCAAACTCTGCTTAAGTTAACTTCTTTTGTAAAGCTTGCTGCAGTCACTCAGCTCTTTATTAATCTCTTTGGTACTATGTTTACATCAGCACTGAGTGTGTCATACTATATCAGTTTGCATATATTTTTCTCTCCAACATAACTGTGAGCTTCTGTTTCTCCAGTATCTAGCCCAGGGCTGGGTAGCTAGACACTCAGTACCTGTCTATTGAGTAGAGGTAAAATAGCCAGGGCTGGTGACAAACTGAATATTCTCATATTTTTTATCCAACCCAGTGTTGTCATTTTAATGTGAACTGAAGCCATGGGGTCTTCTGATGTTGGAATTGAAAGGTGTCATGCCCATCTTGGCCTACTGCTAGAAAGAGAAAAGGAATGGCAAGAGCCTTACCCTAATTTCCCCTGGGAAAGAGTCCAAATAGCAACCCAAAGGCAGGCCCCCGGACCCAGGTTATTGCTGGTATTCCATGCATCCTGGAGCTCTTGGAATGCTTTGGAAGGGCCTAGAGCCACAAGTGTGGTGCTCTGGGGTCTCTATCACAGTGAGTAAAACAAATGCTGGCGCATTGAGGGTGTTTGCGTACAAGAATGTAATCATGAATAATGGAAAATGACTCATCACCTACCAACATGATGATTTAAACTTTCTGAAGAATGAATGGTGTACTCCAAGAAGACAGTGGAAGCAAGGTTGGTGCTGAAGAATTTTGTGATTCTAACACTTTCTGTCCATGTTTTCATCAGCCCCATGTCATGGAAACACCATTATAAATACGCAAAGGGGTATGTATAAATCTGTTGTTGTATTAGGAACTCAAGAGTAAAGGTAAGCCTACAGCTATGCTATTTCTTGGACTTCTTTAGTCATCAAGCCAGGCAAATGAATATGTTAGGGATTTTTCTCTTTTTATGTTTTTTTTTTCCCACCAGCTCAAATCCCTGTATGGTTAATTAAAAGCAATGGCATCATCTCTACTGTGATGGAACAATCTCATTTCAATAATCCGTCATACTAATTAGGAAGGGGAGAAGGGATTTTTATATTTCCAATTTGTCTATTCTAAAACTAGTAGAATTCAGAGATGAGTCAAGGAAAATCCAACAGGCAAAATTTTGTTTGGAAAATTATGCTTCATAAATCTTAATATGTGACTTAGATTTAGGGCTCTTGCATTATTATTGTTGCTGAAAACTAATAATCAGTTATATTTGCAATAATAGTAGTAGTAGTAATCATCATCATCATCATAATAGCAGATAGCATTTTGGAATGTCTACTGTAATCTACATCATCATTTCCCCAAGTGTGTCCATATAACACTAGTCCTTTATCATGAAAAATACTTCCATAGGTCAGAGATGCATTGAAAAACTCAATACTTTAGCCTCCCTTGGAGAATTACAATGTTCACTAGGAAAAAAAATTCCCTCTTTTCTAGTTTTCTATTTGTAGGAGTCTTGAAGTTAAAAAAATTATATTCAGAACTGTCAAAACATATTTGATAATGAAATAGTTTATATGTGGAATACTTATTTGCATCATGGGAATTGGTAGTTCATGGAATAGGTTTTGGTATTTTAATTATTAAAAACAATCTACTATACAGTTATGCTATTTTATTACAGATAAGAAAAATGAGACTCAGGAGGCGTGGTGTTTTGTCCAAAGTCAACAAGTACATTCCATCTCTGGAACTGAAACCTACAACTGTCTGGCTGTAGTCTATGCCCCTGATGAATGTACTTTGTTGTCCATGTGGGTTTTGGTTTGTGCATGTATTTGGCCATTCAAGTTAAATCTTCTATCCTTATTCTCTGTTAGGTGTTCTTTAGAACATTTGCAGAATAAAAGACCCACAACTAGACAGTGAACCTTTATATGATTCTTCATACCAGGCATAGTGGAACGTTGATTCCTTTGCTGATACAGAAATTCATGCCCGCAAGACAAGCATAAGGCCACCAGATGGGGGAAGGAAGAGAGGCAGGGAGAAAGCACATCTTTTGTTTGCACCTCTGGGTGTCAGGCACTGGGCTGCACATGGGATACTGGGAAACACAAGACAAGAATGTGTCACAAAGACTTCCACCAAGGTGTAGGTTAACTAATGACTTTTTAGAATTTTGGCTTTTGATGAACACAAGTTCTTAATTTTCACCAGGTTCAAGTTATCTTGTTTTTCCTTTATGAGTAGTTCTTTGTAGCTTGTTTAAGAAATCTTTGCCTAAAACCAGAGTATAAAGATATTCTACTGTTTTATTCTGAAGATTGTTTTTCACTTTCAGACTTATGTTGATGGTTTTCCTCCAATTATTATTGTTTAAGGCATACTGTGGGATAGTGTGGAAAGTTCATTTTTTCCCATACATATTTTCTGACTCTCTATTTTGACCTATTGCTTTATTTATCTTTGTGTCGATAGTCACACTGACTTTATTACTGCAGCTTCATACTACATCTTGAAACTTATAGATCCTCTAACTTCTTTTTAAATATTGCCTTGGCTATTCTATAGTCACAGCATTTCCACAAAACTTTTGAATTTGTTTATCAATACCCACAACACTAACATAAAAAGAATGACCTGCTGCAATTTTAATTACAATTCTATTGAGTCCATAAATGAATTGGGGAGAGTTAAAATCTCAGTAATATTGAATGTCTCAATCCATGAGCGTAGAATATCTGTCAATTTGTTTAGATATTCTTTAATTTTTCTCAGCAGTATTTTGTATTGTTCCGTATGGAATTCTTACATATCTTTCCTTAGATTTATTCTTAGATATTTGGCTATTTAAATATTATACACATTTCCATGGATTTATTCCTATATATTTAATATGTTCTTATGTAATTGCAAACAGTATTTTCAAATTTATTTTTCTATTATTTCTTGCCAATATATATAAACATAACTGTCTTTTTTTGTTGTTTTTTATTTTTATTTTTTTTTTGAGACAGAGTCTTCCTCTGTCACCCAGGCTGGAGTGCAGTGGCACAATCTCAGCTCACTGCAACCTCCACCTCCTGGGTTCAAGCGATTCTCCTGCCTCGGCCTCCCGAGTAGCTGGGATTACAGGCACGTGCAACCATGCCTGGCTAATTTTCGTATTTTTTAGTAGAGACAGGGTTTCGCCAATTGGTCAGGCTGGCCTCGAACTCCTGACCTCAGGTGATCCGCCCACCTGGGCCTCCCAAAGTGCTGGGATTATAGGCTTGAGCCACTGTGCCGGCCGACATAATTGTTTTGATACAGACCTTGTTTCTGACATCTTTGCTAAATTGATTTATTAATTCTAACTGTAGATTAGGTGATTTCTACATCCATAATTGTTGCATTTATAAAGAAAAATGGCTTTATTTATCCCTTTATAAATTCTCATAATTTTAATTTAATTTTTGTGCATGACTGCCCTGGTTAGTGTCTCCAGTACACAGCCAATTAAAGGTGAGGAGAGTGGACATCATTTTTTCTGTTCCTTTTTTTCAGAGGGAAAGCATATATACTGAATCATTGAGTATGAGATTAGCAGAAAATTTTTAGCTGATGTTATAACAGATTTTAAAAGTTTCATTTATCTCATTTACTGATAAGTTTTGATCATTGACAGGTATTGAATTTTGTCAAGTGCTTTCTATATATTTACAGGAAAGGTCATAAAAATTTCCAATTGTATTCTGTTCATGTGTAAATTAAAATGATTAGAATTTTAGTATTAAGCCAAACTTGCATTCCTGGAATAAATCCCACTTTGTCAAATTGTGTTACCCTCTTCGTAGATCACTGGATTGTATTTGACAAAATCTTCTGTACGATTCTAATATCAAAGTTTATGAGAGATGTTAACCTGTAATTTTCCTTTCTTGTAAGAGTCTTCTTAGTTTTTCACATCGTTATGCTCATTGCATAAAATTAGTTGGGAAATGTTTTTTTAAAAAATTTTATTTTCTAAAAGACTTTGTATAAGATTAAAACAATTTCTACCATAAATGGTTTGAAATATTCACCTGTGAAGCAATCTGGTCCTCAAGCTCTTTGGAGGAAACTTTTTTATTTCAGATTTAACATATTTAACCAATTTAGAGCTATTTATGTTTTTATTACTTTTTTATCTATTTTGAGTAAATCGTGTTTGCCAAGGAATTTGTCTATTTTATCTAGATTTTCAAAATAATCAGAATACATTTTTTCATAATCATCTGTTTTGTTATCATTTCAATGCCTAAAGGATGTGTTGTTCTTTCCTCATTTTAATTCCTGATATTGGTATTGTTTTCCTCTTTGTCTTTCTTGGTCAGTGTTGCTAGACACAAGAATTTTATTTATCTTTTCAAAAACCAACTTTTGACTTTGTTAATCTTCTCCATCGTTCATTTCTTTCTTTTTTCTTTTTTCTTTTTTTTTTTTTTGGAGACAGAGTCTAACTCTGTCACCCAGGCTACAGTGCAGTGGCGTGATCTTGGCTCACTGCAACCTCCACCTCCCAGGCTCAAGCAATTCTGCCTCAGCCTCCCAAGTAGCTGGGATTACAGGCGCATGCCCCCATACCCAGCTAATTTTTGTATTTTAGTAGATACGAGGTTTCACCATGTTGGCCAGGCTGGTCTTGAACTCCTGACCTCAGGTGATCTGCCCACCTCAGCCTCTCAAAGTGCTGGGATTACAGGTGTAAGCCACTGCACCTGGCCGTTTATTTCTTTTATAGCTATTAACTGATTTACCTTTTCATTTGCTATTGTTTCCTTATTTCTTCTTCCTTTGTGTTTAATTTCCTATTCATTTTTTAGAAGTCTGCACTGCAATATTAGATTATTAGTTTTCAATATTGTTTTCTTTTCTAATTTATACATTGGAAGCCATAGATTTCCCACTTTGACCTTCTTTGAGTGAATAACATGATTTTTGATGTGATAGTTTTTTAAAATTTGATTTTTATCATCATATAATTTAAAGTATTTTCTAGCATATTGCTACAGTGTTGATTAGTGAATTATTTGGAATTGTGTTGCTTAATTTTCAGTTATTTGAAATTTCTCATCATCTCTCTTCTTTTAAATTAAAATCATATTCACCTGTGATCAGAAAACATACACTGTATTATTTCATCTTTCAAAACTTGTGGCAATTTGTTCTATGTCTATAATTATGTTTTCGTAAAGAGGCCCTGAAATTTTGAAAGGAACGCAGTTACTAGATGTTGTCTTAGTCCATTTATTGTTTTGCTATAAAGGAATACCTGAGACTGGGCGATTTATATGGAAAAGAGGTTTATCTGACTCACAGTTCTGCAGTCTGTACAGGAGGTGTGGCACCAACACCTGCTTCTGGTGCTGCAACCACTCATATTAGAAGGCCAATGGGAGCTGAGCTGGCCTGTGCAGAAATCACAAGGTGAGAGAGAGGAAGCACAAGAGAGGGGAGGGTGGTGCCAGGCTCTTTTTAACAGCCAGAGCTCATGGGAACTAATGTAGTGAGAATTCACTCACTACCAGGACAGCACCAACTCATTCATGAGAGATTCATCCCCACAACCAAGACACCTCCCCATAGGCCCCACCTTCAATATTGGGAATCAAATTTCTTTCTTTTTTTTTTTTTGAGACGGAGTCTTGCACTCTCGCCCAGGCTGGAGAGCAGTGGCACCATCTCGGCTCACTGCAAGCTCTGCCTCCTGGGTTCATGCCATTCTCCTGCCTCAGCCTCCGGAGTAGCTGGGACTACAGTCACCCGCCACCATGCCTCACTAATTTTTTGTATTTTTAGTACAGACGGGGTTTCACTGTGTTAGCCAGGATGTTCTCCATCTCCTGACCTTGTGATCCACCTGCCTTGGCCTCCCAAAGTGCTGGGATTACAGGCGTGAGCCACCTCACCCAGCCGGGAATCAAATTTCAATGTGAGGATTGGAAGGATCAAATATCCAAACCACAGCAGGGGTCATATTTCATAAATATCCTTTAGGTCAGTTAATTGTGTTACTGAAGTCTCTGAATTTACTGATCGTTTTGTTCTACTGATTCTTGTTCTATGGGTTCCTGAGACAGTGTATTACGGTGTAGTTATGATGGCAGACTTGTTCTCTCTCCTTTCAATTCTATCATTTTAAAAAAACACATTTGAAGTTATGCAATCAGATTCATACAAATTTATTATTATTGACATATGTCTATCCTGCTGAATTTACCCTTTTACTATTATAAAATATTTCTCTAGTCTTTTATAATACATTGTTTTTTAAAACCTGCTTTGTCTAACATTGATATACCTATTCCAACACTTTTTGCGGTGGGGATTGTATGCTTAATTTTGTGAGTTCTTTTACTTTCAATGTATATTTCTCTTTGTATTAAAGTGTGTTTCTTGCAAACAGCATATAGTCAGGCTTTGTTTTCCATGTTGCAGCAGACAGCTGCATTTCAGCTTTTATTTGGAGTGTTTACTCTAAATTTCATTTTTATTTGGAGTGTTTATTTGTATTTCATTTCATTTTTATTTGGAGTGTTTACTCTATTTGTATTTCATGTCACTGATATAGTTAGTTTTAAATCTACCACTATTATTTTCTATGTGTCTCATATGTTCTTTTGTCCTTTATTCCTTATTTTTTATTTTTAATAACTTAATTAACATAAAATTTACACAGAATGAATAACAACCATTTACAATGTATAATTTAATAAGTTTTGACAGTTTTTACACTCACATGCCCCACAGCCAAAACACAGAACATTTCAACCATTTTCAAAAGATTTACCAAAACTCCTTTGCTAACTATCCTTCCCTCAACTCCCCACTTTCCATCCTTCTCAGGCAACCATTGACATATACTGTTTGACTCAATAGCTTAGTTTACATTTTCTAGACTTACATGTAAATGAAACCATGCAGTATGCATTCTTTTGGGTCTTGCTTTAGTCATTCAGCATGGTAATTGTGAGATTCTTCGGTGTTATTTTTTTCCACTAGTAGTTGATTCTGTTTTATTGCTGAGAAAGTATTACATTGTGTGGCTCTACCATATTCTGTTTATCCATTCATCTGGGTTGTTTCCAGTTTTTGCCTATTATAAATACAGCTGCTATGAACATTCATGCACAAATCTTTGTGCAGATAGACATTTTCATTTACCTTGGGTAAATGCTTAGCACTCTGGCTGGGTCCAAAGCATTTTTTTCAACAGTGTTTGATCTTGAGAAATTCCATTCACCTCTCAGCCTCTTAGCAGCTGCTATTTCCGGGTAACTCAGAGTCACTCCCCATATTTAGCAATGTGTCACTTATTCAAGGACCTGGGGGTAGCTTCCATGCAGACTTCCAGGGCTTCCTCTTCCTAGTTGCTCCTCTGGCACCCTGCTTTCCAATCTCAGCTGCCTTATCATCTCCCACCTCTGGATTCAACCCCCTCTGTCCAGTGAGGTTGCCCCTTCCAACTTGGCCTTCACCTTCCTGTGCCATGATCTGGAAATCATTCCCAGGGAGAAAGCATGGGTAAATGAGGGCTCTGTGTTGTTTGTGCCAAATATTTGTAAATATTTGTTTTATATATTTTACTCAGATTTTAGAGTTTTGGCCTGATTTGATAGCCTCATTTTCTTTTCTGTGTAATAGTTCTCACCTTGTCTACCCTGAAAGTTTTCCAGTAGTGGCTGGGCGCGGTGGCTCACGCCTGTAATACCACCACTTTGGGAGGCTGAGGTGGGTGGATCACCTAAGGTCAGGAGTTTGAGACCAGCTTGGCTGACGCGGTGAAATTCCATCTCTACTAAAAATAGAAAAAATTAGCCAGGTGTGGTGGCAGGTGCCTGTAATCCCAGCTACTTGGGAGGCTGAGACAGGAACCCAGGAGGTAGAGGTTGCAGTGAGCCAGGATCATGCCATTGCACTCCAGCCGAGGCAACAAGAGTGAAACTCTGTCCAAAATTAAAAATTTTTTTCCAGTAGTAGTAAAATAAATAATGTTTTCAACCTCTCTAATGCAACACTTGGGGCATAGGAGGTATTCAGTACATAGTCTCCTTAATGTCTCTTACCCCAATTCTAACAGAATATTTAATCTTTAATAAAGATCACCAATCCTGTTCAAATAGTTTTTTAAAAATTAAAACGAATATGATATTTGATGCAAGTCTTGGGAAATGAGTAGGATTTCAACAAACGAAAGAGTGTGTACAAACATAAGTGTTTATTAACACCCTAAATGCGACTGATGTCTCTTTTGAGCACTCCTTTGAGGATGTTGCCTCAAATATCATTGTATAAATAGTAATTGGGACTAATCGGATGAAACAACCACAATCTAAGCTTCCATTAGACAATGAGGGAGGCTATTTGGAAGAACAAAAATTACCAAATAGACAGTAATTTACAAAATGGACAGTAATTTGTCAAATGATTTGAAAGTGTTCCCAAAATTTCGAAAATAATTAATGCAATTCCAGAAGTTTTCCAACAGATTTTCTTCTCAGTCCACCAGAAAGTACCCTGGTAGGGGCCATAGACAAATGAAAGCTATCTTTCACTCACTCATTGCTAAGCAGCTGTTGCATACCAGACCCTATGTTAGGCACTAAAGATACAAAAATAATGGAATGTGGAAAATGAGAAGGACTTTAGTCACAAGGCTTCCAAAACACATTCCGTATAAAGCTCTTGGTGTTCTTCGGTAGTTCTTTGTGGGATAAGAGGTAGGAGAGCCAGTGAACATCAGGAGCTCCGTGCCCACCTCAATCAGAACAGCTCTGCTTTTGCTTTTGTAAACTTTGTTTTTGAAGAAATAGTTCTGGATCTGCTGTGTAAGGCTTGATGATTTTTTCAAGTGAACATACTCACGATATGAACACCTGGGTTGAGACATAGGAAATCACCTATGCCTTTAGAATCCCCTTTCATTTCTACTCCTGGTCAATACACCCCGAGATGTAACCAGCCTTTTGACTTCTACCACAGTAGACAAGTTTTCATGATTTTGAACTTCCTACCAGTGGACTAATCCAGTATGTATTCATTTATGTTGGCTTCTTTCACTCAACATTATGTCTGTGGGGTTCATTCTTGTTTGCATGTAATTGTTCCAGTTATAATAGCCACATAACAAGTCATCCCCAAATGTAGTAGTATAAAACAATCATTTATTATACTTGCGGACTGAAGACTTTGGACAGGTCACCGTGTGGAGGGCTTGTCTACAAACCACAATCTGAGGCCTCAGCTAGAAAGTTCAAAGTCTTCTACATTCACCTGTCTGCTGGTTGAGTCTGGCTGAACGCTGACACCTTAGCCGCAACATGTGGGATCTCTATGTGAGTTGGGCTTCCTTCTGATACGGCGCTTGGGTTGCAAAATTGAGCTTATTGAGAGAGTGAGAGAGAAAAGCATGAGTCATATCTCCTTTTCAACTTAGTCTCCTGATTGAAAGTCACACAGTATCATTTCTATTACATTATACTGGTCAAAGCAACTACAAGGCTTTGCCCAGTTTAATGAGAAGTGAAAAAAAAATCACCTCTCAGTGGAGAAGTGCCAACCTCTCATTGTAAGAAAAATGTGTGGGATGGAATATATTTTGGTGTGTCCAATAACGGAAAATGTCACAGTAGTATTAGGTCATATTTTTTTCCTATGGAATTTGTGATGGTTAATACTGAGTGTCAACTTGATTTGATCGAAGGATGTAGGGTGTTTTTTCTGGATGTATCTGGTTATGACTGGGTGTTGCCAGAGGAGATTAACTTTTGACTCAGTGGACTGGGAGAGGAGGACCCACCCTCAGGAGGGCCCACTCACAATGTGGGTAGGCACCATCCAATCGGCTGCCAGAGGAACTAGAAAAAGCAGGCAGGAGAAGGTGGAAGAAGCAGATTTGCTGGGTCATCCAGCCTTCATCTTTCTCCTATGCTGGGTGCTTCCTGCCCTCGAACATCGGACTTCAAGTTCTTTGGCTTTTGGACCCTTGGACTTACACCAGTGGTTTGCGAGGGGTTATCAGGCCTTTGGCCACAGACTGAAGGCTGAACTGTTGGCTTCCCTACTTTTGAGGTTTTGGGACTTAGACTGAGCCACCACTGGCTTCCTGGCTCCTCAACTTGCAGAAGGCCTGTCATGGGACTTCACCTTGATCGTGTGAATCAATTATCCTTGATAAACTCCCTTTCATATATACATATATCCTATTAGTTCTGTCCCTCTAGAGAATACTAATACAGTATTTCATTAAATGAATATAACACAATTTATTTATCATTTCTATTGCTGATGTACATTTGAGTTATTTCTAGTTTGGGATTTTAAACAAATATACAAAAAATATACTTGAACATGTTGTTTTATGTCACATGCATTTATTTCTATTGAAATAATGGACATGTTCAGTCATAGAGTATGGGTATTCCACTGTTAGTGGTCAATGCTGAAACATGTTCCATAGTGTTTAGGCGAATCTACATTTCCAGTGGTAGTATATAAAAAATTTGGTTGATCTGCATTCTTATTTTCACAAGCGAAACAAGAGGCTGGGAAGCAAGCTGGACCAAGATTGGAGGGAGCTCTGCATCCCTGCCTTGGGGTTCAGACTTTTTCCTCAAAGCCAAGGGTTTTGAGCTGGAGGCCTTCAGGCCAAGCCTGGAAATCCACTTTACATAGCAATATATATGCTGTTGTTGATGCTGCTGTTGCTGTTGTCACTTTTAGCTCATTTTGAATGTCTTTGAGTGGGCATAGCTCACACTTCAGTGTTCCGAGACAGTTACTACTCTATAATTTCTTACCAGGATCCATCTCAGAATTATGCACTTTGCTCCTGAAACATTTAAAAATTAATTTTTTTTTTTTTTTTCTGAGACGGACTTTCACTCTGTCGCCCAGGCTGGAGTGCAGTGGCCTGATTTTGGCTCACTGCAACCTCCACCTCCCAGGTTCAAGCAATTCTCCTGCCTCAGCCTCCCAAGTAGCTGGGATTACAGGCACCCGCCACTACACCCGGCTAATTTTTTGTATTTTTAGTAGAGGCGGGGTTTCACCATGTTGGCCTGGCTGGTCTCAAACTCCTGACCTCAAATGATCCGCCCACTTCGGCCTCCAAAAGTGCTGGGATTACAGGCATGAGCCACCGCACCTGGCTATAAAATTATTTTTAAAAAGAGCAAAAAGATAGCAAATTCAAAGTTCAGAATGAAACTTACTTTTGGGGGAGAGGCAGAGGATAAGTTGAGTGGTTGGTGGTTGCATTCACATTTTGACAATTTAATGTTCTGGTATTAATTATGCTGGTGGGTTTGTGCTTTCTTTAAGCTCACTTACCACTTACGTATATATGCTACATATATTCTTTGTAGGGATATTTGCATATGTATATATTCTTTTAGACAGTCATGCCAGAATAAACTGTCATTGTGATTTTATTAAAATCAATGACATAAATCATTACAATCAATGATTATAAAATAATTGTAATTTTCTAAAATCAATGAATAATTGTATTCAATCATTGGGTTAGGCAATGGTCTAGGTATATAAACATAAATTATCACAGCAGAAAAAATTAAGCTTTACATTTATTTCTTTTGTAAAATTTGTGCAGGTCATAGCAGGTATTATTTATGGGAGGAAATTTGTGAGTACGAGAGACATAATAAGATGAAAATGAAAGGAGATATACAAACTTTCTTTTAGGATAGATGGGAATATTCTACATCTTTTTCTAACACAGGCTGGGCTGTTTGTTTAATTAAATCAAAGGTGTTGGATGCTGGAAACGTGCCCAGATCTGGTTGTAAGCAGCTCAGAAGAGGGTGAAAACCTGGAGGATTGGGAGCAGAGGTGGCTGAGGGGATTGTATACACCGTCAGGCAATCTTCCTCCTCTGATATTTTCCATAAAGGCCCATTCCCAGATGGAGGCTCTAACTTTGAACACTACATAATGCCATTTTTCACAGGAAGTTTGATGCCAAAAGTTACTGTGGGCTCATTATAGCCGTGTACCTCAGGAATTTCAATCTGTTTCTGCTTTTACTTAGTAGATGCTTAATATTTACTGAACAGAAGCCAGATGTCAAGTTTAAACCTCACAACTGACATTCCTATGAGGTTAGCACTGATGTCCATATGTTATAGATGGGTAAACTGAGTCTCAGTGATGTTAAGTAGCTTATTGATAGCAAGCTGTAGTTCCCAAATTCCATCACAATACTCCACATGCTCTTCTGATTATGTGGCCTGCCAGTCTTTCATCAAGAGGAGGAGTCTACAACCCCTCACCATGAAATTCTATGCCTTTGTGACTGCCTTGACCAATGCAGTATAGTAGAAGTGACACTCTATGGCTTTTGGATATGAAAGGAAATAAAGTTTCTTCCTGACTTTCTTAGTCCAGGCTGCTATAACAAAATACCATGGACTGGATTGTATAAACAATAAAAATCTATTTCTCACTATTCTGGAGATTGGAAGTTCAAAGTCATGGTACCCACGTTGCCAGGTAAGCGTAAGGGCCCTCTTCCAGCTCACAGACAGCTGACCTCTTTTATCCTCACATGGCAGAAGGAGGGAGCCAACTCTTTGGCCCCTTCTTCCAAATGCACTAATCCTATTATGAGGACTCTCACTCTCATGACCCAATCATCTGCCAAAGGCCCCACCTCCAAGTCCCATCACATTGGGGATTAAATTTCAACATTCAAAGTTTGTGGGGAACACAAACATTGAGCCCATGACACTGACTCCTCTTTCTTGAGATACATTCTTGGAACCCAGCCACCAGGCTGTGAGGAAGCCCAGGCCACATGAAGAGGCCATGTATAGGTGTTCATGCTGACAGTTTCAGCTAAGGTTTTTAACCAACAACCAGCACTAATGTAGACAAGAAGGAGAAAGCTTCTAGAATGACCCCATCTCAGCCACCATCTGATTGCAAAGGAATGAAAGACCTCCAGAGAGAGCCATTTAACTGAGTCCAGGTGACCCCCAGAACTCTGAGAGGTGATAATTGATAATAAAAATAAAAATAACAAATTATTAAGTTTCTTATGCCACTAAATTGGGATGGTTTGTTAAGTAGTAATGGATAATTGAATCTCCCAATAAACCTGTAGGCATTAAGCCCTTGGCTGGGAAGCTTATACACACTCATATTATAAAAGATGTTGTTAGGATCTCTAGGAAATGGCCACGTTCTTGCTTACAATTCTGTAGATATTCTGAAGACTTTTGTTAATTTGATTTCATCCTCCTTTTCAGGTCTGAAATCCTAGACCTATTGTTCTAGGTACAGCAATAATTTGAACAACTCCATCTCAAGGAGCTCAGAGTTTGATGAAAGGGACAGGCAGAGACAAATAGTTAGAAAACCAAGCAAAAATGTGTGAAGCAGATGAAGGCAAGAAGTTCCATAGGGACACCAAGGAGGGGCAATGTCTGTGTGAGCCTGGATGGTCAAGAAAAAACTTCCTGAAGAAGGAGTGGACTCAGAGAATCCTTGAAGAATTAAATTAGGTTTAATATAAGGGAAATAATTCCCAAGAGGATAGCACAAAGCTTGCAAAGGCAGAAAAGCAAGACATAGTTAGTGCATGGAAGAACAAATATCCCAGCATTACCTCCATGGCCTTGAGGCTGGGCCTGGTAGAGGATGTTGGCAGGATACTACTTTTTAGGGGGCAGGGCATGCCATCTCCAGGATTTGGAGGATAGAGGGTATGGTGTGTAGCAGAAAGACAGTTTGTTCTGCATCTGCTACTGAAAATATAGCTCCCCAAAGCATATCCCCAAATATTTTCATTCTGTAATTCTGGGTTAGAATCTAGGAATTCTGATTAAAAGGAAAAAAAAAGCCTCACTCAATGATTCTGATAATCACCCATATTAGAGGGAAGAGTGTGAGTCAACAAGATCCACTGGGGATTCCTAGCAGGAGAAAGTTACAGTTGGACTGTGCATCTGAATTGATCATTCAGCCAGTAGTTTTGGGCATGGAGTAGGAAGAGGCTGGAGACATGGAGACTGGTTAGAGACTGTGCCATAGACCGTTTGGGTGAGGACTGACAAGGGGCATACCAGGGCAGCCACGGTGAGGGTGAGAGGAGATGGAGTCAATTGCAGTCAGGCCATGCAATTGGCAGGGCTGGTGACTAGCATTTGGTAGAGAGGGGAGAGAACAGTCCAGGATGATGAGTGGCTTTTGACCCAGGTGAGATGGTTCATATTGGGGCTGCCAACTAAGGTGGAGAGAGATAGCATTGGTCAGCAGACAGCCCCAACCTCAGGGGAAACAAGGATTGTTTTCACTACACGAAAAGTAATAATTCCTGTTTGTATTAGTCTGTTTTCATTCTGCTGTAAAGAACTGCCCACGACTGGGTAATTTATAAAGGAAAGAGTTGTAATTGACTCACAGTCTGCATGGCTGGGGAGGCCTCAGGAAACTTACAGTCATGGCAGAAGGCAAAGGGGAAATGTGTTAGTCCATTTTCATGCTGCTGATAAAGACATACCTAGGCAATTTACAAAAGAAAGAGGTTTATTGGACACACATGGCTGGGGAGACCTCACAATCATGACGGAAGGTGAAAGACTCATCTCACATGGCAGCAGACATGCAAAGAGAGCATGTGCAGGAAAACTCCCCTTTTTAAAATCATCCGATCTCATCAGACTTATTCACTATCACGAGACCAGCATGAGAAAGACCTGTCCCCATGATTCAGTTACCTCCCACTGGGTCCCTTCCACAACCTGAGGGAATTGAAAATGAGATTTGGGTGGGGACACAGCCAAACCATATCATTCTGCCCCTGGCCCCTCCCAAATCTCATGTCCTCACATTTCAAAACAAATAATGCCTTCCCAATAGTTCCCCAAAGCCTTAACTCATTTCAACATTAACCCAAAAGTCCACAGTTCAAAGTCTTATCTGAGACAAGGCAAGTCCCTTCTGCCTGTGAGCCTGTAAAATCAAAAGCAAGTTAGTTACTTCCTAGATACAATGGGGATAGAGGCATTGGGCAAATACACTTGTTCCAAATGGGAGAAACTGGCCAAAAAAAAGGGCTACAGGCCCCATGCAAGTCCAAAATCCAGCAGAGCAGTCAAATCTTAAAACTCCAAAATGATCTCCTTTGACTCCATGTCTCACATCCAGGTCATGCTGATGCAAGAGGTGGGTTTCCATGGTCTTGAGCAGCTCTGCCTCTGTGGCTTTGCAGGGTACAGCCTCCCTCCTGGCTGCCTTCATGGACTGGCATTGAGTGTCTGTGGTTTTTCCATGTGCATGGTGCAAGCTGTCAGTGGATCTACCATTCTGAGGTCTGAAAGATGGTGGCCCTCGTCTCACAGCTCCACTAGGCAGTGCCCCAGTACAGACTCTGTTTGGGGGGTCTGATCCCACATTTTCCCTCCACACTGCCCTAGCAGAGGTTCTCCCTGAGGATCCCACTCCTGCAGCAAACTTCTGCCTGGACATCCAGGTGTTTCCATACATCCTCTGAAATCTAGGTGGAGGTTCCCAAACCTCAGTTCTTGGCTTCTGTGCACTCACAGGCTCAACACCACGTGGAAGCTGCCAAGGATTGGGGCTTGCACCCTGTGAAGCCATGGCCTGAACTCTATGTTGGCCCCTTTTAGCCACAGCTGAAGCATCTGGGATGCAGGGCACCAAGTCTCTAGGCTGCACACAGCATGGGGACCCTGGGCCGGGCCCATGAAACCACTTTTTCCTCTTAGGCCTCCACGCCAGTGATGGGAGGAGCACAGTGAAGTCCTCTGACATGCTCTGGAGACATTTTCCCCATTGTCTTGGTGATTAACATTTGGCTCCTCATTACTTATGCAAATTTCTGCAGACAGCTTGAATTTCTCCTCAAAAAATAGGATTTTCTCTTCTATTGCATTGTCAGGCTGCAAATTTTCTGAACTTTGATGCTCTGCTTCCTTTTAAAACTGAATGCTTTTAATAGCACCCAAGTCACATCTTGAATGCTTTGCTGCTTAGAATTTCTTCCACCAGATACCCTAAATCATCTCCTTCAAGTTCAAAGTTCCAGAAATCTCTAGGGCAATGGCAAAATGTCACCAATCTCTTTGGTAAAACATAACAAAAGTCACCTTTACTCCAGTTCCTGACAAGTTCCTCATCTCCATCTGACACCACATCAGCCTGGATTTCATTGTACGTATCATTATCAGCATTTTGGTCAAAGCCATTCAACAAGTCTCTACAGAGTTCCAAACTTTCTCACATCTTTCTCTCTTCTTCTGAGCCCTCCAAACTGTTCCAACCTCTGCCTGTTACCCAATTCCAAAGTTCCTTCCACATTTTTGGCATCTTTTCAGGAACACCCCACTTCTGGTACCAATTTACTGTATTAGTTTATTTTCACGCTGCTGGTAAAGACATACCTGAGACTGGGCAATTTACAAAATAAAGAGATTTATTGGACTTACAGTCCCACGTGGCTGGGGAAGCCTCACAATCATGGCAGAAGGCGAAATGCACATCTCACATGGCAGCAGACAAGCAAAGAGAGCTTGTTCAGAGAAACTCTTCTTTTTAAAAGTATCAGATCTTGTGAGACTTATTCACTATCACGAGAATAGCATGGGAAAGTCCTGCCCCCAGGATTCAATTACCTCCCACTGGGTTCCTCCCACAACACGTGGGAATTCAAGATGAGATTTGGGTGGGGACACAGCAAAACTATATCAGGAAGCAAAGCACCTTCTTTACAAGGTAGCAGGAAGAAGAAGTGCTGAGGGAGGGGGGAAGAGCTCCTTGTAAACCAACAGATCTCATGAGAACTTACTCACTATCTCGAGAACAGCATTGGGAAACCACCCCCATGATTCAATTACCTCCACCTAGTCTTTCCCTTGACATGTGGAGATTATGGGGATTATGGGAATTACAATTCAAGATGAGATGCAGGTGGGGACACAAAGCCTAACTGTGTCACTATTATTAAAAATCATAGCAATTAAATTAATGATGAGCCAGGAAAATATTTTCCACACTTTCTGAAACTGACACATAATTTATAGCTGTAATAAAAAATAGGATTTCTGAAAAAAATATACTAAATGGAGTAGAAATAAGAGCTGAAGCTATACATAGCCTACTGACAGATAAAGAAGTCTAAATGGCTAACATGTCTATTAAAAGTGTTCAAACTCAGTAATTTAAAAATGCTAATTCAAATAATTAAAGGTGCAACTCTATTTACTGTGACAAAAATTACAAAGAAGTACACTTTAGAATGTTGGAGGGGATGTGGAATAGGCGACCATGGATGAACTGCTGATGGTTCAGCCAGGCTAGCCCAGTACAGCTGCCAGAGGGAAGATAGGTATAATTTTTAAAAATAAGAAGGTGCATAGCTGATGAGCCAGGAGAGAAACTGCTATACAAGGAGCAAATATAAGGAAGTTCAAATCAGCTTTGTTTGTGGTAGCAGGTGTGAGAAGAAACCCGGGTGCCCATCAGTGGTGCAATAGATGGATAAAATGTGTGAACACATGCACACACTCTGGGCTATGAAGCAGGCAGAAGTGGCAAACTAGAAGAACACTGGCCAGGCGTGGTGGCTCATGCCTGTAATCCCAGCACTTTGGGAGGCTGAGGCGGGCAAATCACTTGAGGCCAACATGGTGAAACCCAATCTCTACCAAAAATACAAAAATTAGACAGGCGTGGTGGTGGGTGCCTGTAATTCCAGCCACTCAGGAGGCTGAGGCCAGAGAATTGCTGGAACCTGGGAGGCAGAGGTTACAGTGAGTCAAGATCGCACCATTGCACTCCAGCCTGAGTGACAAGAGTGAGACTCCATCTCAAAAGAAAAAAAAAAAAAAACTAGAAGAACATGCAGCAACATGAGGAGATCTTAAAGATGCTGAGTGGAATATCAGCACAATATCATGAATATAAATTTAAAATACAGACACTGGAAACAACACCGCACATTTTACAAGGATACCCACACGTACAGGGAATCTTCGCAAACACATTGTAGCAGCTACCTGTTGGGGAAGTGAGGAATATACTCAAAGAAGGTGGGGAAAGGAATTCAAACAAAATGAGAGAGAATGGGGTGGGGGTTCCTGACTGTTGATACATCAAGAATTGAGAAAAACAATTAACTCAGCTTTCTTCCTCTGATCTCTTTATACCTTCAAATGAAAATCAGAGATGAGAAAAGATGCTGATGCATTTGAGTTTGAGTGGGATATCCAGCTGTTGAAATACAGGAGGCACATGGGAAGGTGTCCTGGAGATCATGAAGGGGGATAATCTGAAAACAGAGCCCATCACAGTGGGAAGACAAAGCCACCAGGAAGAATGAGATAGTGCAGGAAGGGTCAGGGGGTGAGTTTGGTGAGTCCGGGAGCTGGGAACACTCATCATCATGGGTTGGAAGCAGAGGGGAGGCTGCAGGGATGAGGAAAAGGGAAAAGTGTGGCTCAGGGGTGCCAAGGGAAAGAGAGCTTCCAGGAGGGCTGACTGAACAGCATTTTGAAGCAGCTCAGAGGAACTGTAAGATCAGGGCTGAAACCAGCTTTTGGGTTTGGTCATGATTTTATTGCTCATATCATTAAGTAGTACCTTGGTTTGGGTGGATGGCATTAGGGCTGTGACTGAGGAGCAGCTAGGAATCCCTCTCCCCCTCCTGCCACATTGGGAGGTGTGTGAGTCATCTTTCCCATCATTTCTCATCTCTAGACCTCAGTCCTGCAGGGATGAAACTGAGACAATTGTCACTCCATGCACTGTCCTTTCATGGTTTCAATTAGGTGACATATGTGAAAACCATTTTATAATTTATATTGCTTTGAGCATAGTAACTCCTGCTTACACGAGAGATCTGAGTAAGCAGACCAACTTCCAGAAGGACATTCAGAGCCAAGTGAGTTCTGCTTCTCTTTGTTCAAACGAGCAGTAGAGAGCTCAACCATGTAAAGCTATCTTGAGGAAAGTCAGATGATCTGGGAAACTCATGGCCCAGTAAAGTTGACACACAAAATTAACCACCATGGGTCCACCCCTTGACAACTTGGCACCCATATGCCTCTCCTTAAACCATGCTTAATCTAAAAATAAACACAATAACAAGGCCATTCCAACTAATGTGATATAACTGTCCTTTGTACAACCAACAATGCATTCACACTTTCCCAGAAGAGGAGGTAAAGTTCTTGAGAGGTGTTTACTCTTCTTGCTATCTTGAAACTTAAATACAATGATAGGAAGTTAATACATCTTATGTTACATAATAGGGAGGTGAGAGAGGGAACACATATATATATGTGTATATATATACACACACACACACACACGCACACACATACACACACACACACACACAGGTGAAATTTTCATGGCAACTACAGTCCTCAGTTCCATAACAGGCCATGCAGCCATAGCAGGTATTTATAATCACCTTCCTCCACTTCCCATTCTATATTCCCTTTGCCTTTAGCAAGCACCTCAGCTGGCCATAGCTCTTCACCTGATGGGGTGACCCAAATTTTCATTCCTAAAAGGTCTGGGTTTTCAGTAGTTTTTCCCAGATTGAATTGTAGTTTGCTATTGGCCTTAAACATAGGGCAGATTAATAGTAAGAGATACCCAAGAGATCTCTTATTACAGACATGCTCTTCCTTACCTCCACTGAGGAGTCATGGTCCAATATCTGCTGAGTAGTCAGGATGAATCACCCCAGCCAGCTCAGGAACTCCTCCTCTTGCCTGTTTATTCACAGGTATAAAGGAGGCCACAGTGACCATGTGGCATCTTAACTTCTGGTTTAGTGGAATCATTGTTGTGTCTCCTGGTGGAAGCATTCCTCCCTCTAGACCTCTAGGCCAGCAGAGTATAAGGTCACAGAAACAGGAAGCAAAACTTTTGCTAGTGTGTCACCAGGTGTAATCGTGAGTGGTACCACTCCCATTTCCACCCCTTGATTTCTAGACCCATGAATTCTGGCTATGGGAGATGTGGTACCATCTGTTGGATGCTGATTCAGAGCATAGACAGCTTCCTAGAGAACTTTGCCCCAGCCTTGCAAGGTATCACCACCCACATGGTACTACTGTAACTGAGTCTTCAAAAAGCCATTTCTGTATTTTGAAGTGGCAAAGTCTGCTGTTGTTCACTACAGATTTATGTATATATATAAAGGGATTTATTAGGAAGAAACAACTCGCATAATTATGGAGGCTATGAAGTCCCAAGATCTGCAGGGTGTGCTGGCAGCTGGAGATGCAGGAGAGTGGATGTCATAGTTCCAGTCTGAGTCTGAAGACCTGGGCACCAGGGCAGCCAATGGTGTAGCTCCAGTACAAAGGCCAGCAAGTTTGAGACCCGGAAAGAGCTGATGTTTCAGTTCTAATCCAAAGGCAGCAAAAAGCTGATGTCCAGGTTCAAAGGCCATCAGGCAGGAAGAATTCTCTCTAACTGGGAAGAATTTTCTTTCTGAACTGATTGGATGAAGCCCACCACATTAGAGAGGGCAATCTGCCTTACTCATTCTGCTGATTTAAATGTTAATCTTATCCAAAAACACCCTCACTGAAACACCCAGGATAATGTTTGCCCAAATATCTGGGCATCCTGTGGCCCAGTAAAGTTGACATAAAAAATTTACCATCGTACCTCATATGGCATCTGGCACACAGTGCAGTTAGTTAATGTGAAATGGCATGTGTTAAATAAACGAATTAGTGGCATTTGTATTTCTTCTCTGAAGCTTCTAGCTCACTTCTGACAGAGTCACGCAAACAAATACAAATGGAAGCATACCACACCTCTTCTCAAACCTGGATGCCTCTCCCCATTCCCTGTGCAACAAAGTTTACAATTTTCTACATGGTATAAAAGACCTTCCATCAACCAGCCCCACCATTTAGGCTTTCAGAGAATCCCGTGCTAAGATACCACCTGGTTTACAATGATTCTACACATTCCTTCTATTTCCTCATGGATTATAAGGCCCTCGACAATAGGAACTGGGTGTTATGTTCTTAATCTCAGTATCCCATGGAGCAGCAGGTGCAGTGTAGGCGCTCCCTGGTGCCTGGTGATTTAGCAAATAAGTGAAGGCTTGCTTCCTTGTCTCATGTTTGGCAAATGCCTGGGTTCTGCTAGCAGGTGTCTGGAACTCACAGTGTGCAAGTACACAAGGGTGGGCTGTGAGCCTCCAGCAAAAGGGAGGTGTTTCTCTCAAGAAAACTCAAAACCGCTTATGCTTGACCCTAATCCAGGCATTTCACGCAGCACGCCTGATTTCCACACTGTTGCTCTATACTAGTACTCCCATGGTAGTTTTGCCCATATGAGCTTGGTCTCTCAGCTTAACAATACACTAACTATGCTTATGCAGCACTTACTTGATGCCAGCACTGTTCTAAGATCTTTACCTCTATTAGCTCATTTACTTGCCACCACAAGCCTTTGAGGTAGAGACTGTCATTTCCACCACATTACAGATGAGGAAACAAAGGAAGAAGGAAGACAAGTCACTCGCCTAAGTGCACATGGCTGGTTATATGGCGGAGCCAGGATGCAGACCCAGGCAGGTGATTCTTCCTTAGTGGGTTCTGTTTATGATTCTTCTTTTTCTCCATCTCCCCCAACCCCCTAAGCACACGGGACCTGCTCCGATGTACTTTAGAGTATGGGAAGATGGCATCAGCAGCTGTATTTGTTTACTATTGCTACTGCAAAAAGTCATCACAGACTTACTGTTTTAAAACAACATGAATTCATTCTTACAGTTCTGGAGGTCAGAAGTCCAAAATCAGCTTTATTGGCCCCAAATCTCTGTGGCCTTGGGGCTACACTCCCTCCCTAGAAAATAATGCATTTCCTTGCCTTTTCCAGCTTCTAGAGCTGCATCCCTCGCATTTCTTGGCTCCTGGCCCCTTTTGCCATCCTCAAAGCTGGTGAGCAGCATGTCACTTCAGGGCCACCTTGCCATCTTCTGTGTGAAATCACCCTCTGTTTCCCTCCTGAAAAGACACTTCTGACTGCATTTAGGGCCCACCCAGATGATCCGGGATACTCTCCCATCTCAACATTCCTGACTAAAACACATGTGCAAAGTCTCTTCTTCCTTACACGGTAACACTCACAGGTTCTAGGGATTAGAGTCTGGGTAACTTCGGGTGTCATTACTCAGCCCATTACATCAGCCTTCTAGGAATTCATTGCACTGAGTGACCTCTCAGAGGAAGCCAAAATGCCACCAATGGAATGGCCTCATCTAAGCCCTGGGAGCCTGTAGGTGAAGAGCACACTCCCATCCACCACACCTAGTCTACCAAGCTGCACTCAGCCTGACCCAGCTGGCTGGCCATTTACTTTTTGGGGGCACTCTAAGTAGCTTAGGATCAGAACTTCTGAGCTGCCCAAAGTGAGCCTCTTCTGCTCGGGGCCTCAGCCCTCAGCCCACCTCTCCCCATAGTGCCCTCCTGCTGGGGCCTTTAGCCACAGCTTTGTACTTGCAATGTCCTTAGATCTCTAGACATCTCCATGCCAGGCACCTCGGGGGATATAACTTTATAGCCCTTTGTGTTTGTGACATGATTGGCAGCCTCCAAATCTCAAGGCCTTGGGAGGAAGAGGAGTTCAGTTGCCCACAGGCTATGGCTCCAGGAGACTGGACAGATCAAAGACAGAACCACTTAGTTTAGAGAAATCGACTGTTTGTTGGGATATAATCTACACACAACGCAATTCACCCATTTGAGGGGTACCATTCAATGGTTGTGTAATGTATTCACTGAGTTGTACAACCATAATTGCAATCTAATTTTGGAATATTTATATCATCTCAAAAGAAAACCTTTACCTACTGGCAGTCACTCCCCATCCCACTCCAGCCCCCTCTTCCTGGCATCCACTGCTCCACTTTCTTTCTGTATAGATTCACTTATCCTAGACATTTTATGTCAATGGAATTTTACAATATGTGGTTTTTTTGTGACGGGTTTATTTCATTTAGTGTAATTTTTAGAACTCCTTTCTTTCCTCTATAGATTTATCCCCAAATATCTCTCAAGTGCTTACTATGCCCAGAGTGGACTGTTTCAGATAGAGAGATATGATATGCTTGGTCTTTGACCACTAAGGAAGTCGGACCACATATATTTCAAAATTGATGAAGTTTTGATCAATTAATTGATGTCCAGTCTATCTCTCTCAATTTATGAATGCTGAAATGAAGGACAAGAGAGCCAAAGTGATTTTCCCCCAAAGTCCTCCGGAGACAGGACTGGAGGCCAGACTTCCTGATCCTTGTTTAGCATTTTTCTCAGCATGCCAGCTGACTCCATTCACATCACACAGCCAGGACAGAGCCAGGACTAGAACTCACGTCTCCCCATTGCAAATCTTTTGCAATTTTTCTAACATTTGATTCTCAGAAAGAAGTGACATGTAAATTATCTGGGGTGGAAAGTGAAAACGATGTGTAATGATGCAACGTAACTCAACTTGGAGCCAAAATGAGCATATTCCACACCTGGTCATTCCTGCAGCTTACCGTGTGAGGAAGTTACTTTCCTTCTCTGGTCTTAATAAAATATGAGAATCTCTTTAAGGTCCCTTTCACATTTAATATTTTGCAATTTAGGTGGCACGAAGAGTCTGTTTCTCCAAGGTCACAGAGCATTCTGCCTTTATCTGTCTGACTTTAATTCCTAGAAACTAAACTAAGCTATATCATCCTCCATTCTTGCTTCCCTTGAAAAGTCAGTGGGGCAGCCCATCAGAGCTTAAAGAGTGGGCATTGGGTCTTGAACTGCTTACCTTGCAGACAACACAAGGAATTGGGCCTGGTTCTGCCTCCTAAGTCCCCCTTCAGTCTACAGGCAAGCAGAGGCAGCAAATCACACAGAACCCTCTCCTCCAGCTGGCATGACCTCCCCTCATGCCTTCTGATGAGAACATACACAGCTCCTTCTGCCTGTGGTCATTGCCTCCTGTGGGTCTTCCAGGCAGGTCACCGCTCCATGGTGTGGGGCTCAGAATTCTCAGGCTGGGTAACAAGACAGTGAGGTGGAGTTTGATTTCACTGAGGAAAATAGTAATGGAGATGTATTGAATACTTGTTTTCTGCTGACTTAACTCTGCTAACTGCTTTTAGGTCATTTTATTTAATGCCCACAACTCTCTATTCCCTATTTAAAGATGAGGAAATAGGACTGGAGTTTAGGCACCATGCCTTGGGCTACACATTTAGTGGAGTCAGTGTTCCACACAAGTTGAATGCAAAGCCTGAGCTCTAATCTGCCACACTGAGGCACTCCTTCCACTGTGACTCAGGAAGGATGCTAATCCAGTGCACAGCTGGTCAGTCATTCAGTTTCCCAAGTCTGCCTCTGTGTTCCCAAGCAGTAAAGCTGATGTTTAGACACAGGATTTGGGATGCACAGCTCAGTGACAAGCCACTGCTGCCACCTGCACCTCAGCACAACCCCTGTCCTTCCAGGCAGGTGATGAGAGTTGTCCTGAGAATCTCAGCTGACTTTGTCATTTCAATTTAGAGATGTGCAAATATACATATATCTATTTCAAGGGCTTGGCAATACATTTTATAAAAACCACTTCCTGCCCCTGAAATCAATTAGATACATTTCTTAAACTGCAGAGGAGTGTGTCAGCTGCAGTATCTCCCTAAATCGAGTGTGACAGATAATAACTCCATGGCCTGCCAGTTCCCAATGTATCACAGAGCAGGGAGCCCTGATCCTGTCCACTGAAGAGATGTGCCTTTCTCTCCCTCTTTGAAGGCATGCAACATTTGGACAAACCTCTGGATTTGATTTATTGATTCTGGGGGTTCTATATCATAGGATGGATGGATGGATGGAAAGAGTTAACTGCAGAGACTTGGCCTGGCAAGGACTGGCCTTTCAGTTAATGATGGAAAACCATTTATTTATCCATTAATTTATCCATAATTTTCCGGTCCATCTTCTCTGTGTTAAGAACTGAAGACAATGGTGAGCAAAAGCAGATCTGATGTGTGCACTTGTGGGGCTGGGAAACACGCCCACTGGCAGAATTGCATGATCCACCAGGAGTTAGTGACAGACAAGGGGTGGTCCTGAAGCAGGGTGCATGGTGGGGGTGGATTAGAGCAGTCAGGGTCTAGAAGGAGGTAACATAAATCGAGATGACTAGACAATAAACTTCTGGGCAAGACCAAGCAGAGCCTTACAGCAGGCGTAGGGTAGGGGCTATGATTGGATGCATGTTGTGAAATGAGGTTCCCCAGAGAGGGTTGTGGGGCAAACACAACTTGGAGGATAGAACATGTGCAGACTTCATGGGTCCAGAATGCTCAGGACTCCAGTTAGACCCAGGACCTCATGCAGACCAGCAGGTCCCGAGCAGCGGTTCAGGGACGCTGAGCTCCCACAGGGATGTGGTGCATACACTCAACTCTGTTTCTTTGAGAGCTTTTAGGATACCTCTGTTTATAAGTAACAGAAATCCCAAATCAAACCGGCTTAGACAATAAAGGAGGTGGGGTTTGGAGCTGGTTTAATAGACCTGTCTCTGCAATTCCCTTTATTCTGCCCCTCCCTCATGTCTGCTGCCTTTTTTTCCCCTCACAGTGGGGAAACCACAGCAGTAGTTCAAGTTCCAAGCCTTGTATCTGCAGCCACAAATAGAGAGGAAGAGGGGTCTGTTTTTTAGGATTCTCTGCAAAATCCTGAGTTCATAAACCACCCACTGTGGCAAGGGAAATGTCAGGCATCTAGAGGCCGAGGTGAACCACAGAAAGGATGGAATTAATCTTTCAGTCTTAAACACCTCTGTAGCTTAGGGCGGGTTGCAAACAAGCCCCAAATCTCCTAGAACACACAGATCTTCTCCAGAATAGTGGCATCTGATCCTGACCACCCAGGAGAGAAGGTTCATTTCCTGTGGATGGTGAGTGATCCTTCACTGGAGATGGTCAAGCCAAGGCCAAATGACCACCAGGCAGAGCTGTTGGGGACTAGCAAATTATCAGAAGGAAGTTGGACCCAATTGCCTCCTTGTTACTTTGAATCTATCACGACAGTGTTACTTAATTATTCCCCTTATTTTGCTGAAGATGCCCTCACTGAGATCAGCATTTCTCATTACATTAATTGTTTCAATATTGTCTGCTGGGAAAAGGACTTGGCTGGGTTTCAGAGCTCAGGAGCGGTCAGGAGAGGTCAAAGCAAGTAATTTCCCCACAATATGTCGGGCTTTTTACTAACAGTCACAGAATGCAAAAGCCCAAGGACTTCTTTGAGGTGTGGCTGCTGAGGCACAGAGAGGCATAGGGTCTTAACTATGAAGACAAAGGGAGTTGGTGGAAAAAGCAAGTGGGAAGCCCAGCTGTCACGACCCCCTGGGCCATGGTTCTTCCTCCTCACCATGACATCTTCTTGTGGCTAAGTGAGGAGGGCTGTCCCAGGCTGGGCTGCATCCTGCCCTGTGCTTTCACCTGTCACAGGCTGTGCTGCATCCTGCCCTGTGCATTCATCTGTCACAGGCTAGGCTGTGCCCTACCCTGTGCATTCATTTGTCACAGGCTGGGCTGCATCCTGCCCTGTGCATTCACCTGTCACAGGCTGCGCTGCATCCTGTCCCATGCATCCGCCTGTCGCATGCTGTGCTGCATCCTGTCCTGTGCATCCAACTGTCGCAGTTGGGCTGTGCCATACCCTGTGCATTCACCTGTTGCAGGCTGGGCTGCATCCTGCCCTGTGTATCCCTTCACCTGTCAGAGGCTTGGCTGCATCCTGCCCTGTGCATACACCTGTCACAGACTGGGCTGCATCCTACCCTGTGCATTCACCTGTCACAGTCTGGGCTGCATCCTGCCCTGTGCATTTACTTGTCACAGGCTGGGCTGCATCGTGCCCTGTCCCTTTACTTGTCACAGACTGGGCTGCATCCTGCCCTGTGCATTTACTTGTCACAGGCTGGGCTGCATCCTGCCCTGTGCATACACCTGTTGGCCTCTCTGGACATGTCCTGTCCTCTGCCAGCTGACCGCTAACCCTCATCTTTCAGAATTCCTCCTGAGCATCAGAGATGCTGAATGCTTCCTTGATCCCCAAGCTCCTGAAACTTGATCTTTCCTCTGATGGAATTCGAGATCAAGTTTTAGGAGACTGGGGATCAGGGAAGCATTCAGCGTAGAAGAGTTTCTTTTGTACTCTGTGCAAACTTCCCTCCCACTCTCAAAGAATTGAATGGTCCTTGGTCATGTACAGTTGATCTCCTTTCTCCAGACTACGCCTCTTAAGGACAGGACCCTTAACTTGTTCATATTTCTCTGAATGCCTAGCATGGTAGGCATTGTAGAGGTTCAAACAATGCTCAATGGCTGAATAATTGAATGAGGAAGTGAATAATACCTTAAGCGAACAAATTGAAATTACACAAATGCGATCACCATTTCAATTAACATTCCTGTTCAAAGAGGAGATAATAAGAAATCATGCAACATTGTTGAAAAGAACTGTGTGCACTCTCAATAAGCCAACAAGTGAAACTGTTTCACATTTTAACTGAAAGATGTGTCAGAGTATATGGAAAAAACCTTCTGAAACAATAAGGGATATTTTCAGTAAAAAATGTCTATGTATGAATGAATGTATGCTGTCTATTTTAGTTAGGTATGCATTATAAATGTGTGTCTATATTTAACTATATTTTAAATTAGGAATTCATCTGTGAAAGCTTTGCCTAAAGCCTTCCAATCACTTTGCACTGCACTTGGAAAATACTGAAGCCCACTGACAGAGGCTGCAGGCTGTGGCATTTGCCTTCCTCTCCCTGGCATGTCCTGCCACCCTCCTGCTGTCCACACTCGAGACACTCTTGCTGGGGGCTGCATGCACTGACTTGATCCTTTTCAGGGTCTTTGCATTTTTCTCACCATCTCACTCTTACCTCATATTTTAAAATATCTGATTCTTACGTATGATTTGGACCTTTGTTACTGAGAGAGATGCGTTTTCTGGAGTAGTTCTTTTCCCGGTCACCCTGTCGCCTCTTCTTGTGGGATGTCGTTGTTGACTCATTCGTTTGCCTCTTGTCTGCCTCCTTCATTCGAAGGTGAAGTCTGTCAGAGGCCTTGTCTGTCTTGTTCTTGCCATACTCTGATATCCAGCAGGGTATTCTAGCACAGGGAAGTAATATATATTGAAGGGACACAAACATAAAATGAACATAAGCCCATAAAAATTGTAAGAAATAAATAGTAAACTCTTTACGGTGGTCATCTCTGGCAGTGAAGTAACTGTGAGAGTATAGTCTTCCTACTATACTTGGCAATACCTTAAGAATATCTTACATGAACATGTTTGGATTTTTTTTTCAAAATACATTTCTTAAAAATTTATGTCATCTTGGCTTTGAATTATTTTTAACAAAAAGCTCTTGTTGTTTTTCCCCCGGGAATTGTCATCTATACATGCTGTGGCAAACCTTTAAGCATAAATAGAAAAGCTCCTCTGATGATGTCACATGGATGGTGTCCTTGACATCCTTGAAAGATTAAGCAGACACAAGGAAAGGAAAAAATAGACTCATGAGGCTGAATGGAGCCATCCATTTATCTAATCCATCTTGCTTATTTTATTAATGATAGAACTGAAGCTCTAAGAGTCAGGTGCTACAAAAGTGGAAAGATGCAAGAGTGGGGAGTAAGAGTTCTGACCACTTGTTGCTGGGTGACCCTGGCTAGTCCTCTGCACCCTCTATGCACCAGCTTTTTGTACTATAAAACATGAGGGGCGTTGTCTTGCCGGCTTCTGAGGTCTGTTCAGTTCTGCCAACCCACACTGCTCTTTGTGACTCAACAAGTCCTACATGAGAAATTCTGACTACCGTGAAAGTATAACCATGATTAATTTTTTGAGTTATTGATTAGAGAAAGAGCCACACTACTTCAGAGTTTAAGGGAAGTACAGAGAGTAAGATGAGGATATGGCCATGCTGAGCACATCTTCTTCCAGCTATGATGTTGAAAGTCTCAAGCGACTGTCCTCAGCATCTTAAAAACCAAGGACAAGCTGAATAAATACAACAATCATAATTTTAAAAAATCAGAAATCTGCACATGCAGAAACAAAGCCAGAATTAAATTCCCAGAAGGAGTGAAGTCTTCCTAGTCTTCCTAGGAGAGGAGTCCACATATGTTTTCATCCCCAGGGTCATGACAGAAGAAGTGAATCTGTTATAGGAGAACCAAGAAGAAACCAGCTCACATTTTTACCATGTTTCATGGCCACATGTGAGGTGATAGGATGGAGTGGAATTGCTAGGTGCCTGCATCACAAAGCTGGTTGCAATCACTTGCCAGCATTTTCCTTGGGGCCCTTGCCAAGTGTGTATGATATGTTAGAGGTTGGAGGAAGGCAGGAGAGCTAAAAGAGAACTTCCAAGTTGGATGGAGCCTTTCCTGCTGCATGTGAATGCTTGTTTTTGGGTGGAGTCAGGGCAGAAAATATAGAAAAGCTCCTAGAGTGGCCTGCCAGGAATGGAAGGTAGCAATCTTCCAAAGTCTGGAGGTAGATCGGAGAGATGAGAGAGATTGGCTTCACTAAGTATAAGGTGGCCGCTAGCTGAAGGCTGGGACAAGGAAGAAGGAAGGAAATGGATTGCCACAAAAGAAAAAGGCTAGAAGTGGGACAAAAGAGACTCAAAAACCTGATGATTATGCCTATAATCCCAGCACTTTAGGAGGCCGAGGTGGGTGGATCAGCTGAGGTCAGGAGTTCGAGACCAGCCTGTCCAACATGGTGAAACCCTGTCTCTACTAAAAATACAAAAATTAGCCAGGTGTGGTGGCAGGCACCTGTAATCCCAGCTACTCAGGAGGCTGAGGCAAGAGAATCGCTTGAACTCGGGAGGCAGAGGTTGCAGTGAGCTGAGATCATGCCATCGCACTCCAGCCTGGGGTACAAGAGTGAGACTTCATCTCAAAAAAAAAAAAAAAAAAAAAGCCTGGTGACTAGGCTTTAAATCAGACAGAGATAGTTTTTGATTCAGAAAATTGCCAGATGGGTAGTAAAGCATAAAGAAGTTTTTAGAGTTTAACCAGTAGTCAGATCCTGAGAACTTTCTAAGCATAATTATTATGTTCTTTGGATCTACTGTATCCTTGCATATAATGCATACATATAATTTTAAAAAGGTTTAAAGATATGTGTAGCAGCAAACCAACCAAAATGCAGCCAAAATTAAGTGACACAACATTAACCAGAAACAGATCCAGAGGTAGCCCAGAGTTTGAAATGAGGAGATGAGGACTTTAACATAACTATGAAAAATATGTGAGTAAATCTACTGGAAATGATAAGGAGCTTAGATACCTGATGGGAGCTTGGAACTATGAGAAAAACAAAAGAACATCAGATTTATAAATATGTACATAAGTATATTTAAAAACCTTATTTATTATCATGTACACTTTAACATATTGACTGTATAAAGCAAAAATAACACAGTATTGTGGGGTTTGTAAAATCTATAAGTACAGAGCACAAAGGGCAGAAAGGAAGTAAATGGAATTATATTTTTGTGAGATTCTCACATTTTTTTCTAACGTGTATGATTGTTTGAAGGTAGACTGTGATATTAATTATGTCTGTAATAATCTTTAGAGCACAACTCAAACATATCATAAATACATTGAATTTATAAGTACATAAAAGGACCAGGCTCAGTTGCTCATGCCTATAATCCCAGCACTTTGGGAGGCCGAGGTGGGCGATCACTTGAGGCCAGAAATTGAAGACCAGCCTGGCCAACATGGTGAAACCCTGTCTCCAGTAAACATACAAAACTTATCTGGGCTTGGTGGCACATGCCTGTAATCCCAGCTACGTGGGAGGCTGAGGCATGAGAATCGCTTGAACCTGGGGGGTGGAGGTTGCAGTGGGCCAAGATCGCGCCACTGCACTCCAGCCTGGGTGACAGAGCAAGACTCCATCTCAAAAAGAAAAGAAAAGAAAAAAAAAACAGTACAATAAAGGATATCATATCAGTTTTCTACAACTGCCATAACAAATTATCACAAACAGGGTGAGTTAAGCAAATGAAATGTATTTCTCCGACAGTTCTGGAGATAAAAGTCTGGAATTGAGGTGTTGATGGGACCCTGCTCTCTCTGAAGACTCTAAGGGAGGACCCCTCCTTGTCTCTTTCTGACTTCTAGTAATGTTGGCAATACTTGGGATTCCTTGATGAGAAGATGCACTATTCCACTCTCTGCTTCCATCTTCACATGGTGCTCTCTGTGTGTCTCTGTCTCTGTCCAGATATCCTCTTATAAGAACATCACTCACTGGATCAGAGCCCACACAAATCCAATGTCACTTCATTTTAACTTGATTATATCTGCAAAAACTGTATTTCCATATAAGGTCACATTCACAGGTAATGAATAAATCTTTTTGAAGGACACTTTCAACCCATAACACAGTTATAATGTGGTATCAAGAAATAGTCAAAAATGTAAAAGAAGGAACAGAGTAACAACAGATGAGACTAGTAGAAAATAAATACCCAAGTGAAACCCTAAACTTAAAAATAGTGATTATGACACTTACTGCAAATGGATAAGTTCACCACATGAAATGTCCAGATTATAAAGTTGTATAAAGGAAAGACAAGATCCAAGTAGATCTTGATTAAAACAACATAACTTAAACCTAAAGACATAAACAGGCCAGGCACGGTGGCTCACACCTGTAATCCCAGCACTTTGAGAGGCCGAGGTGGGAAGATCACCTTAGTAAGGCCAGGAGTTCGAGACCAGCCTGGCCAACATGGTGAAACCCCATCTCTACTAAAAAAAATATATATAAAAATTAACTGGGCGTGGTGGTGGGAGCCTGTAATTCCAGCTACTCAGGAGGCTGAGGCAGGAGAATAACTTGAACCTGGGGGCGGAGGCTGCAGTAAGCAGAGATTGCACCACTGCACTCCAGCCTGGGAGACAAAACGAGGCTCCAATTAAAAAGAAAAAAAAAATACTTAAACTGTTTAAACATGAAAGGATGTGAAGGGATATCTTTGCAATCACTAAACATAAGAAAGCAGAAGGAGTTCTATTAATATGAAAAAGGAGACGTCAAGATAAGGACTATTACCAGAGATAAAGAATATTTAATAATGAGCAAAGCCCAATTCATCATAATGCCATAACAATCTTAAATTATATGCACCTAGCAACAGCTTCAACTGCTGTGAAGACAACAGAACTACAGGGACAAATAGATAAATCCATCTTTGTGATTGGAGAATTAACATGCTTTTCTCAGTAGCCGAGTAATTGATTTAGGAATCAGAAGAAATGAGTTAGAATGTATGTGGCCAACTGCCACAATTACTACCTAAGACTGTCACTTTCCGCGGTTACTACTGTTACTACTTGAGACCGTCATTACAGGACTGAATGAAAGGGGAGGAACGCAGGAATGAAAACTTAAAACGAAAGAATCTGTTTTAAGGAAGGGGCCAGGGGAAGAAGAAGAGAGCTCCTTGCTTCTAGTGAGCAAAGGCAGCACCCCTGATCTTCTACAGCCCTTCGCATTTATTGGGTAGAAACAGCAGGGAGCACGAGGTAACGACTGGTCAACTGCTTAATTGATCACAGGTTCACATTATTGCTAACAGGCTTCAGATGTGCCTAATCACAAGCAACACTGCACTTAGGGTGTGACTGCCCCCAGCATTCCTTCTGGGTGGCAGACGCAGTTGGTCAGTTTGCCAACATTCTGCATTTATGAGAACAGTTTGCTGTTTACTCATGTGGCCTCCAGTGGTATACTGAGTTGATCACAACCCTTACTCTTTCGGCCTGCAACAAATATAGACTGAGCAACACTACCATTAATTTGGCTTAATTAATATTATAAAAACATGTACCCAACAAATGCAGAAAAAAACTTTCTTTCAAGTTCACCTGGAACATTTGCCAAAATAGACCAAATGTCGGGCCACAAAAAGATTCAATGAAAGCCACACAATTGAGAGTCATACAGAGTATATTTGCTGACTACATTAAATAAAATTTTAAATCAATACAATAACATATCTAAGAAGCTCCAACTATTTGGAAATTATTCAATAAACTTTGAAATAACCCGTGGGTCAAAGAATAAATCTAAAAAAATTGGAAAACACTTTCATATAAATGATAACAAAATATCAATATTTCACAATGCTGGGATGCAGCTAGAGCAATACTTAAAAGGAAATACCTAGCACCAAATGCCAATATTACAAAAGAAATAAGATTTAAAATAAATTGACTAAGCTTCCACCTTGGGAACATGAAAAATTTATAAAAAAATAAATTCAATGTGAGTAGAAGGAGAATAATACAAATAAAATCAGAAATCAATGATATATAACAAAGGAAGACAATAACGTCAACTTAATCAAGATTTGGTTATTTGAAAAAGTTAACAAAATAAAATTAATAACTCCATTGCAAGATTTACTAAGAACAAAAAAGAACAGGTAAGAAAAAGAACAAAGTTGGAGGACTCACAGTTTCTGATTTCAAAACTTACTACAAAGCTGCAATAATTAAACGAGTGTGGTACTGTCATACAGACATTCAGATAAATGGAATAGAATAGACCACCCAGAAATAAATTCTTACATACGTGGTTCATTCATTTCCAACAAGGACACCTAGATCAATGAGGAAAGGACAGTTTTTTCAACAATGGCACTGGAAAAACTGGATATCCATATCCATAAAGAACAAATTTAGACCCTTAGCTTACATCACATACAAAAATGAACTCAAAATGGATCAAAGAGCTAAACATAAGAGCTAATACTACAAAACTCTTAAAAGAAAACAGAGGAGAAAAGTTTCATAGCATTGGATTTGTCAATGATTTCTCAGGTATGGCACTAAAAGCACAGACAATGAAGTAAAAATAGATAAATTGAACTTCAGTAAATCTAAAAGTTTTGTGCATCAAAGGACATTATCAACAGAGTATAAAGGTAATCCACAGAATGGGAGAAAATATTTGCAAATCATATATCTTGTAAAGGACTGATATCTAGAATATATTAAAATTTCTACAACTCGACAAAAAGCAAACAAACAAGTTAAATATGAACAAAAATATTGAACAGACATTTCTCCAAATAAGATACATAAATGGCCAACAAGTGCATGGAAAGATACGCAATGTCACTAATCTGGGGAAATGCAAATCAAAGCCACAACGAGGTATCACTTCATACCCATTAGGACAGCTACTATTAAAAAAAAAACAAAAACAAAAACAGAAAATAAGAAGTGTTCTGCAAAAATTGTGTCACAATTGAAACCCTGTGTATTGCTGGTAAGAACATGAAATGATGTGGCTGCTGTGGAAAACAGTATGGCAATTTCTCCAAAAAATTAAACATAGAATTACCATGTGATTCAGAAATTCCATGTCTGGGTATATAAATGAAAGAATTAAAATGAGAGACTCAAACAGAAATTTGTACACCCATGTTGACAGTGGCATCATTCACAATAGTCAAAATTTGAAAACAACCCAAATGCCCATTAACATATGAATGGATAAGCCAAATGTGATACACATATAAGGTGGAATATTATTCAGTCTTAAAAAAGAATTACAGTCTGCCACATGGTACAACATGGACGAATCTGAAAGGAATTATGCTAAATGAAATAAGACAAAAGAAAGAAGGGAATGGGAAAATATATTTTTTTATTTGTTTGTTTGTTTGTTTTGAGATGGAGTCTCGCTTTATCACCCAGGCTGGAGTGCAGTGGCACGATCTCAGCTCACTGCAACCTCTGCCTCCTGGGTTCAAGCAATTCTCCTGCCTCAGCCTCCTGAGTAGCTGGGACTACAGGTGCACGCCACCACGCCCAACTAATTTTTGTATTTTTAGTAGAGACAGGGTTTCACCATCTTGGCCAGGCTGGTCCCAAACTTCTGACCTCGTGATATGCCTGCCTTGACCTCCCAAAGTTCTGGGATTACAGGCTTGAGCCACCATGCCTGGCTGGGAAATTATTGTTGAATAGGGGAAAAGTTTCAGTTTGGGAAGATGAAAAAGTTCTGGAGCTGGGAGCTGGTGACAGTTGCACAACAATGTGAACGTGCTTAATGCCACCCAAGGGTCCACTTAAAGATGGTTAAAATGATACATTTCATATTATGCATATTTTACCACAATAAAAATAAGAAGAAATAGGACAGAGAGAATAGTGCAGGATTTTTATACTCTCTTCTTAAAAACACAACAACTAATAGCTAAGATATGTCTATGAAGACACACAATACACAGCAGACTTTTAATATGCATTAGTTTCTCTCTCAAAAATATAATCAGGCAAAACATTTAAACAGTGTATTGTATGTATTTCATATTAATGAAGCCTTAATCATAGTAAAAATGTAGAAACAACCTAAACATTCAACATTAAAGACTCGGCTTAAAAAATTAGAGAATAGGCAAATCCATAGAGAGAGAAGATATCCAGACATTATATCTGGGTAGTTGCCGGGGGAGATGGAGGAGAAATGAGGAGTGGCGGCTAATGGGTGCAGGGTTTCTTTTGGGGATGATGAAAATGTTCTAAAATTAAACTGTGGTGGTACTTGCACAGTTCTGTGTATATACTTAAACCACTGCATTGTACATGTTGAATGAATGCATTTTATCTTAAATAAAGCAAAATAGATTTATGAAAGAATGTTTACAAATGGTTTAGTAAGGAGAAAACATGAATTCTAATAGCAGGAAAAAAGGTATATTACTACATATTCAACAGACACAAAAATGATAATGAGGCATTTTTAAAAACTTTAAGCCAAAAAATTTGACTTTTTTTTTTTTTTTTTGAGATGGAGTCTTGCTCTATCACCCAGGCTGGGCTCACCACAACCTCCAACTCCCGGGTTCAAGAGATTCTCGTGCCTCAGCCTCCAGAGTAGCTGGGATTACAGGTGTGCGCCACTATGCCCAGCTAATTTTTTGTATTTTTAGTAGAGACGGGGTTTCACCATGTTGGCCAGGCCTGTCTTGAACTCCTGACCTTAGGCGATCTGCCTGCCTTGGCCTCCCAGTGCTAGGATTACAGGCATGAGCCACCACACCCGACCAAATTTGACAATTTTTTTTTTCTCAAAAAACACAACTTTCTAAGACAAATAAAACGAGATGGGATATCTGCATAGCTCATATTAAAAAATGAAATTTTTAATTTAAAAACTTCCTCCAAAAGAAAACCTCAGACTCAGCTTCAATGGAGAATTATATCAAACATACAAGAAATAATACCAATCTTGCAAACATAACTTTCAAAACAGAGGAGGAGGGAATGCTTCTTAATTAACTTACTCTTTGAAGTTGGCATAAGCCTGAAAATGACAACATAGGAGGATATTAAAAGTAAAGAAAACTACTAGAGACCAACATTTCTCATAGATAGATATGCAAACATTCATAATAAGATATTACTAAAATGAATCTAGAAATACATAGAATGTGACGAGGTAAGGCATATCTCAGTAAGGTAAGGGTGGCTTTGCATGTGAGAATCATTGCATTCACCCAATTAAGATGACAAACCATAGGACCACTTTAGTAGAAGAATAAAAATTACTTGTTATAATCTAATAACTGTTCAGGATAAAAATCTACACCAAACAGAAACAGAAGGCAATGCGCTGAATTTGATGGGAAGGGTCCTCGGAAAACTACAGCCCTCCTCATACTTAATTGTGAAGCACTGAGTGCTTTCCTGCCGTCACTGGGTACTGGGCATGCATGACCACTTGCACGACTCACATGCAATGGCACTGAAAGTCTTAGACCGCAGACCGACAGGCATGCAGAAGCAGGGAGGGCATCAATATCACAAAGGAAGAACTCAAGCTTTCTGCATTCTCAGGTCCCATGATTGTATATGTAGAAATATCTAAGGAAGCTACAAAAGAAAGCTAGAACGCTAGAACTGTTCAATAAATTTAGCAAGGTTAACTTGCCCAACAACTGGATAACCATATTTTTAAAATCTCCATCCCTATTTCAATCATCTAGACAGTAATTTTTTTTTTTTGAGGTGGAGTCTCACTCTGTCGCCCCAGGCTGGAGTGCAGTGGCATGATCTCAGCTCACTGTAGCCTCCACCTCCCAGGTTCAAGCAATTTTAATTTTAATGATATTATCTAACAATACAATTTTTTTTTTTGAGACAAAGTCTGGCTCTGTCACCCAGGCTGGGGTGCAGTGGCGCAATCTCAGCTCACTGCAACCTCCGCCTCCCGGGTTCAAGCCATTCTTCTGCCTCAGCCCCCCAAGTAGCTGGGACCACAGGCTTGTGCCACCATGCCCGGCTGATTTTTGTATTTTTGGTAGAGATGGGGTTTCACCATGTTGGCCAGGCTGGTGGTGAACTCCTGACCTCAAGTGATCCACCCACCTCAGCCTCCCAAAGTGCTGGGATTACAGGCATGAGCCACCACTCCCGGCCTTAGACAGTAATTCATTTAATGTAAATTTGAAATGAATCATAGACTTAATTTTAAAAACTAGAACCATGAAACTTACAGAAGAATATATATTTTCTCAAATACACACTCTTCGTGTAGACAAAAGTTTCTTAGGGCACAAAAGTACTAACCCTAAAAGAAAGTAAAAAGAAATAATGGGTGTCAGCAAATTGTTTTTTAAATGTGATCATCAAATGACACCTTTAAGTGAATTCATACGTAAGCAGAAGACTGGGAGAAAATATTTGCAATGTGTATCTAACAAATAATTTATATTATGATATAAAAAATACTAAAAAATCAATAGCAAAAAGACAACCGACACCTCCTGACTGCACTTTTGTACGGATGCTGAGTGAATTCTCATGGCTTCAGAGAAGGCCTTAAGGCAGATAACAAAAAACAGCAAGTGCATGAAGTGTGTTGCTATCTGCAAGTCTCTTTCATCTGTAGCTGTGGCTGAAACCACAGTGGGGGAGGAGATGCCTGGTGGAGCACCCACGGCATCTTTTATTGATAGGTTCACTCCCATAGCCACTTCCTTGATGGTCAGGGAATTAAGATGAATAAAGAGGCCGCCAACATATCGCCCGAGTCTAAATCTTTCTTAGGAATTCGAGGACATCGTAAGGAACGCAGCGTGGAAAAGCCCAGCAGAAGAGGCAGGAGATGGCCCTAGCTCCATAGCTGCACCTGCGCCATCCACAACACCGCAGGGCAGGTATTCTGGGGCTATGAAGGGAACCTGGCCAGGGGCTGGACATTAGGAGCCTGGGGAAGGAGCCAGGACCCTGTTTCTCCGGTATATTTAGGTGGAAATCCTTGGGGACTGCAGAGTGGGAAGGATTTGCAGAAACAACTGTATCCTACTACTTACTAGTCATGCGACCTTACACGTTTTACTTCCTTTCTTAGAGCTTCCACACCCTTCTTTGTAAACTGGGAATAATAACAGTTTATTTATGATAAAGATCATAAATTTTCCTCCCAGGGTTATGAGAAGGATCAAATGAGAGAAAATGTAACTGTAATCTGAAAAGTATTATTATTAAGACAAACAACATTGAAAATGGACACAGTGTACAATGCCTTACATATGTCTTAACAAGCAGAAAATAACCAACAGGAGGATGAATATATTTCTGTTGACTTTTTAGAAGAGCAAAACACAAGTACTGTAAACTTACGTAGAATGAGCTATGTATTAGTCTGTTTTCATGCTGCTGATAAAGACATACAGAGACTGGGAAGAAAAAGAGGTTTAATTGGACTTACAGTTTCATATGGCTGGGGAGGCCTCAGAATCATGGCAGGAGGTGAAAGGCACTTCTTACATAGCGGTGGCAAGAGAAAATTAGAAATAAACAAAAGTGGAAACCCCTGATAAACCCATTAGATCTCAGGAGACTTAGTCACTATTACGAGAATAGCACTGGAAAGACCTGCCCCCATGATTCAATTACCTCCATCTGGGTCCCTCCCACAGCACATGGGAATTCTGGGAGATACAATTCAGGTTGAGATTTGTGCGGGGACACAGCTAAACCATATCAAGCTACACCACATCAGAATGATCTACTTTTTATTGAAGGAAACTTCTCATTGAAATATTTTTTTTTTTTAAAAAAAAAGAAAATCTAATCACTAAAGCTAACAGAGAGTGCCAACAAAATCAATAATATAAGCCAAAATACTGCCCATTTCAGTTAAATTATCTGTATGGAACAGTACAAAATTAATTGTGAGTTAGAATATTTAAGTTACTGTATATTTTATTTTAGGTTTAAAAGTAAAGATAAATTAAAAATAAAATGATGGGGAAGGACGTTCAGTGAAGTTAACATGTACAAATGTTCTTAGCAGAGTAGAAACTGATAGAAATATTTAATAATAACTGAAATTAAATTAAATATAGAGATTTATTTTTAAATAAAGATATTAATAAAAGAATAGACACACCATAGGTTCCAACTGGCAGAGAATAAGGAAATCACAGGCTATTTTGTCTCTCAAGAAAAGAGAAAAATAAACATTTGCTCAGAGTTTCTGAGGGTCAGGAATCTGGGGGCAGCTTAGCTGTGGGGTCCTGGTTCAGAGTCTCTCGTGAGGCACCCCTCGAACCCATGGCTCAGTCACCTAGAGGCACGATGGGTTCCCTTCCACATCACCCACTCCCAGGGCTGTGGGCAGCTCCTCCCTGGCTGTGGCATGGGAACTTCTCCCTGGACATCCTCAGGGTCTGCAGGACACGGCACCTGACTCTCCCCAGCATGAGTCCTCAGAGAGAGGGGGTGCGAGTCTCCCACCTGGAAGCTGCAGTCTTTTTATAACTGAAACTCAGAAGTGCCCTCCTTTCTGCTGCACTGTATTCATTAGAGCTGAGTCCCGAGGTCCACCCTACACTCAAGATGAGGCTGACACAAGGAGGTGAGAAGCAGGAGGAGGGAATTGTTGGGGGCCACCTCCAGGTTACCTATCGCAGTGTGTGTGTGTGTGTGTGTGTGTGATGGTGGTGTCAAATATAAAGCAATTCAACACTTAGGAAAGGAGACATGACTCCCAAGGATAATTGCCAAGGGAGAGAAGGACCATGGTATCTGCCAGTCTCTCAGAAGAGTTTATCTTTTAAAGTACAGAGTGAAAGAGTCTAGAAAGAAACAGGTGTGTGTGGGAGTTTTGTCCTCAGGCAGCCTGTTCCCTGGAGGGCCTTTGGGAGCACTCAGGCTGGGGTCTGGGGTCTGCAGGGAAAGAGCAACAAGCAGAGTTTGGTTAAAATGTTGTTGTTGTTTTTAAATTAATCAGTGAGGACAAGAAGTTCTGCTAATTGTTTAAGGGGCAAATAATGGGAATGTGGAGGTCTGTGCCTGGTCTTGCCATAGGTAAACAGGGGGCATCTATGCGCCTTATTTGGGGAGGAGGGCTTCTTGCTATAAGTGGTTTCCTGGCGCACACAGTTTGGGATGGGGAGGTTCTTTAGCTGTGACCATCTTCCAGCATCACGGCTGGGGTAAAAGCCAGGATTGCCAGTGGACAGCGCTGTGGCGTGGACCTTCACAGATAGTTAGAATTTCAGTAGCTATAGAAGGTGCAAGGTTTATATGATTTGGGATGTGCTCAGCTGCTAGTAACAGAATATCCAATTAACAGGGCTTAAGGAGAAAGCCTGGTTATCCCTCCTAACAAGAGGCACTGGGTCTGGCAATGCCAGGCTTGCTCCAGCAGCTTGGCCATCCTGGGGTTCCAGGCTTTTCCCTCGATGTTGCATGAAGCCACTGCTGGTCCAGCACCCTGTCCTCATGCAGAAGCTGCTCGGGAAGGAAAGAAGTGGGCCAGGCAGAAAAGGAGGCTTTGCTTTTGCTGAGGAGAAAAAGCTGTCACAGAAGAGATGTGGCAGGCTTCCCAGCCACCCCCAGCCAGAGCCCTGGCAACTGGTTACCCTTAGTTTGAGTCTCAAGGCAAGTGGGGAAGAGGCATCGGGGAAGGGAGAATGGGAGGCCAGAACTGGTCTCAGCTCAGGGGAGCTCAAATCAAGGTCACCACCGCCTGAGAGACACCAGGGTTTTGTTAGCAGGGATGAAGGGGTGAGGGATGGGTGACTAATGGCTGGGTAAAAATCAATGTCTGTGCCAGGGTGCTTTGGACAGAGCACCTCTGTGCAGCTCAGGTTCATCCAGACGTCTCGTTAGAGAAGGACTGCAGGGTACCACGCACTGAAGGACGGTGGCCCTGGCCTGGAATCTCAGCCTTCACTTCTGCAGTGTTCCTGGGAGATGTTGATGTCGCTGACCGAGGAACACAACCTTGAGGATCACTGGTATAGGCCAAGGTTCGGGGCATGAAAATCTGTTTGAAGTTTGGAGACTCTGCAGTAATCAGAGGGTAAACAGGTGGACTCACCCCACACAATGGTGCGTCTAGGTGGCTAGCTGGGACGTTTAGCCTCGACACTCGCTGTGGTCTAGACCACCTTGTCTAATAGTAGAAATAGAATGTGAGCCACAGAGTGATTTTCAATTTTTTTATATTCATATTAAAAAGTAAAAAGAAGCAGGTGAAATGAATTTTAATAATATATTTTATTGATCCTAAATGTATCATGAATATAAAATTTTTAATGAGATAGTTCATGTTTTTTTTAATTGTCTTTAAAATCTAGCATGGCTTTCCCAGGACATCTCAATTCCTGCCAGCCCCATTTCAAGTGTTTGGTAGTCACACGTAGCCAGTAGCTACCACATTAAGCAATGCATTTAGAGCTTTCCTCGGCTGCCTGGCTGGAGGTTGCCATCATTCCAACCCTAGGCAGTAGATAAGGAAAGGTCAGTAAGAACATTTGCAGTGGTTTTGGTCAGACAGGCTGAAGTCCTGGGTGTGCAGGAGACAGCTGGCTTCATTAGGTGAACTGCCATTTCTGTTATCATAGCCCTCATGTTAGCCCCTGACTTAGTTTGGCCCTGATAAAAGTATTCCTTATCTCAAATGTGTAGAAATAAACAAAGATCACCCAAATGAGAACAAACAGAGGCTATTTCTTCAGAATTTGCAGTAGCAAAAAGTTCAGCCCTTGCATTTGGCAGAGACTCAAAGGCAGGAAGAGCTTTACAGAGGAACACAGAGAGGCAGGGGTATGTGCTGACTGGGGAAGGTGCTGGCTGGAGCATCCGATGTCATTGGCTTAGGGAGCATATTTAGCTTTATCTGAGTGGTCCTGAGTTGAAAGTGGAGCAGAATAAGGGAAACTGGCAGTTGTTGACCAAGTCCTGATCATTCTGGGCCAATGTCTTCCGAGGCTGTGGTCCGGCTTCCTAGCTGGTTGCTACAGGAGTTGTGGGTCAGAGTTCTGTTGTCATCTGTGGACATGGTCTATGTGTATATTCTGTCTCTCTCCTGGAAAACCACAGCTCAATTCTATTTCAGCTTACTGGGGCTAAAATGTGAAAATCCAATTGCCAAGAGTTCTTTCTAGAAGCGTTGTGATTCCAAGGTTTTCTACTTCCTTTTGTTTTCTTAAGCCAACACCTGCAGTGTAACGATGTAATAAGAGGGCCCTGCATACTAGCCCCAGCTCTGCTATACATGATTTGTGGACTTCAGGGAAGTCAGTTCCCCTCAAGGCCTCAATTTCTCCATCTGTAAAATGAGATCAATAAATTACAAAACCTTGCGTTCTCCCAAATGAGGTAACCTTCTTGTCTATAGGGCTGGATATTTTCTGTTATTGCAGCAGACATAAAGGTAAATAAAACATGGACCTACTTTCAAAACATTACGAATCTAAGAAGTCAACTAGCCCTGGGCCTGTAGATGATGACGGTGGTGATGTTGACGGTGATGATGATGATGTTGGGGATGGGGATGATGACACAGGTTGATGGTGTTGATCGTGATGATGAGGGTGATGGGAGCTGGATGATGCGATAGTAAGGATGATGATGGTGTTGATGGCGATGATGAAGGTGATGGGAGCTGGATGATGCGATGGTGAGAATGACGATGGTGATGTTGATGAGGATGCTGGGGCTGCTACTTCTGATGGGGATGACGGTATCTTGACCATGGGGACACCGGTGATGTGGATGAGAGTGGATAGGAATCGAGCAGAGCCTCTTTGCCAGGCACTATGCTTAGATATTTAAACACTTTGAAATACTCTTCACAACTCTTTGAGAAGCTCCTGTGATTATGTGCATATCTATGAAGAGGAAACTGAGGTTTAGCAAGAGTAAGTAAATGGTTCAATGTCCCACTGCTAGCAAGTTGTGAAATCTAGATTTTAATGTTAGTACTTTTGTTCCAGAGTGGGTTCTATTAACCACTTTGCTCACCTGCCTCCTCTGTTCTGTGCTGTTTTCTAAAATAGGATGTGCTGTTCCAGAAGTGTGTGCAAAAATGCAGGAACAAAAGGAAGCATGCAGTTCTGCAACGCGGGATGAGCCTGAAAAAATACTCACAGATGTGAATTTAATTATCATTTGAATAACCAGGAGAAACAGAGATGGGGTCGGTTATTCTCAGCAGAACCAGTAGGAAATTTGCTACAATGAGGGGTCATGGTCCTAATTGGGACAATGTGGAACATATTATGGCAGAGGTGGGGAATGAAGCTGCAAGATTGTTTGCATCCATGTAGTTATGAGAAATGAATTCTATGCTAGGGAATGTAGAGTCAATTGCACCTGTAATTTGTTGGGTTAGGGTTGAGGGTAGAGTTTGTGGATAATTGAAAATTAAAAATGCCTTTGATCTGTGACCTTAGACATCTGCTGACCTGCTGATCTGGCACTCAGCCAGAAGCAACAGTACTCAGCACTGTGTTTTTCCTCTCCTACTTTCACCTTCAGCATGAGGGAAATCTCAAGTGTGCTGGCTTTTCCTGGAGCCCTCAGGATCTCATCTCACCTTTGCTTTTAGGAGAAGTCACACAACTCCGTAAGAACAAGAAGTAAGTGAAGTGCTACGTCCAACTCCACGCGGAGAAAAGTGACATATCTCCAATAGAAGCAACAAAGTCTGTAAAGATTCCTATTCCACAGCCAATTAATTCCCATAACTAAGCAGAACACATATTTTCTCATTCTGTCTCACAGAACTTGTTCAGGTTACTTTGCTGAATGAAATTTTTTTCCTCAAGACATGGGGATAAGAACTTCTTTATGTGTGCATTATCATATAGGGCATCTCCTGGCATAATATTTAGTCTTCCCTAAAAAATGGTAAATTTGGTCTACTCTTAGGGTATAGAAATAATTTACATCTTTTTTCAGGATAATTTCCTGTCTTAAAAATATTAGAATCCAGTTCAAACCCACAGCCCACCACCGTCACAGCAGCCTGCCTGGGTCAAGCATTCTCGTATATTATGCAGATCCTCAGCGCTCATGCCCCTGAGGCAGGGGTGGAAGCTGGTCCCCTGCTGGGGCTGACCACCTGCTTCTTTCTCTCTGGGTTATTTTCCTTCATGCTCCTTTGACTTCAGGAGATGAGACGGTTCTTGAATGAGGGATGAGGTCTCGTTTACTCACGTGTCCTTGTCCTGTATCTGGCACCATGGTTGGTATTCTATAAAAGGAGACAGAAAAGAAAGGGCAGAAAGGAGACAAAAGATGACAGGGAGAAGAGCAAAAGGAGAAAAAAGAAAGAATGGAAATAAGTGCAAGAAGGAAGAGAAGGTGGTGAGTGGAGGAGGCATGGGCTGGGCCCCCGGAGGTTGTCTTGGGGACCTCCCAATGTCCCATTTCATAGGTTGCCAGACCCTTTCACACGCTTATTCCTTTCTATAATTTAAGAGTCAAATCTCCCACCATCTTTTAAGCATCAGCGTCCTGTGGACCCAAGAGTGTCAGAGAAGAAGAAGAATGAACCATCCAATGTACATGAACCATCCAATGTACGTGAACCGTCCAATGTACGTGAACCATCCAATGTACGTGAACCAATGCGTGTGCAAGACTCTACTTTTCAAAGCATGTTTTTCCCATTGAGTCACGGGCCACCTTAACTTCCCACCAAAGTTCTCACCAAATAAAAATATTCATAGCAACCTTCAGGTACAAATATTACTACTATCTTTTTGAATTTTTAGGGAAGCAACCTGATGATCAGAGAGATTTGCTTAGAGTCACTGAGCTTGTAAGGGCAGACCTGGGACCTTCACAGCAGATTCTTCTGATTATAAATCCTGAGACTCCACCTGTGGGGTGACTGCAGAAGGACCCCCATATTCCATCGCCTACCCAGCAGCCTGCCAGAGTCAAGTGTTCTTGTGTGTTATGGAGTTCCCCACCATTCATGCACCAGGGCTACTGGAATTTGAACCATGTTGGGAGGGGACTGGTCTTATCCAAGTAGACTGTGGTGATCAATGTGTGCAGAATAAAACTGTGCTAAGCAAGGACTGCCAGACAACTTGGCCCCAAGGGAACAGATATTAAAAAAAAATCAGAGGCAACCCACTAGCAGCACCATGACCCCCTAGAGGCAGTGCGAGAGAGCCTTTGTCCACCCTCCCATTCTAGCAATGAGGAAAGAGGGGAAGTGGCTGCTGTCAGAGCCAAGTCCAGAAGTAGGAACTTGTGGTGGAAGCCCACAAGGCTCACACATGTCTCTCCAGAATACTCGTTACAAATCTGCTCAACAATTGTCATTTATCTCTGCCTCCATCTCTGCGTGGTGCCTGATTCTCAGGAGGCCACTGATTTGGCCCCAGTAGACATTTAGCTGGGAAAGTCTCCCTGTTCCTCAGATCTCTAGCCTCCACTGGGTACTGCTGCCCTTTGATGTAGGAAGATGGCAGGATGCACCTGAGATCATCACAAGTCACAGGCTAGAGGAGTTTTCTGCTGTTTGTGCCTGTGTGTGTTTCATAACTGATCTTTTTCTTTGTCATATGTAAAATAGGGTTAATGATTTCTATCATCAGGGTTGTTTCAATAATAAACACTATAATAAAAAGCACTTATAAGCCAGATGTGCATATATAATAGAGATAGAAATAGAGATGTGTGAATATAATAGAGATGGAAATAAATTATTTATTAAATGCTGAACGAAAAATTTTGGGGTAGTTATAACAGCATTCATTATGCAGATGAGGTAGCTATACAGTTCTTTGAGAAAATAACAATAATAGAGATAACAATAACCAAATAACAACAATAACCAAAATTACAAACACATTCACTGATGTCCTTGGGTAAGACTCCATTAGGGTCACTTGGCAATAAATGGTAATAAAACCGGAACTAAACATCTCACACCCACTGGCCTTTCTTTGCGATTCAGGTGGCTCTAAATGTTGGAGGCAGAGATTGGGCTGGGTTGAGGCTGGGCAAGTTGACTGCAGAAGGGGCCACGGTGTGGAAGGGGCCACAGTGCAGAAGGGGCCACAGTGTGGAAGGCGCTCTGGACTCTGCATTCCATGACACCAGGTGGTGGGGTCTGTGAGAAGTGGGGCACTGCATGGTGAAGGTTTAGAGACCCACGAGTAAGTGGTGAAGGGAGGGAATGAGGATCCTATGCCAGTGTCCAGCCCACAGCCCCAGGGCCAGGAGAGGGAGAGGGGCTGGAACACAGCTCAGAAATGTCCCCACATCTCCTGGGAGGTGACTGCAGTGACCCGGGCCTGAAAAGGCACAGAACCTGCCTCTCTGGGGAAGGAAGGAGTCGCACCATGCATCCTTGTCCTACTGCAAGGGGGAGCAGGAGAGCCAGGGCGGAGAGCAGAGGGAAGGAGCCGGGGGCTGGTCCCCCTCTGCAGGAGCCTCTGGGCTCAGCTCCTCTGCCCTGGGAGAGAACCCATGATGTGGGTGTCAGCGAGGTGCAGAGAAGCAATCTCAATGCTGAAAATGAGAGCCTGGTGTTCTGCGGCACCGAGCAGCAGGGGGCCACTGGTATCATCTGCTTGCCAATTTTATTCTCATTTCAAGGTGCTGATGGCATCACTGGAGGTGAAGTCATTTTCTCAGAATTTAATCCAGGCCGTTGGGACAGACCTTGTCAGCATGGAGGGAAGGGAAGAAGGAGTCGTAGAAGGAGCTCCAGGAGATCACAGCCAGGTGCCTGGGGGTCAGAAGGACGATGTGATAGCAGGTGGGAGAGCCCTGTTCAGGGACCTCACCTCGGTGCCATCAGCTCCTTCTCAGACTTTTCATCCTTTGGGATTGTGTCCTCTTTTTCCCTTGCAGGGATCCTGCATCCTTGGATGTCAACCCTCCCGCCAAGCAGCCCAGGAAGACTCTGAATGAAGCATCAGAGCTTTGCTGTAAAGGACTCTTAGGAAAGGAGAGTGTTTCTTGGGTAACAGTTGAGGCATTTCTGTAGCTGTGTGCCTGTTAACAAAGGAGGAAGAAAACGTCTCAGATCCAAGATAGGAATTTTAGCAGTCTGAGCTACTACCAAGAATGGCCAAGAGATTTATGATTTTTCTTTTTTAATTGTGCTGTGGTTTCTGGATTATGCTTAGTATTTGTTCTTTCTTTCCACATGTAAAAACGGAAAGGAACCAGAGTTAATTGCCCAACATGATCTTAAATGCCACAGAAACCTCCCAAATTAAGTATTAATTAATCACATCTTGCAAATGAAGAGAATGCTCAGAGAAATGAAAGACTGACCAGCGGGCAGAGGCAGAGTTGAGATTGGAACCCATCTGCCCGAGCCCCAGAGGACTCTTTTTCTATTTTACAGGCTCTCTTTCCCACCTCTGGGAATGCTGATTTTGAAAATGTTACACTAAACTAAACTGCATCAGGAGAGTCCTGTGCAAAATAAAAATCCATGGAAACCACTGGTCGACATCCCAAGGATCCATACAGAGCTGTGTTTGTGGGTTTTCTCCCACGAGCCTCTCTAATAGTTTTAGACGACCAGTAGGTGGCAGCAAAGAGCTTTCCACGTGCTGTACTCATCCCTGCAGCGAGTCCGTGAAGGCATCACCTGGGGAAGAATTTCTGGGCATTAAAATGGGGCATCAGTGGCAGGATCTGAGGCTGGGTCAGGTAGGCAGGATGTAGATGATGAAGGATAATCCATATACCTTGCTGGAGAACGCCTGTTGACTACAGACGACAGCTTAACTAGGGAAGCAGAGCTCTCATTTGACTTAGGAAGCTCATTTCGGCAGCTGCAATGCAGATGCCGATAACGGACATGGAGATGAGACATTTATTAGTAAGGGCCTTCACTTATTACACTAGCCAAGCAGCTTAACCTCTGCACATTCACCTCTGCAGCTCAATGTGTAAAATGGGAGGAATAATAGCATCCACTTCGTAAGATTGTTACTAAATGAATCACCACACGTCAAGTGCGTACTATGATGCCTGCCAAATACTTAACTATTGATTAAGTGTTAACTCTTAGTAATATCTTTATTGTAATTACAGAGATCTTTGTGGCATAATTAACAGGATGTGGTATAATTTGTGATATAACTCACAGGTGATAGGCTGGATAAACGCTGAGGAGCATGGTGGGGCCATTCATGGCAATCAGGCACAGATGCAGACAGCAGGTTTGCAGGGAAAGAAGGGGAGAGCCCAGGAAGCAGACAAGCCTGCGCCCCCACCCTGGTGAGGAGGGACACGTGGAGGGTCTGAAAGTCATCAGTGAACAGCAGGGAACTGTGGCCAGAGAGGTCTCCCAGAGAGAGGCAAGCAAACCATTCCACAGTGGGTTGGAATAAACTTAGAGAAGAGGTAAGAAGTGAGAAAGGACTCAGAGAGCTCTGGCATTTAAGGGTGTTAAGACCAGGGAGAGCAGCCAGGCAAGTCTGAATAGGACAGGTGAGGAGAGCCACCAGGAGTCAGGAGAAGCAGGTTTTCCAGAAGGAAAAATAGGCTGGCAAAGTCCAGTGCAGCCCAGATGTCAGGCTGGATTGACTCAGGAGGGGAAGCGATGGGCAGCTTTCCCATGAGCCACCCTGGTGCAGGTGGAGGCCCCTGCAGTGAGACCAGGAGCTCATGCAGGGAAAGGCAGTGGATAGTCAAGGGGGACACACACTTATATGGGGGGCAGTCAGTGAGGCCATGTTTTGAGAGGCCCTTGATGCCAATCTATGGTTTGTCTATAAGTAGACATCAGGAACTAACAAATAATCATAATAATAGCAGCAAACTCACATTGCACACTAAACCATCAGTCACTGTTATTAGCACTTTCCTGCCTGATTTTCTTTCATCCTTGCAGCAAACCTATCAAGTAAGAAATGGAGTAAGTCACCTTATGCGACCCTTTAAGGTTTCACAGCTGGAAAGGGGTCAAACCCAGGTCTCCTGACTCCAATCCTTGCCTTCTGAAATGCTTGGGCAGGGAGCCTGGCAGGGTTGTGGAGGGCAGACAAGAAGAGAGGAGAGACCAGGTAGAAGCCTGCTGCCAGGGAGGGGAGGCCCTCGATTGCTCAAGAGAGGAGCTCATCCTTCCTTGCTAAGCATTGCTTGAATATTGAAATGCATGAGGTTCAATGACTAATGAAGAAAAAAAAATGAGGTGAAGAACTGTTCACATTGTATGACTCCATTTAGTAAAACGCTTACCTATGCAGAGATCATCTCTGCAAAGTTCTACAAACAGGGAGGAAGATGGGGATGGGGATGGGGATGGGGACATGGAGGTTAGAGGGGGAAGAAAACTCATTTTGTACTGTATACTCTTATGTGCTGTTTAGACATTTTCTTTAACCTGGATGTGTGTTACTGCTTTTTCAGAATTTCAAACATATAGAATATTACTAAAAATAATATAATGGATTCAGTAACAACTTTTATCACGTTAATATTTGGACATTGACATAGTTTGGATCTGTGTCCCCACCCAAATCTCATCTTGAATTGTAATTCCCATAATCCCCGTTTCTTGAGGGAGGGACCTGGTGGGAGGTGATTGGATCATGGGGCCGGTGTCCCCCATGCTATTCTCATGACGGTGATTGAGTTCTCATGAGATCTGATGGTTTTATAAGGGGCTCTTTTCCCTTTGCTTTTCTTCTCTTCCCTGCTGCCTTGTAAAGAAGGTACTTGCTTCTCCTTTGTCTTCCACCATGATTGTTAAGTTTCCTGAGGCTTCCCCAGCCCTGGGGAACTGTGATTCAATTAAACCTCTTTTTTTAATAAATTACCCAGTCTCAGGCAGTTCTTTATAGTAGTGTGAGAACGGACTAATACATTTTTGCTTCAAATTTCTTTTTTAAAAATATATACACACGCAGAGTGGCCCTGCAGATAGATGGTGACCTCTCTCCACGCCCTTCTTCAATGTCCTTCTCATCCCTCCCACCTTAAAGGAACCACTATCCTGAATTGCTTAGCATTCACAAGGACATTCTTATTCCATTTTTAGAGATTTAAATGTTTTTAAAGTCTATAAATGTGGCCTAGTAAATTATTGCTGTGTATCTCATATGATTTTTACTCAAACTAGTTAAGAAATTTATTTTTATTCCTATTTTGGAGAGAATTGTTGCTCATGAATAAATTTGTTACTGATGCTTAAATTTGTTCAATTCTTTCCTTTTCCAGTAAGATGCTCACTCTTTTTTACTCCTTTAGTATATAAATGTGTCAAATTTCATTACCAGATTTCCTGATATTGAGCCATCTTTGCATTTTTGCAGAAATATGTTAGCCTTTCCTATCATTTTGAAAAGCCAAGGACCTTAACATACTCTAATGGAGACTCATCGTACAGTCTGCCAACAGAAGTATTTTGTAGGAGTTGACAAGTATCTTTAGGGTAAAATATCACTTCCAATTATTGAATTGTCCCATTTATAATTCTTCAGTGGCTCTCTTTTGCTCTCTGAATTTCAAGCAACTGAGTGTATGCAGAGCTCTTTACACTTTATGATCTTATCTTTGAATTCATTGCTTGTCTCTGGCTTCTTCTGTAAGCCTCATATCCAACCAAACACAAAAACTTGACAATTGTCATATTTAAATGTCTCTTTAATGCAACCCCTATTTTCCATATTTAGGAGCCTTGCTTTGGTTCAAGTTTCCATGTGTTTTATCTCAGCACCACTCTAAATGAGCTCAAGAATACCTGTTATAAGATATAGATGGGCTATTTCACATTGTCATTCAAAATGCCGAGCTGGATCCCCTACCCCACAAGACAAAGACCAAACTCCTAAATACCACACATCTATGACCATGTTTCTGTCTGCTGGACTCATTCTCCTAACAAGATGGTCTGTAACAATTTGCAGTATACACTTGTGGCTGCATTTTGAAGTTCCTTCTCAAAGGAACTGGCTTCCCACTCTGAAGGGGTGTCTAAGCTGGCTCATTTCTGGGAATTGGGTAAAGGGCCACACATCCCTACTACAGTGACTCAAAAACAACTGAGTGTCTGCCAGATCTGGAATGTTTCCAGGTATCTATTTCAGGGAGCACCATAAGAGGCTGCACAATTAAGTCCCAGTAACTCCATGATTTAAGTCACCATTATCACACAGTCCTGCCTCTCAAAACAGTTATCTTCTTCCTTGTGGCTTGTTGTGGTAATTGTACCTACTGACAGGAGACAGGGAAATACTGGGTAGAAGAGGGCAGTTCCCCAGCAAAGACCCCACCCTCAAGCCTGAAGACCTGTGTCCCTAAGTGAGGACAGGAATTTGTTTTCACGCCCCAAAAGTTGCCTTTTGGCCCTCCACACCCCTATCCTGTGCCCGTATAAACCCAAGACCTTGGTGGGCACAGACACAAGTGGCTGAACATTGATAGGAGCAGAGGAACACAGCAGCGGAGAGTGGTGGAGATCGGCAGAGTGGCATGGCAGAGAAGGAGGGAAGAGGCGTCTGAACATCAGCCAAGAACAGCTGGACTCCAGGGGAAGACCACCTTCCCACTCCATCCCCCGCTTCCGGCTCCCCATCCATCTTGCTGAGAGCCACCTCTACCACTCAAAATAACCTTCCACTCATCCTTGGAGTCCACGTGTGATCTGATTTTTCTGGTGCACTGGGCAAGACCTCGGGATACAGAAAGCTGTCACACTGGCCCACTGCCCTTGTGATAAGGCAGAGGGTCTATTGAGTTGATTCACACAAGCTGTCTGCAGACCACAAAGCTGAAAGAGCACACTGTAACACATACCCACTCAGGCTTCAGGAGTCACAGACACCCACCTCTGGATGCTTCCCTGGGGCCAGAGCCCAAAAGCGCTCCCCACAGCCTCTGCACCTGCCCATTTGCAAGCTCCCCCGAGGGGTTTGAGCAGTAGGGTGACCGAAGGAGCCAGCCACTGTATGTCTTGCGAGGGGAATAAGGGAACTCTCTGGTTTCACGACCTTATCTTTGGTAATTATGGCCTGCCACATGGCCTCTAATATTTCTGTTTCCATCATCCCTTTCAAACCAGGGAGCTCAATTTCAAGGGTGCCATCATCTTTGGCACCACAGAGCTGTTCAAGAACCCTGGTGCCCCTCACCCACGGGTGTGTCTGAAGGTCTCCATAGTCCTGGGGCATGTAGCTAGAAGATAGCTAAGCGAGTTGCACATTGTAGATTCATTAAAATCCCATCTAACTAAGCCTACTAAGTGCCTCCTTTTACATTGTATCTGGGCTAGTCCTGCATGTTGGCTTCTCTGAATTGAGTGTTCACCATTGTGTGAAGCATTTGGTCTGCTAACCAAGCAGAGGGTTAGTACCTCATCCAACTAACTAAGTAGTGAGTCCTGGTACCTCTCCCACATCAATAATGTAGGCACAGTCCAGTGTTAAATTTTATCCCCCCGGTCTAACAATCTTGGAACACGTTCCCACTCAAGTTTCTCGGGCTTCTGTCAATAAAGAATTAAAAGATTCCATAACTCAGTTGGTGGATAGAGGCACATTTCCTACAGCAAAGCCTCCATTCCCTTCCTGCCATTGCTGGAATAAAGCTCTTGTTCTCAGCTCAGAGGCAAGGGGCATTAGGGGCCATCCCTCTATGCATGAGCCACCCTTTGTGAGGTCATTCAAAAGTTTTAATAGATATTTCTAAATTATTTTATTTTTTAATTGACAACAAATGCATATATTTATCATACACAACGTAGTCTTTTGATATGTACCCATTGCAGAGTGGCACAGACTGATCTTTTTTGTAGTGATAACTTAAAATGTTCTCTCGGCTATTTTCGAGAATACAATATAACGAGAGTTACTATAGTCTATATTTATTTTTATTTTATTATTTATTATTATTTTATTTTATTTTTTTGAGACAGAGTTTTGTTCTTGTTGCCCAGGCTGGAGTGCAGTGGCGTGATCTCAGCTCACTGCAACCTCCGCCTCCCGGGTTCAAGCGATTCTCCTGCCTCAGTCTCAGGCACCACCATGCCTGGCTAATTTTGTATTTTTAGTAGAGACAGGGTTTCTCCATGTTGGTCAGGCTGGTCTCAAGTTCCTGACCTCAGGTGATCTGCCAGCCTCAGCCTCCCAAATTGCTGGGATTACAGGCATGAGCCACCGCGCCCGGCCACTATAGTCTATATTTTAATTTAAATATTTTTTAATTTTTTAAATGCAGGGAGAAGCTGATTCCTTCATATATGAGAAAGTGCTACTTTTGTGGTAAGGGGTGTTCAGAGGGATTGCAGAGTTCAGCAGTTCTCAGCCTTGTCTTTACCCAAATGGTCCATGCTTTGAGGTCTCTCTTCCCCTCTGTTCCCTGGACTTGGCATGAGAGACTTGCAGAATCATCTATCTAATTGTCACTGTAATTCCGTGACCCTTACAAACAGCCTCTGGACATAATTACATTCATAGACTTGCAACTACAGGGGGAAAGGGATACCTTTGGAATTGCCATGGAGATTTTTTTAATTTTCTACCTGTAACCTGTGTTGAGAATTCAAGGCTTTAAGTCTGTCATTTTATCTAAATATGCTCTCCAGGCAGGTCAGGAGCTGCCAACTATGTAGCAACCTCAGCTACTAAGTGGTGTGGCCAATTACTAAATCAACATCTTGCCTTCTACCTGCACGTATCACATAGCTGCAGAGGCAATCCAAGTGTCCGTGATTTTGCAGCACACGGCAAGTCATCCCTGTCTCATTTTTCCTTGGTGAAGAGATGAGATGTTCATGTGTTCAATGTGTAATCCATTAAATTTCAGAATCCAATTCCAGAGTGGGTCTGTTTCCTAGGGTCACTTCTGGGAGAAATACCTATATTGCTCAAGGTATTGGCAGAAAAGAGTTTATATATTAGCGGGGAGCATGAAGGATGTTAGAAAGGGACTACTTTCAAAATTTTTTCAACTAAAAATAACCCCATACTTAACAAGATTCTCTCACATTACTATTAAATGTAAGGTCCTTGAGTAAAGACACTTCTGTTGGTTTCTTTTACTGATGTCTCCCTAGAGTGTAAACCAGGCCTGTGCACAGAGCAGGAGGTCAGTAGATAGTTGATGACTGAATAAAGAAATGACGGCGAAACATGGTTTATGGAGCTTAAACAGCAGAGGCCTCCCAAAATTGGAATTGCCATGAAATAGTTTATGATCACACATTTCATAACTAAAGAACATTTTAAACGTAAACTTTCTTTTAGTTGAGCATAAAATCAAATCCCAAAGTGCCCAAATAAGAAATGTACAGCTGGGTGAATTTTCACAAAGGAAATATTGCTTGTGTAACCATCACCCAGGTCAAGGGAAAAGCAGAAGCCATAACAGCACCCCAAAGGCTCCTTCAAAGTCCTTTTCAGGGGTTGTGCACTCACACTGAGACCCTGATTTCTATCACCTAAGGTGAATTTTTTCCTGCACGTGAAACACGTGTGCACACACACACTCAGAGATGGAACAATACCATATCTCACTGCATCTGATTTTCTTCACTCGGCATTATCTTTTGAAGATTTATCTTTGCCATTCGGTATGACAATATTGAGCTCTTTTTCACTGCTTTGTATTACATTATGTGAATAGACTATGTTTGTTTATACATTTTACTAAGTATGAATGTTGGCTTGTTTCCAGTTTTGTTACAAATGGTGCTACTGTGAAAATTCTTATACATAGCTTTGGTAAGCAAACGCTCTATCGTTCTCAGTTATTACCTAGGAGTGGAATTTCTGGGCAATAAAGTATCCATTTGTTCAGTTTTTATAGATATTGCCAACCAGTTTTACAAAATGGTTGTAACAACTTACACTCCTACCAGTATAGTATGAGCATTAAGGTAGCAAATCCTCACAGCACTTTGTATTGTCAGTAATTTGCATTTTAGCCTTTGGGGCTGTGGGGGAATTCACTGGGATCTCACTGTGGTTTATATTTGCATTTGAATAAAGAGGTTGAACACTTTTTCAAATACATACAAGCCTTTTAGATATAATCTTTTGCAAAGTGCTTGTTCAATCTCTTACTCATTTTTCTATTGAATTATCTTTCTTTTCTTATCAATTTAAAAGATTAACTTATTCTGGATGTAAGTCCTTTGTCAGAAAATCATCTTCTCCCACCTGTGGCTTGCACAATTACCCTATTGATGGTGTGTTTTGATGAATAGAAGTTCTTAATTATATTCTACATGCACTGATCTTTTAAAAAATATTTTATGGTTAGTACATGTATTTTCTTTTTAAATACCTTTGCCTACAACATGGCATTAAGCCATTGTCCAATGTTACTTTTTAGAATTTATAGCACTATTCCTTTTTCACTTAGATATAAAAACTATCTGGAGTAAATTTTATGTATGCATTGAAGAAGGAATCAATATTAATATTCTCAAAAGATGAATATACAAATTATATAGAACCAATCATTTATGTATTGCATTGATAATTAGCTTATGCGTGTTAGTGGAAATTTTATTCTATTACAGTCCTCTATTTGCCTATTTTTGCACCAATTGCCATGCTGTCTTAATTGTGAAACTTTATATGAAACTTGATGAGATGGGAGAGTTTCCTGACCCCCTTATGGCACTTGTGAGTAGGGGTGGGCTGGAGCGGTGGTGGCTCATTTTGCTCAAACCCCTTGCAGGAGTGGGAGCATGCAGATGAGTGGGTGTAGGAGCCAGGGTGAGTGCCTTTAAGCACGGGCAGGAACGAATGTTGTACCGGCCCTCAGCAACATCTAGCCGTTGCCTGCAACCTCTGGAGTCCCAGAGGGTGTGTGTTACAAACAATGCCATTTAGCAGTTGCCTTCCATGGATGGCTAAGTGTTAACCAGCTCAGTGGAGAGTCAGAGTAACATACTCTGCCCTCTTGGTACCCAGATTCTTGTCCGGCATCCAGGAAGAATCAGGTCACATGGACTTGAAAGATAGTGAATGCAGAAGTTTTATTGACTGATGGAAGTGGCTCTTAGTGGGATGGGGAGCTGGAAAGGGGAAGGAGTGGGAAGATAATCTTCTCCTGGAGTTTGGCTGTCCGTGGCTGAACTCCTCTTTGTCCAGGTGCCTCTTTGATGTTCAGATGCTTCTTCTCTTCTGTCCTTCTCTGCTGTGCCACTCTGCTCCTCTGCCAGTGGAGTTTGGGATTTTTATAGGTACAGGATGGGAGGTGTGGTGGGCCAGGGTGGTTTTGGGAAAATCAGCATTTGGGTGGGAAAATGGGGATAACTGTTCTCATTTAACACTGTGGTTTCCAGGCTTGAGGGTGAGACCTTTGCCTGGGAACCACCATCTTCTACCCAGTATTTCCCTGCCTTCTGTCCGTATCATTTATATCTGATTGTAGAAACCCTCCATGTTTGTTCTACTTCAAGACTGTCTTGGCTATTATTGGTCATTTGCATTGACATAAAAAATGAAAATAAAATCAGCAGCACTCAATCCAGTTTGGGGTTCACCTCATTTTTTTCTTTTCTCTAAGATTTTTGTCCCCAAATTTAAATTTTCTTGGTAGATTGTCTATGTACATACTCACACACACACACAAACACCCCCTGTATCCATTCATACACAGCCAACAAACTGTGCTTCCTGGCCCATGTGACTTTTGTAATCTCCTTACACATTGACTCTTGACCATGTGACTAATGCAGGCTCAGGCAGCATCAGCCAGCAATGTCCACTCTGAGGCTTGGTCTCCAGGAATACTCACCTTTGGGATGCTTCCTCTCAGAACCCAGATGCCAGGCTGTGAGATGGTTACCATAGCCCCTGGAGAGGCTCTGTGGCAGACCTGACTGCCAGCTCTGGCTGAGGTCCCACCCAACAGCCAGCACTGACTTGCCAGGTACATGAGGAAGCCATCCTGAAAACAGACCCCTCAGCCACCTTGAAGATCCCTCAGCTCTAGCCTTGTGGAGGGAGATGACCCACCCCTTCCTAGCCTTGCCTAAATTGCAGAATCATAAGAAAATGATTATCTTTTTTCTGGGCCATTGATATTTGGGGTAGTTGGTTATGCAGTCAGGTATAGTTAAAATAGAAGTGGGTATCAGAAATGAGTTGCTGACATTACAAAAATCAAAATCTTGGCAGCTTTAGGACTAGGTGGTGGGGGCTCAAAATAAAATAAAGAAATTGCAATAGGAGGTTGGACAAAAGGGTATCTAATCCATGTGCTAGCATAGAACATAATGAAACTGTCATATATGTAATATGGACGAAAGAACATTATCGCCTAATCTTTTAGCTCTCACCTGGAGATTTTCAGGCAGAATATGGAAAATGCCAAATGACTTTGTAAAATCTGCCTATGATAAAGTACAGGAAGAGTGAGGTGATAGAAAGAAGGAAATGATCAATATTCAAGCAGAATTTGAAGAATGTACAGGAGCCAGAAATTGCTTGGTTTAAAAATAAAATTGTTTCTCCTAGTTTCTCCTAGTAAAAGATTTGCAATGTAAGAAACAGCCTCTAGGTGAACATCCACTCCAAGGAGCTGTCAATAAAGCATAGCTTCAAGGTTAAGATCAGTTCCAGTGTAGAACCATTAGACCTTTTGTTATGACCACAAAAACTTAGGGTGGAGCCTTTTCAACTTAGCTAGGCAAACAGACCCTAAGAATCTTAAAAACTTAGTGTGGAGCCTTTTAAACTTGGCTAGGCAAACAGACCCTAAGAATCATAAGAATACAGCTCATAAAACTTCTCAACTAGATGGAAGTGCTTCTAAGACTCTTTATGACATTTTCCCATAGACTGTAGGCTGAGTACAAGGCAGGGAGAGAAATGAAGGCATTCTTTAGGAGGAGGCTTTTGTCTAATGAAGTAAACCCCAATTAGAGTCATAGAAAACCCACAGAGATTTTAAGAAATTTGTATTGATGGAAAAGGAAAAAGAAACAGAGAAATTTAAAATATGAAAGGATACCTCAGAGCCTTCAATATTTTACATGCAAGAAGCAGGTTGAGAAAGCTACTCAGCTATAAACATGAAACATTACTTATGCAAAGGCTATAAGGACTCAGAGGATAGAGTCAAGAGCCCAGAGCCATGGAGAACCACTTTCAAGCACAGAACTTGGCTCCAAGCAAGGATCTAGTGTCTCTAGAGAGCTGCTGTTGATGAAAGACCACCATGTGCCTTTCATTTTCCGATTTGGTTGTTTTCCTCTCCTTGCTTCACTTTGATAGTGGATGTGTTGGGGAAGCTGCAGATAACTTTTGTCTTTGGTTTGCAGGACTTCTGAATGAGAGCAGGTGTACCTCAGGAAACTTACGAGCATCTGAACCTGATTGACATGATGATATCCTGGACTTCAAGCCTGAACAGGATGCCATTATGAGATGAGATTTTTGAGGGTTTCTGGGCTAAAAGTGATTGTTATCTTTGTAAGTGGGAAAGGGCTGAATCATTGGGAACTAGAAGGGGGACTGTGGCCAACTGTTATTTTGGTTGCAATGTGCCACACCTTCTGGTATTCATATCCTTGTGTGGTCTCCTCCAACATTGAGGGCAAACGTGACCATTTGACTAGATATGGCCAATGTGACATTTGTCTTGCGAGTGGAGGTTTCATAAGGACATATTCTTTGGGGTATGTTCTGTTGAAATGATTGTTTTTGGAACACTCCCTTTGAGAACCCAGGCATGGTATTGTGGAAAGCCCAACAGCCACATGGAAAGGTATTATCAAACACAGACAATGTCCTGAAAGACAACCCCAGCTAAGCTCCCAGCTAGAAGTCAATAGCAATTTGCCATCCATGAGACAAAGCCATCTTGAAGTGTGTCTTCCAGCCCTAGTTGATTCACCCCAGCAGATGCCATGGAGCAGGGACCATGTATTACTCTCCTTTTGCTGCTATAACGAATTGCCACACATCGAGCAAATTAAAACCCATTTATTATCTCACAGTTTGCCTGGGTCAGAAATTGAGGTACAGCATGGCTCAGCTAGATTTCTGCCTAGAATCTCAAAAGGTTAAAAAACAAGAATTGATTGTTTTTCTTGCTGAGGGCTCTGAGAAAGATCCACTTGCCCGGACATGTAGACATACCATTGGCAGAATTCAGTTCCCTCTCCCATGGCCTGCTCCATCTTTAAGCTAGCAAAAAGATGGGCTTTGAACTTTTCACACCACCCCTTCTGCTGTTAAGAGCTCATGTACCTACACTGGGCCCACTCAAATCTCCCTAGCCTGATGTCATATTTCATAACAGAATCACTGAACTTATATTGCACCAAATGCTCAGGTTCTGGGATCAGAAGGGGGCATTTTGGTGGTCATTATTCTGCCTACCACAGGTGAATTTTCCCCCTTCGGCTCTGCCCCAATTTCAGAATCTCAAGAAAATAAATTATTTTGGTTAGATTAAACCTCGAAATGTTGGGGTGGTTCATTATACAGTCATAGAATGTGTCTATAAATGTGTGTCTGTATGCATGTGTGTGTATAAAATGCATATATTGGGGTAGTTTATGACATGTCCATAGAATTATAATGCATAATGAAATGTTACATACGTATATATATTTCATAGATCATATATAATTGGTAGATAATTTAACTAGCTCTTATAGTGATTCCTGGAAGAAGCGTTTACCTAATAGTTTTTTTGGTTCTGTCATAATCAGAGGTTAAAATGTAATTGAAGAGCAATTTCCCATAGTGAAAGTCATAGATGAACAACGTGGTTGAGGCATTGTGAGTAATTGGACTCCATGCCCCACTAATCTAGTCCATTGAGTGTAGGCAGGTTTGGCTAAATCATTCAGCACCACATTACTGTGATCATGCTTTTGCTGATAAAACAAGGATTGCAATTGTTCTCAGGTGCTTATGTGGCTGATGGATAAAAATCCTTGAATTCATTAAATTGAAAATTGTGTAAATGTATGTTATATACCTTGTTTCTTATTTCCTATAATGGAAGGTGTGCCTAAGAGAATATATGCAGATGATATTACACATAAATCGTATTTTTTAGATCATTGTACTCTTTTCAGATTGACATATTTACTTTCTAGAAGTATTGTCAGGAACAAAGCAGTTCATATATGTTCCAGTTAAATGATCTTTTCTGCACCCTCTGTAATGTTCCCAGTACAACATAGTGAGGATTCTTTGATGTACCTCAAATTATTTAGAAATGTGTCACAAGTAATTTAAGACTAATACTTGCTAAAATGCTGATGTTTGCAAACGAGATACTTTATAAATAGAGTAATTCAAGGTTATCTCTATAAAATTCTTCTTGATTGCATTTTGATATCTTCTCAAGATTGTATGCTGAAAACTTTCTATCTCTGCTCCAAACTCATGCACTCTCTGCCTTTTCCACCATGCCCTAAACTCATGGGTGCTGATCAGAATAGGTCGTTTCAATAGACTGCATGCCCTCTGCTTCCGGGATAGATTTAGCTATTAGGGAGTGCTAGCAAGAGATGAGAGGGAGGGCAGGTGGTCAAATCAGGGTGCTCACTCTTTTCACTCTCCCTGAAGGATCTCTGCAAGTTGGCTGTGTTCCTTGACTAACGATCACAACTACCCTCCTCTGTGTTGCAATAACTGCACCTCCACCAGCCCTGTGCGGCTTGGGTTGCCACGACTCACCATTGCCAGTAGCTCCAGGATATGGACTTTCCCTCGTGGACTCTTGACATCCTGCCCACAGGGTGAAGTAGTTTCTTTTATAAAGTGTTCTGATGTAAAATCTTCATAAATACATGTATGTCATCTCTTTCCATCCTCTTTAATTCATAAAAGATAGGATTGTTTATCTTCCGGCATATTTTGTTTAAAAATCTGAGTTAACTCATGGGATTGGAGTCTAAACTTGACTTCATTTGTCATGTGCTTTGTAAGAGGGAAAAATATTGCCAAACAGTGGTCTAAAAAATGGTGTAACCCCGTCTCTATAAAAACACAAAAATTAGCCAGGCGTGGTGGCGCGTGCCTGTAATCCTAGCTACTCAGGGGGCTGAGGCAGGAGAATCTCTTGAACCCAGGAGGCAGAGGTTGCAGTGAGCCAAGATCGTGCCACTGGACTCCAGCCTGGGCGACAGAGCGAGACTTTGTCTCAAAATAATAAATAAATAAAATAAAAAATAAATAAATAAAGTTCAAACTCTGAATTAAGTCCTATAAGTCCCTTCAGAAGTAATAAGAACTTATAATAATGCCATTAATCCATGATAAGAGATAGTGAATCCTAGAATTCCTGAGTGTCTACACTGGAAGGAGACTTTGAGTTCATCTGATTTCACCCCTTCTTTTTTTATGTGGAAAACGAAAGATCCAGAAAGTGGAAATCATGT